>NC_000008.11:20466163-20769193 GCF_000001405.40 Homo sapiens
AGCTACTCTGCACTGGCCACAAATAACTTCTGCATTTGGCTCACAAAGGTCAAGATGAGGTTGTCAAAGAATAAGGAGCCCATGGGTGTCAACTCCCCGGGCCACCCTCCTTCTGGGGCCTATTGCCTCCATCTGGTGCTGGGGTTCTGTTTCCTATGAATCCACTGGGGATACCTAGAGCTCCCTACAATCTTTAATAGCCCAAACAGGGAAAAGACCCTGGATTACACAGTTGTTTTCCCAGAATAAGGGTATATTGACATTGAGGGGAGTTTGCTTTTCATGTTCTGCAACAAGCTTTTTTTTTTTTAGAGAAGGAAAGGCAGCCTTAGAATCCCATGCAAATGTGGCTCTGAGGAAGAAGGAATTGTGGGGTGGCAGGAGAGGCTTGGAGGCAAAAGACCCGAGTGCTGATGCTGGCCCTGCCCCTCCCTGGCTGTGTCCAAGTGGCATAGCCTCTCTGAGCTTCCGTTTCCTCATTTATACCATAAAGCAAATCTTACCCCAGGGCTCCTATAAGGACCAGACATGGTGGAGGTGTTTGAAAGCATTTGGTACGTACTAGGCCTGCACCACATTTTAATATCAGACCTATTGGGAAGGAAGGAAATTATGCCCTCTTCCTTTCCTTAATCATCATCAATGCCTCATCCCCGCTGTGTCTTCTTTTCACAGCAGAGCATTCTCCAAAGTTGTGTATCAATTGAATTTTTTTTTTCTAAATTGAATCTCATTTCCCATGCACTGAGGGAGCTGGGGTTTGGAAAGAATTCTCTGGTTTGTCTTTTTGTAAAGCTAATAACCACCCCTTGATGTCTGTGGTACATAGCAGCCTTTCCATTTATTGGCTTTGTTGAAAGTAGGGTTCCCTTGTATTTATTAAGAAAACCATGTATACATGTTTGGAACTGAGAAGGAGATTGAGTGTGTCAATTGAAGAGATCTGGTCCCTCCCTGCCATGCGGGTGCAGCTGAGAATGAGATGGAAAATGTCAGAGACCAAACACAGCCACAGAAAACTCTTGGGAAGATTAGTCCATTGGCACTTGTCAAGTTGTGGCTGGGGCCTCTCGAGGAGGGCAAAAAAAGGGGCATTTTCATCTGAGATCTGTGGATGCTCTTCCAAGATCCCACTGTGCCCCAGGTGAAACCCTGGTGCTGCGTTTTTTCCCCTTTATTGAAATCTATTTCCTCTCCCTCCCACCTTACTTTCCTCCTATCAATTGTTTGCTGGTGGATGGAACACCGTGTTCTGTTCCTCACATCCCTGGACCTGTCTCCTGAGGCCCTACGCCTGACTTCAGCACAGACACAAATTCATCTGTCTAGTCTTTAAATCTCATTTGGTTTGTCTGTTTTCCCTAATGAGAAGAATAGAATTAGTTAGCTTGCTACTCAGCAGGGCACCAGTATGGTATTTATGTAAATTATCTCCTTAATAAAATTACTAAATATAGCATCAACATGGTTAAAAGGGGAAAGAAAATAAAGCTCTTAGATTGTGAGTGTCTTTAAAAAACAAAGCTATGTTCCACCACCAGGGGAAATGAAATTTAGCTTCTTAACCAGTAGGTACAAAGTGGGGGAATGGGAATAAGAAAAAGGTTAGGGAGGACAGGAGACAGAGACTGAGAGAGAAGATAGGAAAATTCTCTAAGCCAGACATATAGATAACTGTTTAATTAATTGCTCTCCAGAGATTTTGCTGGGTGTTTGGAATCAGGTCAAGAATATAACCCGTGCTTGCCTTCCTGAAAAAGATATTCTGATTACCTTTTCTTACGTCAAAGAAATTGTTCCAGTAAAATAATTAAAGGTACTAGATGTGACAAGTCAGTGTGTTTGTATGTGTACGTGTGCGCATGTGTGTGCAGGCAAGTGCTATTGTAACATATAGGCCAATACTGGGGGAGCTAGATAAAAAGAAAAACATTAGAAATCATGGACAGAGGGCCAGGTATGATGGCTTACGCCTATAATCCCAGCACTTTGGGAGGCCAAGGTGGGCAGATCATTTGAGGTCAGGAGTTTGAGACCAGCCTAATGAACATGGTGAAACCCCGTCTGTACTAAAAATGCAAAAATTAGCCGGGTGTGGTGGCAGGTGCCTGTAGTCCCAGCTACTCGGGAGGCTGAGGCAGGAGAATCGCTTGAACCCGGGAGGCGGAGGTTGTAGTGAGCCGAGATTGCACCACTGCACTCCAGCCTTGGTGACAGTGAGATTTTGTCTGAAAAAAAAAAAAAAAGAAAAAGAAAAAAGAAAAGAAACTGTGGGAAGAAATTGGAAATTTTTGAGAGGCACATTTTAGAGTCACCTACAGGAGAAACACAGAAGAGACCCCATAAGGCCTGGATTCCACCTTCTCATTTCTTCCGTGTAAGACACTCTCTGTGTTCCACCTCCTGGAGTCTCTTGTCTTTCAAGCACCTTGTCACTGCCTTTGTTCAATCCCTCCTCTCTGTCTGTACTCTCCATGATACTCTCTGGCATCCCGTCTCTAACTTCTTATATTTCGTCTTTTTAGGGCTGCCAGAAGCATCTTTAAAAATATGCTTAGATTATCATATTGTGCCAAGAAAAGTCTGTGGACCCTAATATTCTCACTTCATACCCCTCAGCCTGATGTTCAAGGCCTCTATCTCTTCACCTTACCCATCCCTTCCTGTCCAGCTTCCTGCATGAGATTCTTCTTTGCCTCTCACCCACCAATGATGCCAGAGAGATGCCCCCACCAGCTCTTCAGGCATCAATCTGCAACCAGACATCCAGGCCTTTTACACTCAGCCTCTCCATCTCTGTCAGTTCCTGGCATAATGGACTGCCCCTCCCTCTGTTGCCCCAGCACTTCCAGCTTGTGGCTCTGTTTGGTGCTGGTCCCGCTTTTCAGTACAGTCAAGTGTTGTTGCTGTATCTGAATGTGATGCAGCTCCATGTAGGGATTGAAGATGAGGGCTCTGGCATCAGCCAGGCCTGGTTCCTAGCCCAGATCCGCCACCTACCAGTTGTGTGACCTCAGGCAAGTTTCTTCATCTCTGTGCAATGCTGATTTCTCCTCTGTAAAACAGGAATAGAGAGGTCTACTCCATCGAGCTGTTAAGGGGACCAAATTGTGTAATGCCTGCAAAGTCCTTAAGTTACAGTAATCAAGCATCCAGTAATATATTAATGTCTATTGTCTGTCTTTTGCACTTGGCCATGGGGTCCTTCAGAAAAGTACAGTGTCTTCTTCAACTTTACATTTCCAGCAGCTAGGACAATATCTATCTCATAAAAGGCTTTATTGACCTTCTTGAATGAATGGGGTCACTGAGCAGTGAGGGATCCCTAAGTTTTCCCCATACTGCTGGTTACCCTTTTGTTCAGGCTGAGAACTGGGGTTCCAGGAATATGTTAAGTAGAAGAGAATGTTACACTTGAGGTGCAGCAGACATGGGTTTGGAAGCTGTGTCCCTTCTCTGTTGACTGCCTCATCCCCTTCAATCCCTGTTGCAGGCACGGAACCTGGGTGACCAGTTTATAGCAGAGAATTTTATCCACTTCTCTCACAGAAAGTGGTACCAGGTTCAGTGCTGACTCTTCCCTAAACAGGTGAGCTTGGGCAGTCAGACTCTCTGTGGGGTGTGAGCTAACAGACTCAGGGTCTGTGGTCAGCCTGTGCTGTGCTCCTGGTGAGCAGGTCTGCCATGGAAAACCAAAGCCAGGAGCAGGTCAGCGTGAGGGGTGCTAGGGCTGCTGTAACTGAGAACCACAAGCCAGATGGCTTAAGCAACAGACATTTATTGCCTTAGTTCTGGAGACTACAAGTCCAAGACCAAGGTGGAGGGGCCTGCACACCAACAAGGGGAAGGTGTCTTGGGAGAATATCAAGGTCAAGCTGGCAGCAGGGTTGGTTCCCTCTGAGGGCCGTGAGAAAGGGTCTTTTTCACTCCTCTCCCCTAGCTTGTGTGCTTTCCTGGCAATCTTTGGTGTTCCTTGTCTTCTAGACCCATCACTCCAATCTCTGTCTTCCTCTTTATGTGATATTCTCCGTGTGTGTGTGTGTGTGTGTGTGTGTGTGTGTGTGTGTGTGTGTCCGTGTGTCCAAATTCCCCCCTCTTTTTTAAGGATACCAGTCATATTGGATTAGGGCTCACGCTAATGACCTCATGTTGACCTAATTATATCTACAATGATACTATTTCCAAATAAGGTCACATTCTGAGATACTGGACATTCAGACTTCAACATATGAATTTGGGAGGACATAATTCAAGTCATAACAAAGGAGGAGCAGAAACTATAACTAATGAAGGGGAGGTGAGCAGCAGGGGGGAAATGGAACAGGTGTATATAGAGAGGCAGGCCTGAGAGACCCGAGAGGTGAGATATGTACATGCCTCACCCTCAAAAGGGTCACTCTTGTCCTCTTTACAGCTCCGCATCCCCCATTGACCCTCTCTCCTTTCTCTCTCTCTGTACATACATACATACATACATACATACATACATACATACATAAGATACATACATGGTTTCCTGGCAATTTTTGGTGTGCCTTGTCTTGTAGACCCATACATATATATATGTTATGTATATATAGAGATGCTAGAGCTACTGTAACTAAAAACCACAAATCAGGTGCTTAAGCAAAAGATATTTATTGTCCAAGTTCTGGAGGCTAGAAATTCAAGATCAAGGTGAAGGTGTCTTGGTAGAACACCAAGGTCAAGGTATCAGCAGGGCTGGTTCCTTCTGAGGGCCATTAGAAAGGATCTACTCTAGGACCCCCCCTAGCTTGTGTGGTTTGCAGGCAGAAACCAATACATATATGGGTTCTCAAACCTCCAGTTCAAGCTCCTGCCACTAGGCTCAACTCTACTTGGGTTCTGTGAGCTTCCTCTGAAGTCTTCAGGAAACTTCCTCTCGATTTGACCTAAAGTCATGGGATTTCTGTTTATAGCATCAAAATGACTTCTCTTGAATAGGGACATGCAGAAGGTCAGTTTTTACACCATATGTGGAATGCTTTTGTCTTCCACAGCTTTCTCAAAGCAACAGGAGAAAGAAACAGAGCTGCGGAGTTAGGGGAAAATAATAAACAAAGAACACACACGTTCAGCTGCATTGGGCAGATCTTCTCACAAACCTTCCTTTCCCCTTTCTACCCACACAGGCTCATTCTTATCCCCTTTTCAACTCCTATCCTCTGTTGACTCTCTCTCCTTTCTCTCTGCTTATCCTATACTTTGCACTGGAATCCCACCAAAGCACTCTCCTGTTACGTCCACCAAATTCATTTGTTGAAATCCTAACCCCCAAGCGACAGTATTTGGAGATGGGGGACTTTGGAAGGTGATGAGATCATGAGGGCAGAGCCTTTGTGAATGGGATTTGTGCTGTTATATAAGGGACTCCAGAGTACTCTCCATCCTCATTCTTCCATGTGAGGATACAATGAGAAGTCAGTAGTCTGCAACCCAGAAGAGGCCCCTCACCAGAACCTGACCATGCTGGCACCCTGATCTTCCAGCCTTTAGAACTGTGAGAAATAAATTCCTATGGTTTAGAAGCCACTCAGTCTTTGACATTTTGTTATAGCAGCCTGAAATGACTAAGACAAAAATTGGCATTGAGAAGTCAGGTGCTCTTATAACAAATACTTAAAAATGTGGAAGCAGCTTTGGAATTGGGTGATGGATAAAGGCTGGGAGAGTTTTGAGGGGCATGCCAGAAAAAGCCTAGATTGCTGTGAATGGCATTCCAAAGTTGATTCTGCTGAGAGCTCAGAAAGAAAAGAGAAGAGCTGTAGAGAAAGCGTCCATCTTGTTACAGAACACCTAAGTCAGCATGAACACGATGCTGGTGGAAACATGGACGGTAAAGACTATTCTGATATTCATATGCAGAAATGAGGAACATGTTATCAAGCAACGGAGAAAAGGGGGTTCTTGTGATGAAGTAGCAAAGAACATGCTGAATGGTATTGTTTGTGTTCTAGCATTTTGTGGGAGGTAGAATGTGAGGCAAAGTGTTGAAAGATCAGCATGGCTCCTCTTGACTGCTTATAGTAAAATGAGAGAGGAAATGCACTGAAGGTGGAATTGTTAACTGGAAAGGAACCAGAAGTTAGAGAATAAAAAATTTGCAGCCCGTCCATACTATAAAAACTGAGAAAGTGTGTTTGAAAGATAACCCAAAGGCTGTGGTGGACCAACAATGTGATACAGAGATCAGTGTGGTGTGACCCACAGATTTAATCAACCATCTCTGCAAAAGTCACGAATAGAGATGGCATGATACCAGCAGAAACACTGCTGGCTGAGACTAGAGGAATCAAAGAAAATGTACAAAATGAAGGGAGCCTGTCACACTTCTTAGATAGAGAAGTCTGGACTAGGAGCAGACCATAGAACTATTCAGCTGCCACTCTTCATGTGCTACTCTTTTTTTTTTTTTTTTTTTTTTTGAGAGGGAATCTCACTCTGTCACCAGGCTGGAGTGCAGTGGCATGATTTGGGCTCACTGCAACCTCCGCCTCCTGGGTTCAAGCGATTCTTCTGTCTCAGACTCCCAAGTAGCTGGGATTACAGGCATGCACCACCACGCCCGGCTAATTTTTGTGTTTGCTAGTACAGATGGGGTTTCACCATGTTGGCCAGGATGGTCTTGATCTGTTGACCTCGTGATCTACCCGCCTTGGCCTCCCAAAGTGCTGAGATTACAGGCGTGAGCCATCACATGCAGCTACTCTTTAAAACAAGGGAAGAAGGACCTTGAGGGTGATTCAGAGATCATCATGGCTGCCACTCCCACCGCAGACTCAGAGTGCAAGGGCCTGGGGAGCAGAACTCCCTCCACCTTGATTTCAAAGACTAGAACCAATGCCCAGTGGACTTCAGGGGCTAAGGCCATGTAGCAGAGGCTGGGAGCATAACCCCCACCCCAAAAGAGAACTTCAGCATGGTCAGGGCTGCTGCAGAGAGCCACGGCATGGGCATCCCTTTCAGCTGTAGGGGTGATGTTGCCATTCTAGTGGGCTTGAAAGGTGAGAACACTTCCCCAGTGGAGGCAGAAGGCAGAACATCAAGCCAAAGAAGATTGTTCTCAAGCCTTAAGGTCTCATGGAGCTTGCCTTGCTAGGATTTGGACTTGCTTAATGGGAATGTCTATCCTATGCCTGACCCACCATTGTATTTTGAAAGCACGGAACTTGTTTAGTTTCACAGGTTCACAGTTAGAGAGGAATTTTACCTCAGGATGAATCATGCTTTGAGTCTCATCCATATGTTAGATGATATTTAGATAAGACTTTGGACTTCAAACTTTAGAGGTGATGTTCAGAAAAGAAGATTTTTGGGGTTGGTGGGATACAATGAATGTATATTGCATGCAAGAACGACATAGATATTTGGGGGTAAAGGATGTAATGTTATAGACTAAATGTTGTATTCCCCCCACCCCAAATTCATTTGTTGAAATCAATGAATATGATGGGACTGGGAAGGAGGGTCTTTGGGATGTGATTAGGCCATGAGGGTGGAGGCTCATGAATGCTATTAGTGCCCTTATAAAAGGGACTCCAGGCCGGGCATGGTGGCTCACACCTGTAATCCCAGCACTTTGGGAGGCCGAGGGAGGTGGACCACTTGAGGTCAGGAGTTTGAGACCAGACTGGCCAACATGGTGAAACCCTGTCTCTACTAAAAATACAAAAATTAACCCAGTGTAGTGGCATGCTTCTGTAATCCAAGCTACTAGGGAGGCTGAGGCAGGAGAATCCCTTGAACCCAGGTGGCGGAGGTTGCTGTGAGCCAAGATTGCACCACTGCACTCCATGCACTCCAGCCTGGGCCAAAGAGCGAGATGCTGTCTCGGAAAAAAAAAAAAAGTCACTCCAGAGAGCTCTCTCATTCTCATTCCACCACATGAGGATACAATGAGAACTTGGCAGTCTGCAACCTGGAAGAGACCACCTCACCGGGACCTGAGCATGGAGGTTCCCTGATTTTGGACTTCACAGCCTCCAGAATGGTGGGAAATACATGTCTGCTGTTTGTAAGCCACCAGCATATGGTCTTTTGTTACAGCAGCCCAAGCTGACTAAGATCCCTCCTCTCTCTAGCCTTCGAAAACCATCTGTGTAGGTAGGGCCTTTTGTCTGGGCCATACAGTTCACATTCAGTTTGTTTGGTGAGGAATTATTTCCCCACATTTTAAGTGGGTTGAGGTCTCATTTATTTAGTGAACCTTCAAATTCCATAAAGATACGAACACTCCCTTGGCCTTGCTCCATGATGCTCAGCAAACATTAGTGGAATAACTATATGGCTGCATCCCCTCTTCTTGAAAAACAGGTGGTTTACAATGGTGTTAAATTCAGGAGGTAGATAAAGACACCTAGTGTGAAGTTCCCCTCCCATCCACGTTTCTAAGCTACCAGATTGTTCTCCCTGGAGGCAACTAATGTTAACAGTTTATTGTGTATGTGTATCCTTCTAGAGATATTTCATGCATCTGCAAGCAAATACATATAACTATTCTTTTTCCTCTTGTTAAGTATGTAGTAGCCTGCTATACAGACTGTTTTTCTTTTTCTTTTTTTTTTTTTGCTTAAGAATCTTTGTGTGGTGATTTTATAGATACGTCTGCCAAATTCTTTGATACTTGTCCTCTCAAGAGGTGCAGCTAAACTCCCTTTCCTTTGACTGTGGGCTGGAATTAGTGATGTGCTTCTAGCAGATAGAATACAGAGGACTTGATGGGCTAACACTTCTGAGATTAGGTTACAAACAAACTGCATCTTCCGTCTTGGGTATGTTCTTTCTTTCTCTCCATCTATCTCATGAATCACTTATCTAGGAAGCCAGCTGCCATGTCCTCAGGACACTCAGGCAGCCTGGGGAGGGGCCCAGCTAGCAAGGGACTGAGGGTCCCACAGCTGAGAGTGTAGAAGCCGATCTTCTGAGACCTGCCAACAGTGACATGAGCAGTCTCGGAAGCAGACCCGAGTCCTCCCCAAAAGGCCTTGAGAGGGCTGCAGTCCCTGCCCACAGCTTGATGCCAACCACTTGGGAGATCCTGCACCAGAACCACCCAATTATGCTGCTCCCCAATCCCTGCCCTCTGGAAACTGTGAGATAATGTTTGTTGTTTAAGCCAACATATTTGTTATGCAGCAACAGATAATGTACATGGAGATCCTTCTTCCTGAGTGCCTAGTGTGCCTACTTCTTTTTACAGCTACTTTGTGTTCTGTTCACTGGACACAGCACTATTTATTTTAACCAGTCCCCTACTAATGAACATTTAGACTACTTCTAAGCTTGTGCTCTTCAAACCATGCTGCAATGGAAAACTTTATGAAAATTTCTCAGTCTGTTGCCCAGGCTGGAGTGCAGTGGCGTAGTCTAGGTTCACTGCAGCCTGTGCCACCTAACTGGGCTCAAGAAATCTTCCTACCTCAGCCTCCTGAGTAGCTGGGACTACAGGCACATGCCACCACATTTGGCTGATTTTTAAATTTTTTGTAGAGGTGAGGTTTCCTTATTTTGTTCAGGCTGGTCTCAAACTTATGGGCTCAAGTGATCCTCCTGTCTCAGCCTCCCAAAGTACTGGGATTATAGGCATGGAAAACTTCATAAATACATCATTCCACCTGTCTGTGAGTACACCTGTAGAATAAATTCTTAAATAGAAAAGTCATGGCAAAAGGTTCATTTTTAAAAAAAATAAAGTCTTTCCAAATTCTTCCTCTCTCTGTTTTCTTTTTTCTTTTTTTTAGACAGAGTTTTCCTTTGTCACCCAGGCTGGAGTGCAGTGGCTCACTGCAACCTCTGCCTCCTGGGTTCAAGCAATTCTCCTGCCTCAGCCTCCTGAGTAGGTGGGATTACAAGTACGCGGATAATTTTTGTATTTTTAGTAGAGATGGGATTTTGCCATGTTGGCCAGGCTGGTCTCAAACTCCTGACCTCGAACGATCCGCCCAACTCAAACTCCCAAAGTTCTGAGATTACAGGCATGAGCCACTGTGCCTGGTCCAAACTCTCTTGTATAGAGGTTATACCAATTTATACTTCCATCAGTAACAGATGAGAGGCTGGTTTGTCTTCACCCTCACCATCTTCCTTAACCCCTCTGGAATAGGTTACATCATAAAGATTCAGTATGTTTAAGGATTAAATTACATCTCCTGCATCTCCACAGCAAATGATTCAAAATGTCCTTGATTTATTTAGGATCCCAGAGAGGTTTTCTGACCTTACCCAGCAGATACACAGGCTCTGTCGTGGGTATAACAGCCATCAAAGCAGCGATGGGTGGTGGCAGCAGCAGCAGCACTCATATGTTGAAAAATCAAAATAAAACCAGGCCAAGCCTGGTCTTTTCGGTTCCTGCTCACAGTAAGAAGGGAAAGGCCCAGGGGCCTGAAAATCCTCTGCTGTGGAGATGCAAAGGGAGATCTGTAGTTTGCAGGTGTCTGGTGACCTTCTAGTCCTGCAGGCAACATGGGGCAGGACGCTGCTGGAAGCTTGTGAACTTGGCCAGGTGGCTGGGCCTTCAAAGGCTTCCCCTACAGCATCTCTTTCTGTGCCTAGCAGAGCCCAGGGCTCACACAGCGGGAGGTACTGCATCCTGGCTGCAGGAAAGTGCCTGTGAAGCCAGCTTGGAGCTGATAGAAGCAGTGAGGTGTTGGCGTCAACTCTCACCTGCAGGTTTCTGGTTCTGACTTTTGGCCATTTGGTGGGGCAGTCTTCTCCCAGGAGTGCACAGATCTGCCTCTCCTTGGTTCAGGAGAGTGCAAGAGGGAAAAAAAAGAAAAAGCAGTGAGGGTTCTAGTAATGGGACTTGCTTCCCAAAATTTGGAGAAGAACACTTCAGGGATACAGGGTTTCCCAGAAAGCAGGAATTCTGTGCCCTCTTCATGTAAAACTTCAATGGCTTTTAGTAAGAGGCTCCTTCATGCACGTACGCACGCACTCACTCACTCACTCACTCACTCACCCACTCACTCAACTCCATATTTACTGAGCACCTGCTTTAAGCAATGCATGTTTTAGGTATGAATTTCCAGGTCTTTCAGAATCTGTTTCTACCCAGATCTTGGGATGCTTGCCGATTGCTAGCCCATTGCTAGATGCCAAGTTCAAGCCCCTATGCACTTTCCTTTGTCAAAAAACCCCATCTCACTCTACCCCAATCTCCATTGCTTACACAACAAGTCCCAGCTCCTGGATCTGGCTACAGGATCCTGAATGTTCTAGCCCACATTTCCCACGTCAGCTTCCTGTCTTGCCAGTTCTTGCCTCAGACTCTGCAATCTAGCCTCAATGAAACTATTTCCACATGTTCATTCACATATTCAGTCATTTATTTCTTCATTTTTATTGTGTACAATATGCTAGGCACTGTGTTAAGTGCTCTGGCTATATCTGTGAAAAAAGGTGGCAGGACCGTACCCGCAGAGACTTAACTTCCAGAGACAATAAGTGAGCAAATAATTAACCATTGCAAGTTGTGATGTGTCTTGAAGGAAATAAACTGGGTGATGTGATAGAGAAGAGTGGATTAAGCCTGGCCAGGAAACATCTTTCCAAAAGAGGCGACAGGGAAGTAGGTAGCTGTGCTAAGATCTTGGGGACCTACCTCCTGAGCAGAGGGACAGTTAGGGCAAAGGCCAAGGCCTTGCTCTGTCAACCTCAGGCCTTTGTTCATTGCTGCTGTTTTCTCTTTGGAACCTTCCCAAGCCCAATGTTCCTGATTCTGGTGGATGTCTCTTCCTCCAGGAAGCCTTCCCAGATCACTGCACACTGAGGGAGTGCCTCTGCTCTTGCTCCACTTGCCTGCCATGGTTCTTCATTCACCCTCTGTGCTGTAGGGTGCACCCAAGGCACCCAGCCATTGACTTGGGAAACTCAGCCGTAGCCAGATCCATGTCTGCTTTGTTTGCTAATGCAGCCTGTTGTAGGTTGAATTGGGTCCCCCAAACCAATATGTTGAGGCTGTAACCCCTGATACCTGTGAATGTGGTCTTATTTGGAAATGAGGTCTTTACCGATGTAATCAAGTTAAGATGGGGTCATACTGGATTAGGGTGGGCCCTAAGTCCAGCGACTGCTGTCCTGATAAGGAAAGAGAGATTTGGAGACAGAGACAGCCACTGGGAAGAAGGCCATGGGAACATGGAGGCAGAGATTGGGGTGATGTAGCTGCAGGCCAAGAGCGCCGAGGACTGCTGGGGGCATTAGAGGCTAGGAGAGGTGAGGACGGATTCTTTCTCTAGAGGACCGATTCTAAGAAGGGTTCTAAGAGGGGGCATGGCCCTACCAACACCTATCAACACCTTGATTTCAGACTTCTAGCCTCCAGAACTGGGAGAGAATAAGATTCTGCCGTTGTAAGCTAACCAGCATGTGGCACATTATTTCAGCAGCCACAGGAAACTCACACAGAACCCCAGGCCCTGGGGGACAAGGGCATCCTTGTCCAGCATTGGGCTGAATGAATGAACCCCATCAACTGCCTCCTCCTCTTATTTTTTTTTTTTTTTTGAGACAGGGTCTCATTCTGTCACCCAGGGTGGAGTGCAGAGGCATGATCACGGCTTACTACAGCCTCCATCTCCCAGGTTCAAGCTATTCTCCTGCCTCAGCCTCCCGAGTAGCTGTGATTACAAGGTGCCCACCACTAGGCCCAGCTAATTTTTGTATTTTTAGTAGAGACAGGTTTCACCATGTTGGCCAGGCTGGTCTTAAACTCCTGACCTCAAGTGATCTGCCCACCTCTGCCTCCCAAAGTGCTGGAATTACAGGCGTGAGCCAGCATGCCTGGCCCTTCCTTTTGTGCCCAGCGTGTGGCCTTGAAGTCCCCTGTGTCCAGCCAGGGATGACTCCTTGCAGAGCACAGCCTGCCAGGCAGGAAGGGGGCCACCCTCCTCCCTTGTGTTTGCATGTGGAAAATTCTTCTTGGCATTTCTTGGGAGAAATTTATATTTTTTGAATCCTGATTCCTGAGAAAAATCAGTCGAGAAGTCAGGAAAATGGGAAAAAGTATTATAAGTCTCTTGTGGGAATTAAAGCTTGTAATCAACATGCAGACCTTACAGTTTTGAAGGAAGGCACTGACGTTGAGTTGAAAGCAGAGTCAAGGGTTAATATCAACATTTCTGAGAGCCAGGTCAGAAGGAGGTAGAGAGGTGGCTGTGACCTAATCCATCAGTCTCTCATAATCTCGTGGCTGAGTTAACGTACGTGTCTATGGCCCTGTCTGCTGCACGTGGTGCATCCTTCAAGCAATTAAAATACATATCACTAAATTTATGTGCAAAGTGTACTTGATACAGAACTGTTGAATGGTGTTCTAAGAAATAACAGGTTTTGGAAGCAAAATAAGTCCTTAATGTGGCCATTTGACACATGATTCTGTGTGATGTTGTTCCTCCTTGTTAGGAGATCTGACTGTTACGTGGTTCACCTGCCATCCAATAATGTTCTCTGGTGTTTCCTGGTGTTTGAATATTTTCTGTAGGTTATGGTCCTTTGTAAGCAGAACTAAGCTGAATATTTCTTGTTTATTAAACATCTTCCATAATAAATATAATTATAATAATAAAGACTATGAAGAATGTTGGAAGTATTTAAAAAATAACAAGATTTTGGACATTTGCATTTATTGGTTCTGAATCTGGAAGATTAATTAATATCTGTCGGGAATCTGGAAACACCATAGTTCCAGCTTATAAATAGTTGCTGTACCTCATATAAGCTTTAGCTCAGTCTCAAACCCTCCAAAAGCTTTCTTTCAGCTGAAACTGGGACTAGAGAGGGGCTGATTTCATCTGCCTAAGTGGAAATCCAGTTCTGATCTCAGCAGCCGTGTGACCTTGGACAAGTTGGACCACCTCTGGGAGCTGTTTCCTTACCCCTGCTCCTGTGCCCCGCATGCCTGGGCTGGGTGATCTCATGGGGGTCTTCCAGTCCCTGCAATCTATCATTTAGTAGCGCTGCTCCAGGCAACATCTCTGAGTGAAAATGCTCTGTAACCTACTTCTAATCCTGTTGGGTGTTGGGGAGGTTTTCTTGTGTCCAGTGAGTGGCAGTGAGGACTGACTTGTCGCTCATTGCTATGCACATTCCTCCTATATGTGATTTTGTTTAATCCTCATCATGACTCAAAGGGAAGCTTTATTGTTGTATATTACAGATGAGAAAGCTGAGGTTCAGAGAAGCATGTGTTGTGCCCCAAGGTCACAGATCAAAGGGAAGGAGGATGGGGGTGGTCCTATGAAAGGACCTCTGGGCTTGCGTGGACACTGGCACACCCGCAGCTTCCTCTTTCTTTCTGCTTGTTTGTATTTCTGGCCAGCTGCACACAGAGGCAGGCTCCTGGGGAGGGCTTTATGGATTCAGGTGGAAAGTGACAGCATGTGGGCAACATTGACTGTTCAGACACTGCCAAACCTTGGTTTCAGTGTGGAGGGGAGAAGAAAAAATTGGTGTAGATGAAAGTATGGCTTGGAGGCTGGGTGTGGTGCCTCACATCTGTAATCCCGGCACTTTGGGAGGCTGAGATGGGTGGATCACTTGAGCCCAGGAGTTGGAGACCAGCCTGGGCAACATAGCAAGACCTCGTCATTACAAAAAAAATAAAAATAAATGAGCTGGGCATGGTGATGCATGCATGTAGTCCTAGCTACTCAGGAGGCTGAGGCAGGAGGATTGTTGGAGCCTGGAAGTTGGAGGCTTCAGTGAGCTGTGATTGTGCCACTGCACTCCAGCCTGGGTGACAGAGTGAGACCTTGTCTCTAAAGTAATTAAATAAGGGCCGGGTGTGGTGGTTCATGCCTGTAATCCTAAAACTTTGGGAGGCTGAGATGGGCAGATTGCCTGAGCTCAGGAATTAGAGACTAGCCTGGGCAACATGGTGAAACCCTATCTCTACCAAAATACAAAAATTAGCCAGGTGTGGTGGTGCATACCTGTAATCCCAGATATTCCGGAAGCTGAGGCAGGAGAATTGCTTGAACCTGGGAGGCAGAGGTTGCAGTGAGCCAAGATTACATCAGATGCACTCCAGCCTGGGTGACAGAGTAAGACTCCATCTCAAAATAAATAAATAAATAAATAATAAATAAGTAGTTAAGTAAAAGTATGAGTTGTAGGGGTGGATGGCGATGTTGACTGTGGTGTCTTTTTCTCACTCCATACAGGTAGGACCTCCTGTGCTTTGGGTGGTTATTTCAGGTTGGGTTAAAGAGGGGGCTAAATTGTAATCCCCCCAACCCACCATGGGCCCAGTGGTGTGAGCAGGAGGGACAGGTGAACGTGCGATCCCCTGGCGATGTTGGGTGTGGCTGGAAGACACTGGTAAGATGGAAGGAATCTCCTCTCCCACCCTTTGTGCCTCTGTGTCCCCTTCCTGTAAATTGGGTAAGGGGTGGCTCTGGACTGTGGGGAATGGCAGTTCTCTTCTACTTCATATTTCCTGGTTATGTGATCAAAATAAAACTGTGTTCATGCTCCTGCTTTAAAAAAGTCCTTACTGCCACCATTTTTAAGCTATAGAACAGATGGCCATGATATTTACATTACAAATGGATCCTTCATTTGGCCAGAGAATCAATGTAGGTGTATTTGAGGGAGCAAGTTCTTTCTGTTAGGGACAGAATTGTATCCCCCACCCCAATTTCATATGTGGAGCTCTAACCCCCATTGTGACTGTATTTGGAGATAGGATTTTTAGGAGGTAAAGTTAAATGGGGTCCTGAGGGTGGGTTCCTAATCCAATAGGATTGGTGGTCTTTATAAAAAGAGTAAGAGAGATTTCTCTTTCTCACCATATCCCCTGCACACACTGAGGAAAGGCCATGTGAGGACAAAATGAGAAGGCGGCTGTCTGCAACCTGAGGGGAGTGCCCTCAGTAGAGCCCGATCCTGCTAGCACCTTGATCTCGGACTTCCAGGCTCCAGAACTGTGAAGGAATACATGTCTGCTGTTCAAGCCACCTAGTGTGTGGTGTTTTGTTATGGCAGCCCAAGCTGACTAACACATCCTCCTTGTCCCAACAGCATGCCCATGTGCTTTGACTTAACAACTGTTAAAGTGAGGGAAAGGTGTGTGTGTGCAAAGGTGGGCATATGTGTGTGATTCCTCCAGAGGATGCCTGAAGACACAGCGTGTTTCCTTCACTGGAGTGGACCCACCCTTGTTGGTTGTGACTACTGTCCCTCCCCTCCTTCCTACTCTCATACTAACTTGAAAATATCTTCCTAAAACTGGGAACTTGTTTCCTCCTTGTGAGGTACTTGGCTTTCTGTGTGTGTGTGGAGGGTTGTATGTGTGTATGTGCGTGTATGTGTGTAGGAGGTTGTATGCGTGTATAAAAAAACATGGTCTGTTTATAAGACCATGTGCATGTATTTGTGTGGGCATGTGTGTGCATGTGTATGTATGTGTATGCAAGGTGTGTGTGTGTTTTATGTGTGTAGGCATGTATATATATGCATGTGTGTATGTGTGTAGCCGTGTGTGTGTATAGGAGTGTATGTGTATGTAGAGGTGTGTGTGTATGTGTGTGTATAGGGTATGTGTGTGTATAGGATATGTGTGTGTATTTGTGGGTAGGAGTGTGTTTGTAGGGTTGTATATGTGTGTGTATGGGTGTGTGTATTTATGTGTGTGTAGGGTTTGTGTGTGTGTGTATAGGGTATGTGTGAGTATTCGTGGGTAAGAGTGTGTATGTGTATTTGTGGGTAAGAGTTTGTGTGTGTAGGGTTGTATGTGTGTGTGTAGGGTTGTGTGGGTGTTTGTGTGTGTGGGAGCACATGTGCATGCATTTGTGTGTATGTATGTGTAAGGGTGTGTGTGTATGTCTACATTCTGTTTTTTTAGACAAACACTTGGAGAAAAGGCATCAGAGAAGGACTAAGAGATGCTCTCCCTGAGGGTGAAAGACCCTCTCCTCTGTGGGGTAAAAGCCTTGCCATAGAGAAGTCCCCATCCGAGTCCTTGGGTGTTTTGGTTTTTGGCCCTTCCACCTCTGTTCCCCCTACTCCTAAATGGACAGGCAATGGAGCAGTCCAGCTTTATCTTCTGTCTCCTAGCAACCGTCCTTGGAAGGTGGAAGGCACATGGCAAGGTCTAGAGATTGAGGTAGGGCAGGTGGCAGGCAGGGAGGCAGGGGTCCTGGGGTGCTCCTCCTGGAAGCCCACGTCCTTGGGGCTAGGAGATGCTTTCTCTTCTGTGTAGCAGTGAGGGTGGGGGGCAGCTCTCATTATTTAACGGTATAATTTGTGTTGACAGAATGGACAGGAATGTTTCATCAAGCAGTTACACAAAGGAGTCTGACTTGTTCCCAAACACAAAGGCGACAGGCAGCATAAATTAATGGCGTGTGTGCTAGTGCACTAAGTGTTTGCTACCACACTTGCTGAAAGGGGGAGAAAGAGACATTGCCTTCTCCTTCTGAGACGAGAATTGCTTGCGGTGGGAAAGAAAAGGCAGAAAGAGTTATTTCCTGGCAAAATGAGCACAATTCAAGCATCAAGCATCCTCTCCCTCTGCCATTCATCCCAATAAGAATCCCTTGGGGTCCTGGCCTTGTCTCTCACACAATTGGTACACACTTACTTCAGCCATCCTCAGTGAGAGCTGGGTTTGGACAAGACATGCTCTGGCTGTCTTCCACCTTTGATGTTCATCTTAACTAGATGTCACCCGGATGAAGATCAAAGGTAGCCTTGGAGGAAAAACAATGTCACAAAAGGCTTTTCTCCTCCCTGAGAGTGAGAGGAGCAGGTCGAGCTTGGAGAGAGGCTGTCTCCTCGCCTTCTTTGTTAAAGTGATAAGAAGAGCCCTTTCTCCCTCTGTGTCCTTTTTTTCTCTTTGCTCTGTGTTGCTCTCCTTCCCTTCTCTTCCCTTCCATAACTTTCTCTTCCCTTTTTAAAAGAAGGGTCTAGTGGGCGAGTTTTAGTGACACATGTAGGGTCACAAGCCTCAGCAGCTACAAATAGAAGACATAGTGTTGCAGGGTCAAAGGAACGCTGTTGAGACTCAGTAGCCAGGGTTTCCATTCTGGCCTTGCCACTAGATAGCCCCATGATCCTGGGGGTTTGGGCCTCGGTTTACTTACTTGTAAGGCTCAGGGGTTGTACTAGATGCTCTTGTGAACTCCCTGCAGCTCCAACAGTCCAGGACTCCCTAGCCATTCTATTCAGGTCTCAAGACATGGTGCCCCTTGGCCTCCCTAAGTCACAGCTTGCTATCACCATCACAGCAGCATGAGTGGGAACAAGTTGAAGGGACGGAGCTGACTACACCCTTCAGCCTTCCCCCTGCTGACTCTTGGAAAGCACTGAGCAGCACAGTACTAAACTACAGGACTTCTTCTTCTTTTCATTCCACCATCTCTATATATTTCTCCCAAATGAAATTAAAAAAATATTATTGAATTATTAAAGTACACATTCATGTTGTAAAAAGAAGACATTCCAAGTGAAGTGCCCCTGATAACCACTTTCCACATGGTGTACGTGCTCCCAGGCTTTTAAAAAACACACTTATAATGATGTAAATATATGTTTGGATTTGTGGGATTTTGATTTGTTCTTTGAGGTTCTGATTTATGGACTGCTGACATGTTGGCCACTGGAGCTGTCACAGCAAAAGAAGAGAAGGAACCAGCTTCTTTTGAGGCCAGTGAGATGTGTTTGTCCCCAGCTGTGAGCTGGGTCCCGTGTTTTGGGCACCAGGAGCCCTATGCTCTCTCCTTATGCAAGTTGTATGTAAATTGCATCCTGGAGGAACTTGAGGCTTCTAGATTTATTTCCACAAAACAATGACACAAGGCTAAGAATCTTCACAAAGCGTGCTTAAAACCAGTTTGTTGTTAGAACAATGGACACACTTTCTAGGGATTGCTGTTTCTTTCTCTCTTTCTTTTTAAGAAACTTAAACATTACAATGTATATGCCCTTTATTGTGAAGAAATTAGAAAACAAATAAGTCTGTAGAAAAGAAATCACTGTATTCTTTTATTTAGAAATATATTTAGTTTTTTTTTTTTAATCAAAGAACACCTAAAGTTTTCCTGCACACATATTTAAAGAGCCTTTTCAGTTGACTTGATGCTTGCAGTTTAGAGATAGCTTGAGGTGACGTGTTGTCTGTCCTACCTCCTAGGACCTGGACCTTGAAGCCATATTTATTCAGCCAGACTCTTGGGACATGGAGATGAATGTAACTGGGTTTTTGCTCTGTAAGTTCTCCTAGCATGTTAGGAGAATGGTCCCAGAAACAAACAAACAAATAAAAAACTATAGTCTAGCATGGAGCATGCTAAAATTTGGAAATCTACTAAGTATCCTGAAACAGAGAGGAAGAGGTCATTAACTGAATAGATGTGAATCTGGTAAATTTCAATGCCATTGAGGTAATTTAGAACATCTTCCTGCTTAGACTTTAATCCCAGATACAAGTAGTTTGTTTCCACTGTGAGAGATCTCCAAGTGCTTTCTCGTGGATTTGTGGCAAGGGGCCTCCAACTTCTACTTTCAGCATCACAAGGCAGAGATGTAGGAGGTAACGCTTTATTTCCTCTCTGCAGAAGCCTTCTTTTGCTTGCCTCCATCTCTTAAGTCTACAGCCTTCCATATGCTTGGGTGGGAGCCCGTGGGTCTTGCAACTCTGGGGCAGCAACATTAGCTTCACTTTTAGTGTGTGCCAGTCTAAAATCTTGGTAATTCTACCAGGCTGAGATAACTCTGGTGATACACAGATTTATTTCATGTAAGCCCTTAGAAATCTTTGTGCGGGACCAGCCCTATGTCAACTCTCATTCTGGAGGAGGGGTGTGGGGTGCTTGGCAACATCTTCATACAGTTACAGAAAAGTGCATTTGATGTAAACTTTGAAACAGTGAAGTGATATGTGCTGACTTTGATTGAATTAACTGGAAACAGGCCCTGAGACAGAGAATTGCATTCAGAAGGCTTCTTGTGGACTGCTCTCAGGAAATGTACCTGTAGGAAAGTGAGGAAGACTGGATTGGGCAGTGAGAGAAACCAGTTGATAATGCTGTTGCAATTGAGATCTCAGCTGATCCTGTAAAGAGCTTTGGATCTGGGATGAACTATCAGAGTTGTCCCAAACTGAGGCAAGGGCATGATGGCTTGAGCTCATAGTCACTGGCTATAAGCTACCTTCTGGGAGGCTGAGTAATATTGGACAAACTAGTTCCCTGAAACCAAGTACAATTCCCAGTGAGGAATGCAGCTATGAGCTGTCAGCAGCAAGATCCCCATCAGCAGGGTGATGAATGACAGGAGGAAAGGGAATCAGAGCAGACAACAACAGTATCCACTACAGTCTGTTTTTTATTTCTCTGACCCACTGACATCTTAAGTTTTCCTCACCTGGGGACAAGTCCTTTAGGATTAAAGTTGGTCTCACTTTCTAGGGAATTTACAGGCAAATAATTAAAGGGACAAACCATAGCTCTTTCTGTACAATTGATCTTGAAGCCATAACTGACACTTACCTTCCCCCCACTCCATCACCCATTCTAGATACCCTCACCTTCAGCTGACCATTTTACTAGTCTAGGCAGTTTGCTTCGTGAGGTGGACTGGATCCTCAACCCTGAGGTATATTAGCCTCTGTTAGAATGCTCTTTTCAGGACATGGGTGCTGTATCTGCCAATGTACTATTAAAACAGGGCGTGTGAAGCCATAAAACAAAATGCGTTCATGTCCTTTGCAGGGACGTGGATGAAGCGGGAAGCCATTATCCTCAGCAAACTAACACAGGAACAGAAAACCAAACACTGCATATTCTCACTCATAAGTGGGAGTTGAACAATGAGAACACATGGACACAGGGAGGGGAACATCACACACCGGGGCCTGTCAGGGGGTGGGGGGGGGGCAAGGGGAGGGAGAGCATTAGGACAAATAACTAATGCACAGGGCTTAAACCTAGATGACGGGTTGATAGGTGCAGCAAACCACCATGGCACATGTATACCTATATAACAAACCTGCACATTCTGCACATATGTCCTAGAACTTAAAGTAAAATTAAAAATTTAAAAATAATAAAAGTATGAAAATTGAAAGAAACAAGACAAAACTAGGGCACATGAACACCAATAGATGCCTCAGTGGGTCAACTGAGTGCTGAGCATATTCCTCCCCATTGTCATTATCTAACAGCAGCCCGATCTCCTGTCATATGATTGTTGCTTTTCCATGCCTGTTGGTCTTCTGGTATGAGGAATTCAGAGGGCCTGGTTAGCAGTTGCAGCTTAAAATGTAATGGACTTTTATGGAGCACACATGTACAAGTGCTCCCCTCTCTGAGAACAAGGATCTGTAGAGCCCACAGAGCCTAAGATTATAGGATTGGGAGCATAAATTCTCCAAGTGGTTATGGGTTGTTGGTAAGTGGGGCCACTCCCACATTCACCCTTTAGTTTCCTGACTCATGTATTCTATGCTCAGGGGACACAGTGCCATATAATAGGCATTAATTTAGAATCTATACTGAACTCAGAGATGTTGTCATTTTCAAGTTGACATCTCCATTATTTCTTTAAGAGGCCACTCCACTCCTCTATCAGGCTGGTGACTCCTAAAGGTGCAGTAGATGACAGAACCTGTGGGTCCCATGGTCAAATACCCACTGCCATTGCTGTACTTTTTTTTTTTTTTTTTTTTTTTTTTTGCCATTAGGTGGGTTGCTTGGCCTAAGGCAAAGTTGATTAGGATTTTATGTCAGCTGATGAAGTCCTCTTCAAGTCCTCAAATAGTTGTATTGGCCAAAGCCCTAGGAGTAGGGAAGTCAAGACCATATAGAATATATGTGTTTATATTAATAAGATGGAATCATTGCTCCTTCTAGGGTGAAAGGAGTTTAGAGTAGTCAACTTGCCACCATGTGCCTGGTTCATCTCTTCAAGGGATGGTGTCAAAGATGGGCGCGGTCTTAGTTTCTGTTGCTGGCAAGTTGAATATTCAGCAGCAGCAGCAGCCAGATCAGCCTCAGTTGAGTGGAAACACATTCTACTGGGCCCATGAATAGTTTCCAACACTTCTACCATGGCTAGTCCACTCACATGTCCATTGTGTCAGCACTAGGTTGGCCCATTACAAATACTTGCTGACGTCAAATGACCGAGTCATTCTGCCCACTTGCTTGGTTTAGTGTCTCTTACATTGTGGATACATAATGTCTCTTACACCAAATCAAATGGCCATTTGGTGGCCATTACATGCCATACTAAAATCTTCCCTCTTTATATCCATTCCCATAGGTCCATCTAAGTGAGTCTTTCTAAGACCTCATCCCCAATCTTCTAATCTTTCTTCTTTCAGGACCCTGGTCCAGCTGGAAAGTCCATTTAAAAATGCCCTAAGTCTACAGATATATTTACTTTGGGCTACTTCTCTTTTCACAAAGTGGAGGGCCTGCTGCATCACAAAAAACCCTGCCAATTTGGATAATTTCTCCTCATTGCTTTCTTCAGGGCCACTTTTGAATAGAGCTATAAAGCAATGAGTCTATTTGTACTCACACTGATGTGCCAAGTTGATCCATCCATGTACCAAGCTTACACTTTTTCCTCTTCCATTAGCTGGGTGTAAGGGAGAAACAGGTGCGTGTTGTGGAAGGAGGTATGAATGCAACCATAGAAGGTGATGTGGGGGTTGAGACCACCTATTCAGGCAGCTTAATTGTGATCTCTGGCCCTATTCCTGCTCAGTCCCAGATACACTTCCACCTTACACAGATTGATGCTCGGTCAGCCTGACTGTCTCAGTGGGTATGACCGAACCCAGCTTATGATGGGCAGCTCTGGCTGCATGGCCACTGGAAGCCATGCTCAGATGGCCTATGTTTACTAAGCCCCAGTGGGCTTACAAGGTTCTGCCCCTTGAATGGAATATAGTCCTGTCATATATGGCATGGCCTTGCTCCAAAACCCTAAGGGTTTACACTGATCTCTTATTGGGGCTTGCCGTCAACTCTACTTGATGTCTTTTGCAAACACAGAAGCGTCTCATACCATAAGGTCTGCCAAGTTGTATGGCCAAGTGACAAGTTCGCTTTTGCATAGCCCTTTTTATGCCCACTTACAGCTGGCAGACTTTCATGTCACCTGGTAACTGGGTAAGAGCAGTTTTTCCAAATGTGGAGTATGCTGCCTCCAGCACCGAAAGGGGCCTACCAAGAATTGTGTTCCTTTCTCAGTGGTGGGAGTTATGAAATGCAATAATTTGTCATTTACGTGGGGGAATGCTTTGCTATGCCCAGATCACTGGACCCTAAAAAACTTCTCTGATATGGCAGGTCCCTGAATCTTCATAGAGTTAATCTACACCTCTGGAGTACATGTGCCTTATCAAGGCCTCCAAAATACCTACTGCTTCTTATCTGGTCTAATTAGCATGATGTCACCAATATGGTAAACAATGTGATAGTCTGTGGAATGTGCAGATGGTGTAGGCCTCTTTGTTTTATATTATGACAGAGAGAAGGTGAATTAAACAAGCCCTGGGGCATAAATATATATTGTTAACTTGTCCCAAGTGAATGCATACTGCTTTTGATCCTCCTTGAGAAGGGATGGAAAAGAATGCACTCGCTAGATTAATGTCTGCATATCATGTGTTGGCGTGTTAATCTCCTCTAAAAAAGGTACCACATCTAGCAAAGTAGGCACAATTGGGGGCTGCTGTTTGGTTAAATTGGCAGTAGCCCACTCTCATCCACCGTGATCTATCTGGCTTTTGGATGCTAGCATTCCCGTTGCGATCAGGGAGTCCAATATTGTAACAGCATCGCCTACTGCCAGCTCTAGCTGAAAGAAGACAGACACCACTGAGCACATGAGTGATGCTGGTGTTCCTCTCACCAACACATTCCTTATCACTTTGGGAAATAAAATGTCCTCTTAGTCTTCATAGAACATAGTCAGAAAGTGGGTTTTTTGCCTGTATCCACTCTGTCCCACCCATTTTTCTGAGCTCTTTGAGCCCTTCTTCCATCATTTGCCAGGGAAGTGCTGGTACATCCATTTAGTTTGGGCCATTACTGGTTCTAAACTTACAAGATTCAACCTGGCAGTTTAGTAGCATCTTCTTCCAGGATCCTTGCCAGGGTGTTCAATTCCATATCATGGGGAAATTTTAATACATTTTCATATTAATATAACCCCCTTTATCCAACTGTGTTCCATCCCCTTGACTCATTGCCCTCAGAATCCAGCCTAATGCACACACTCCCATCTCTTCTTGGTACATATCAGCCAGAACCTGCACCCCTTTGGTGTATAGTCCCTCTCTTCCACATACTCCCTCCTTCTCTGGCCTTGTTGGTCTTGTTGATTTGACTTTTCCTATTGGTCTGATTGACGGAAAGAAAGATTGGCATAGGAATCCCCAGGGGGCCAGTTCAGTCTTGCAAGGCAGCTGACTCATTTGCCATCATTGTATGATACTCAGGCAAGGAAGTGGGGGCACTATCCTCTATCAAGAGGAATAGGTACTTCTGCAGGCCAGCAGGTTTGGGGGAAGATGGGAGTTAAAAATTCTCAACTACATCATTACCCAGGTAATCACATCCCAAGTGTCAGAGTCCTACTCCTTTTCTGTTATGGCCTTGACCTTGGCATAGGAGACCTCTCAGCTGAGAATTCAGTCTTCCCTGAAGTTCTGTTGCTATTACATGATTAATTACTGAATCCGATTTTTTGTGTGGATGACCCTCTGTTATAGTTTTTTTTTTTTTTTTTTAAATGCTGCAAAGGAAATCACCTGGCTTTCACATTTTACCTTGAATTATCAACTGATTATCATGAGTTTTATACTATCTCTCTTCAGCGAGTGAATCTGTAGCACTCAACAACGGCCACCAATTCCATGGTCTTTCGAGTTATTATTTCCCTCATGCCTCTAAGGTGCCAGAGATATTACTCCAGCCAGTGCATCACCTTTTACTGGTGTTCTAATACCTTTAAGCTAGGTAGACATTTTGCAGTTGCACTGCTAAAGCACACCAGACACTACCCATACTATACTGACCACCAGGATGGAGTCCTCATTGCCAACTGGCCAGGGAATAATTCACCTCCAAAAGCATATTTGATAGCCCACTTTCTAGGTCCAATCCTGGTATTAATGGGCTCAGACTGGGTTCCCTGGAAACAGACTATGAAATGGAGAATTTCACTCAGGGTTTATTAGGGAGTGCTCTTGGGAAAAACACCTGTTCAAAAAAAATGAGGAAGGGAGGGTTGGGGAATGAGGAGGAAGAGAAGAAGGAGGAGGAGAAAGAAGAAAGCAGCAGTAGCTGAAATTTACTGACCTAAAAAATAGTTTCCACTGAGGATTCAGCCAGTTCTGTGGGGAGCTTTGAGCTAGGATGACCTTTCCGACCTTTCAGAGTTGTTCCCAGTTGAGACAAAGTTGAAACTTTTTGGATTCCCGTATCAGTCCATCATTGGCCACAGGCTGTCTCTTTGGAGGGGTGTAACCTTGGGCAAGGGAATTCTTTGTGGCTTAGGGCATCGCGCAGTCAGGGTCACAGCTGTGAATCCTCAGCAGTCAGTATTCTCAGCATCTGGGAACTGACAAATCAGCCCTGATGAGGGGATCTGAGGAGAGCACTGGAGTGCCTGCTGCAGGTACCCTGAGCTCATGGTTCCCACTGAGCAGCAAGAACTGGATTTAGAAAAAGTGGAGAACAGCCTGGCAACATAGACCTCATCTCTACTAAAATTAAAAAAAAAAAATTAGCCAGGCATGGTGTCTTGCACCTGTAGTCCTAGCGACTTGGGAGGCTGAGGCAGGAGGATTGCTTGAGCCTGGGAGATCGAGGATGCAGTGAGCTGTGGTGATGCCGCTGTACTCCAGCTGGGCGTGAGACCCTGTTTCCAAAAAAAAAAAAAGTAGAGGAGCAAAAATAGTACATTGGTAATGGCAACACCAATTTCACACTAGCCTAGGATTATCAAATATTATTCTGTTTGATCTTAGACAAGCTATTCAGCAATTTTTGTGCCAAGTTTCTTTAACTGTAGAATAAAATTACTAACTAGATATGAACCTTGAAATGGTGCATAGCATATTGTAAATAAAAAAAATCATTGTTGTTGTTATTGATATCGGTATTTTTCAGCAACACAAAGTTATTTTCTAGCTCTATCTCCCTCCTCATGATCATCTAACCTGGCCCTTGCCCGCCTTTCTCCTAAAATGAAACTTCTACTTCTATCTTGCTGGTTTCCTCACTTGTTCCCAAAAGATGCCATGCACGATGCTTGCACCATTTCCCTTCCTAGACTCTGTCCTCATTGGTCTCCCCTAAGGCTATCTAAATCTATGTGGTCCTCAAGGGAGTGGAAGGAGCAAGTGCTTTGGATTTAAAAGTCTAGGTTTAAGTCTTAGATCCTCACCTTACTTAAGTTGCGCGACCTTGGGTAAGCCATTGAACATGTCTCAGGGTCAATTTCCTCACCATTAAATATGGGACAATAGCAACTACTACACTAGCTTGTCACGAGGAGTAAATATGATAACTAGGTTAAACTCCCAGCACAGACCCAGGCATACTTTAGTTTGCTCAACAAGCATTGGCGATTGGATTCCTTCACAACCTTAATATGATCTAACCAGAGAGCCATTCAATGCACAATTATTGAAAGCCTGTGATGCACATGTACCTGCAAGGGATAGTAAGGTGCAGGAGTTACAGCTCCCCCAAGGATGATAACAGTTGCCTTGCAGCTTTCCCAACCTCCTCAGTGTGCAGGCCCCTCCCCACCTCTCCCTCCTGGTATCTCTACTGCACAGACCCATGCTCCATCTGAACACCAATCTCTTAGGCATTGCTATTTACATCTTCCTACATATCAGTTATGCCTCTCCATGTCAATTGTGAGCTGCTTGAGGGGAGAGACTTCCATATTCTTCCCTGTCCCCATACAACAGTTAACACAGGCACATGCCCTGTGCTCTCTAAGTAATTGCTAAATAAATACATTTTAAAGGAATGTTTGTGATCCTTGATAACACCGAGCAGTTTTCATTTTGCAGGCTGACACCTGTTGGAACCATAACATCAATTTTGCGGGCTGTGACATCAAAATGCCCCTAGTACGCATGAGTATTATTTGCTGAAACTTTCGTTTTTGTCTTAAATGCCTGTCACAGGCTGGGTTGTGGTTTAAAAATAAGTTTCTTACTTTTGATCATGGTTTGAAAAAAGAAAAAAAACAGTGACAGGATGCGTATGACAAGGCTCCTAGCTTGGATGCTGAGCCCCTTGTGGGCAGAATCAAAGACATTGGGCACCAAGACCTCCCAGCTGGAGAGGAAGCAACTGGTTTCAGAAAAGCTCTCCTGGGGTTGGGGCGGATTAGAAGACAGGCAGTCAAGAGAAGAAATGCTCAGGGGCCTGAGCACAGTCGCTCAAACTGCTTATTGTCTGGGCAACAAATAGGCACTGCAGGCGCACCTAAAAACCTCAAGTGTCTTTCCTTCAGAAAGACACAAAGCACTTAAGACCCTGCAATTGCTCAAGATTTTCCTCTAGGGATCCTTGTTTTCTCTAGAGCTTTAGATTGTAATAGAAACACCGTTGCCTTCATTCTTTTCTCACTTATTAAGCTGAAAAAGTAATCTGGAATCTTTAGCCTTTGGAGATTTGGCGATAATTTCTTGATGCAAAATTTGTATAGACAGCTTGACCATGATTGAAAGACCACATGAAAAAATCCTTGAAATTGAAATTGAAATCCTTGAAACTCAAAATTCTAGGACTGGAAATTCTTATCACCTATAGATGCTTTGAGGTTGAATTCAAAGTGTCATTGACCCAGGCACTGTTGGGAGTAGGAAGCCTTTTTTCTTAGGGAATTTGAGCCTCAACCTCTGTCTGCACTTTGCAGCATTGGCTGTGATGGGGCTTGTCTTGGCTGTGATGGGGCTTGTCTTCTGGTTCCATGTTCTGGACAAATGCTTCCACCTTTCTTTCTGGAACGCCTGCCTAATGTCTGGCTGTCTGCTGTTTGTACTCTGAAAACTACTTTAATTGGGAAGGTAAAATACAGTCTCAAATGCCCTTTTTGTGCCTTGTGAAAGCCCTCTAAAGCTTAGCTTAACTCAAAGAGCTTAAATCAATAGCACCGGCCCATTTTCTAATCACAGGGAATTTAATAATGATCAGGAAAGCCATTATCAGTCTGATCTGTGGGACTGTTTGGACTTTAACTCTTGGAAAACAGCTTCCTGTCAAACTTACATACTGTTATCATATAAAATGTCACTGAGAAGGGTATTAAAATCCCTCTTTGGAGAGAAAGCCTTATAGGGGTTCTATCAAAACTACTCTGTATGCTGATGAGTTAGGTGCTAGGAGAGAGAGAGAGCTAAAAACAAGCTTGGAGGTGGAAAGGAGGGAATTGTTCTCTTTTTGCCACAGCACACCCAAATGGAGAAGGGGAGGCTTCTTGGTGTCTGGGTCTGTAATTCAAGAAGTCCCTTGAGACACCTCAGCCCAGGGGCTGGAAAGTTCACGTCTATCCGCTGAGGCCTGGGAAGCCTGTTGGGGCCCCTGAAGGGAAGGGTGAGAGGAGAGCAGCCATGTCGCTCCATGGCTCCTGGCAGAAGTGTGAGGCTCCTGGACTCTGGTGACTTAGCCCCATTTACCATCACAGAGACATATAATACAGGCATTTGCCTACTTAGATCCCAGCCATGTGAGTTTTGGAAGTCTGCTGAGGTGAATTTCAACCCTGGTTACCATAATGCAGTTGGGCCTTTTGTGAGTTGAATGTGATGTTGTTGTTTTTAGGGATTAAATGTTCAGAGAGAACCACTGACTTGGGGTTAGATGGTTGGCCTTTAACAAAACCCTAAAGGAACAGGGTGTGAACAGTTACATAACAAAAGATAAGAGGAACTACTTGAAAAGCTGAGTTGGCCAGCATGGTGGCTTATGCCTCTAATCAGCACTTTGGGAGGCTAAGGTATAAAGAGCACTTGAGCCCAGGAGTTCGAGACAAGCCTGGACAACATAGTGAGACCCCTCATCTCTATAAAAAAATGTTAAAAAAATAGCTTGGTGTGGTGACACGTGCCTGTATTCCCAGCTATTCACAAGGCTGAGGTGGGAGGATTGCTTGAGCCCAAGAGGTTAAGGGTTGGCCAACTCTCTGCACCTGGGTTCTTCCAGCAGCCAAAGACTTGTAGAGAAGAGAAATGAGTGCATGTGGGCTCCGGGGGGCACATTCCTCCATTGTGTGCTCACATCAGACAGTCTCCACGATCCCAGCCAGCTCCTGGGGCTGTGACCTCCTGGGGTCCAGAGTCTTTCCTGAGCCACTGCCATGAAGCCAAAGTCCCCAGAGTGAAGCTGCCTGCACTGTGTCCTATGTCACCAGCCCTGGTTGCCCTACTTGACACAAATGGAGACCCCATCTCCATCTGACTTGTTTAAGGTCTTAAGTCTAAAACCTCAGCATCTTCACAACTCCACTTGCCTTATCCCTCCCCCACCAGATCCCCCCCCTCCAGGACTGCTAATCTCTCCTGCTGGGATGCACGTGCTCCCACCCCACATTTTGCAGGTTTTAACCCCTTTGGCTCTTTCAGATAGGCCTTAACCTCCTTAAGAAACTTATAACACATGGAGAGCGAAGGCCCAACACTGATTTTACATATTAGAAACTCAAACTCCGAGGTGGTCCGTGAGACCCTGTGGCTGGTCGGTGGCAGCAGGTGCCCAGGACACTGGCCTGGGCCTTATTCCTGGCCTGTGTGCCTTCTGTGTACCACCTGCCTGGGATGTCTCCATGTTGTACATAGAGAAGACTCTGGAGGGGGCCTTAGTACAAGCTTTGTTGCCCCAAAACTGAGTGATTGAGGGAAATACTGCAATCCCTCTGGTCTTCCTTTCTTTTTCTGTAAAATGAGGATAATCATGTCTAATTTGAAGCTTAAATGTATTTAGTGTTCCTAGCACTAGAACTGGCATGTAAAGTACTTAATTGAACTGTCATTGACATGCTTCCTGAAAAATTACAGGAAAAATGGATCCTGAAGGAAAATTGGGAGTTATGGACTGCATGATTTTGTTTCCCCAAATTCATAAGCTGAACTCAGAACCCCCGGTGTGATGGTGTTAGGAGGTGGGGCCTTTGGAAAGTGATTAGGTCATAAGGGTGGAACCCTCGTAATGGAATCAGTACCCTTGTAAGAAGAGACAGGAGAGAGCTTGTTTTTGTGTTAGGCTGTTCTTGCGTTGCTACAGAGAAATACCTGAGACTGAGTAATTTATGAAGAAAAGGCATTTAATTGGCTCACGGTTCTGCAGGCATGGCACTGGCATCTGCTCAGCTTCTGGGGAGGCCTCAGGGAGCTTTTACTCATGGTGGGAGGCAAATAGGGAGTCAGGCACGTCACACGGGAGGGCAGGAGCAAGAGATAATGAGGGTGGGTAGTGCCACATTCTTAAATAACCAGATCTCAAGAGAATGCACTCACTATTGCCAGGATAGCACTAAACCACGAGGGATCCGCCCTTGTGACCCAGACACCTCCCACCCAGGCCCCACCTCCAAGATGGAGAATTACAGTTCAACATGAGGTTTGGCGGGGACATATATTCAAACTCTATCAGTTTGCTTCCTCTCTCTTTCTCTCTTCTTCTCTTCTTCTCCAAGAAGACAGACATCTGCAAGCTAGCAAGCAGGTCCTCACCAGACATCAACTTGCTGGCACCTTGATCCTGGATTTCCCAGCCTCTACAGCCATGAGAAATATGTTTGTGTTAAGCCATCCAGTCTGGAGTAATTTGTTATGGCAGCCCAGACTAAGGAAGGGAGCACGAAGAAATCAGGAAATATGGCCCCAGTATGATGCTGGGCTCTGTGGGAGACAGCTGCTTGAAGGCAGCAGAGGTGTCATCTGTAGAGGCTTACCACCTCTTAAGATTATGTTGGGGTTTCCAAGCAATGACTCATGACAATAATATCCAGGGGGACAGAGCCAGTCATTGAGTTCCAATGCATATTATCTATACAAAAAGTGGGTTAGCCAAAGCTCTCCATGGCTTCAAGGGCTGGACACAGCCTTGAGATATCAAATCATTAATAGGAGCCAAAAGTTCTTATTCTACCATCATTATTAATATTGATAAAAGAAAGCAGAGGTATTGCTGATTCAAAATCACATGACCAAAATATCTTGTCTACTGTCCATCTCCTCCCCTAAATATAAATTTGATAGAGATCTTTTCTGTCCTAGTCTCTGCTGTAGCCCCAGAACCAGAGTGTCTGTCACAAAACAGGTGCCCAGTGAACATTTGTTCAATGGACGAATGATGAACAGATTAAAATAATAGACCGTGGCTGAAATTGCTATTTTAGCCAACAAACGCAGTATCAAATTATCAAAATTGCTATTTTAGCCAACATGTGCAATATCAAATAATCAAATAGACTTGATCATTTCGATAGCGCATATGTTGGCTAAAATAGCAATTTCAGCGTCTTAAAGACATGTGCATGCATAGTCAGCTCTTGATTAGTTCTTCTTTAGTTTGTACATGCTTTTAGATCATCACTTAGTGTCTCTTGCTGCCCATTTTTGGCCCGTTTTACGATTTGTTTGCAACCTATAATCATGTCTAAGTGGAGAAGACCAGTGAAAGCCAGGCAAGTTGATAACATCTTCACTCTAGAAAAGAGTGAGAGTTTTGGGGTGAGTAGGTGAAGGGGTTTGAGGTGGTCTGCGTCCTGCCATCTGTCTGTTTTCCCCAGTCCTCATGGCCACGTACAATTGCAGAAGTCAGAGGCAACCTTGCTTCCTCAGAATCTTGCATGAATTGAGAGCACTTGCAATCAGTCTGGGGCCACAGTAATTGAAATTAATTGAATTTTAGAGATAATAACGTTTATACTAATGTGTGTATTGAGAGGAGACAATAATCTAAGAGATAAGTACCTAGGAGAGGTGGGGTGGGAGAACGTGCATCCCAGCAGGACAGATTAGCAGTCCTGGAGCAGGGGTCTGGTCGGGGAGGGATAAGGCAAGTGGAGTTGTGAAGACGCTGAGGTTTTAGAGACGCAAGAGAGAGAAGCAACCTGGGGAGGAAGAGGCAGAAGAACCTTTGTATGATAATGATCATAATATTAATAGTGCCAGATGCCCTTTATTGAGTGTTTCTATGTGCCAGGCACTATGTATTTTAAATTTGTGATGTTATTTTATTTTCACAAGAAGCTCATGAGGTGAGTTGTCCTCCGTATTTTATTTTATTTTATTTTATTTTATTTTATTTTATTTTATTTTATTTTATTTTATTTTTGAGACAGAGTCTTGCTCTTTCGCCCAGGCTGGAGTGCAGTGGCGTGATCTCAGCTCGCCGCAACCTCTGCTTCCTGGGTTCAAGTGATTCTTCTGCCTCAGCCTCCTGGGTAGCTGGGATTACAGGTGTGTGCCACCATGCCCAGCTAATTTTTGTATTTTTTAGTAGAGATAGGTTTTGTATTTTTTAGTAGAGAAGGCTGGTCTCAAACTTCTGACCTCAAGTGATTTGCCTGCCTCACCCTCCCAAAGTGCTGGGTTTACAGGTTTGAGCCACTGAGCCTGGCCTTATTTTATTTTAAAGAAGAGAAGCCTTAGATTTAAAGGGATTTAAATAATTTGCCTCAGGTTGTTTGGCATATACAAATGCCAAATAACGCAGTTGGCCCTTGAACAATGTAAATTTGAATTGCATGGCTCCACTTATATGCAGATTTTTTTTCAATAAAAGTTACATGAGCATTGCTGTCTCTCCAGCCTCCCCTTCCACCTCCTTCACCTCTTCTACCCCTGAGACAGCAAGATCAGCCCCTCATCTTCCTCCTCAGCCTACTCAACATGAAGATGATAAGAATGGAGCACCTTTATGATAACCCACTTCCACTTAATAAATAGTAAATACATTTTCTCTTCCTTATGGTTTTCTTAATAATATTTTCTTTTCTCTAGCTTACTTTATTGTAAGAATAAAGTATATAATATGTGTTCATCAACTATTTGTGTTATCGATAAGGCTTCTGGTCAACAGTAGGCTATTAGTAGTTACCTTTTTAGGGAGTCAAAAGTTATAGTTGGATTTTTGACTAGACAGGGTTCCCCTGCATTGTTCAAGGATCAACTGTACTCTTAACTATTTATCTACAGCATATCTCATTTATCCGAAGCAGGAAACCAAGAGCAGAGAGGACCAGGAGAGAAGACATTCTAGAGAAAGAGCCAAGGAGGCTGCTGATTCTGAAGCAGCTCCAAAGAGGGTGGTTTTGATAAGGACCTGGTTCCTGAGGAAATAAAGGAAGTCTGATTCCAGATAGCAAGCATTTCCCAAGAAAGGACTCTTTATATTTTATACATTTATAAATATAAATGTAAAAGGATTTATATTTTAAACATTACTTCTGCCCATTTCTGGATGGAAGTGGTGCAATTTTAGCTGGCTTTGGGTTTGTCCCTAGCTCTTGCGCAGTGGTCTGCCTATGGTGCCCTACAAGAATGCTTAAAGTGAGGGAGTAAATGCACAAATGGGGTACTGCGTGAGTATGAGGCCAGTTGATTCTACTGATGAAGTGACAGTGAAAACTGCCATCCCCTCCCCATCTTTATCCCAGTTATTATTATTATTTTTTAAACTGAATCTACCGCCATATTCTCATACTATGAGAAAATGTAAACTTTTATCTGTAATGAACTGTAAGGGGAATCGTAGAGAGGACTGAGAGAGAGAGGTTTAGTAAAGAAGATGGTTTTAGAAGAGAAACCCTAGATCACATGAGTGATAGCAGCAGAAACTTACCCAAGTGAGAAGGCAAACTTGCAGTGATGTTTTTACCTGGATTGTGAGCTGTTCTATCAAGAGTCCTTGAAGGTTAGGTAGCTGGAGTTATCAGCCACCTTGGAGAGAGTCCTCTGGGCATGTTGGTGCTTCTTTGTGTATAGCAGTGCCAGAAGCGTTTGAACCAGAGTGACTCCATCTTAAATAAGGGCTGGGTAAAATGAGGCTGAGACCTGCTGGGCTGCATTGCCAGAAGGTTAGACATTCTTAGTTACAGGATGAGATAGGAGGTTGGCACAAGATACAGGTCACAAAGACACCAGTGATAAAACAGGATGCGATAAAGAAGCTGGTCAAAACCCACCAAAATCAAGATGGTGAGGAAAGTAACTGCTGGTCATCCTCACTGCTCGTTATACGCTAATTATAATGCATTAGCGTTCTAAAGATACTCCTGCCAGTGCCATAAATGCCATGGCAACATCTGGAAGTTACCCTCCCTAAAAGGGAGAGGAACCCTCAGTTCCAGAAATTCCCTGCCCTTTTCCCGGAAAACTCATGAATAATCTACCCCTTGTTTTGGCACATAATCAAGAAATAACTACACATAGACCCAGTCAAGCAGCCCCTGCTGCTGCTCTGTGTATGCAGTAGCCATTCTTTAATTCCTTGACTTTCTTAATAAACTTGCTTTCATGGTACTCTTTGGACTTGCCCGAAATTCTTTCTTACATGAGATCCAAGAACCCTCTCTTGGGGTCTGGATTGGGACACCTTTCTGGTAACAGCAATGTGATGCGGTTTGGAGACAGACAGAGCTGGACTTAAATTTAGGCTCAAACATCCACTAGTTGAGTGACCTTAGGTTAGTCCCTTTGCATTTTGAAAGTGGGACTTTCTACTGTCAAGTGGCGCTGCTAATATCTGCCTCTCAAGGTTCTCTTGGAGTTTCCAAATAATGACTAAAACCCTGGCTCATCACAGGCATTCCATAAACAGTGGAGGTTTTGTGGATGTGCTTAACTTTGATCAGGCAGAGAAGCAGAGAACAGAAGTTAGAATTCCTTTCCTTCCCCCACACCCCCCGATTTTTAGTGATTTTTGCTGTATCGCGTCTTTTGAAATGTGAATGTTGACCTCCCAACCTATTTTCGTTGATATTTAAGTCAACATTGAACTTCGTGTTTCCCAAATGGAAGGCTGTGTCATTATTAATCCATTTGGTCATTTCTTTCCTTTCATTTTCAAGCCCTTTTTAGTTACTTTTGCTTGAAAAGGTCTAACATGTACCTTTAATCTCCTTGTCATATAGCAAACTGCCATTTACATCTTTCTTTTTATAATATATGGATACTTTATTCAGTATAATTTTGTGCTTTGGCAATATGCAAGTATCATTATTATGTTTTTGCATAGTTACTATCTGGGTCAGATCATGGGACTATTCTTGTATATTTGAGAGAGATGACAAAATTAAAATGATAGTGAAGTTAGGTACTATTATCTCAGCCTAATAGAGCTGGTCTCAAATTGAATGATGCTTAAACTGATTCCAAGGTCATGATATGTGTAAATTTCATAAGTCTTGTTGGCTTGCATTTCCTTGCATTCCTAGTCATTAGAAAAGCCATTCACCTCCCCACTAATCAGTCTCTGAATGCTGCAAATCCCAGCACAACTGTCAGCCATTCCCTCCAACTCAGGAACATGGCATTGCCCCATTCTCTTATTTGCCATAGTCATTGTCTCTGGGCAACCTTACACAGTCCTCATACACCTCATCTGAGCTTCCTAAGGCATAAACGCAGCACCATAACAATAGTCCATTAAATAAAAAGGCTGTCTGTCCTGACATTGTGGTGCCCTGAAAATACTGAAGACCGCCAGCCACTTAGAAGCAATGAAAAACATCAAACTGGATAGAAATTGCGGTGCTGCTCTTAAGTTCAATTTTCCTTGTAGCTCAATTTCCTGGCTTTGCACTTTCCTAGGTAAATCACGTTAATAGAGGAGAAAGGCAGGGGCTACAGGGAGGTTGATAGTGGATAGCCGGATGGTCCTCTGGAGAGAGAGCATCTCATCCTGAACCATCAGGGAATAGGTAACAGGTACTCCTGACAAGCAGGTATTCAGTGGTATGAGAAGTCATTTAAATGGGAAGTGGGAGCAGAGGTCTTCTGCTGGAAGGGAGTATCTTCATTATTGCTGTCATGGTGCCTGTTAACTATCCCCATCCATCATGTGTTCAATACCTCAGTGAAATTAGCCAACTGCATATTACAACAGAGCTCTGATGTGCCAATCTCCCTTGAAAGCATTAAGCTGTCTCTGTTATGCGTTCTCCACACCCTCCGCCCCCTTTTACTGCCCATTAATGATCTTTCATTTGCATCACAGAACAATGAAGTCCTTTGGCCAATTATGTGAAATTATAGGTGCTCTGTAGATGTCCTCTGTCACCTGTTTACCGTCTTTGCTGAAGCGGTGGGCTGGAGTGGATTCATATTTTAAACATTACTTGACTTCTGCCCATTTCTGGATGGAAGTGGTACAATTTTAGCTGGCACAATGAGCCCCTGCCTTTGGCTTAATAAACTGGCTCATGCCCAGACTGGATGAAACTATAAAGTCAGTCTTGACAGATCCCTTTAAGGGTTCCTTTCAGCTCATAAACCAGGAAGGGAATAGGACATCTCAGAACATAACAACAAACTTGCCCCTTCTATCCCAGGAGACTTTTGGCATGCCTCCTCTGGGATGCTTCTCTTACCATAAAACCATTATTCCAACTTCATTGATTTGGAAAAAAAAGTTTGTACTTTTGAACACGAGTAAATGTATCATAATTTTCTAGGAACTGGAATACAAACGTAGGGGAAATGAACACTATGGAACATCTATTACCAGCCAGATGTGGTGATATGTACATGTATGTTAATTTTCAACCCAGCCTTGCAAAACAGATATTAAGCCTAACTTTATTAATGTGAGAATGGAAAAAATGATAGTTTAAGAAAATCATCTGGCCGGGTGTGGTGGCTCAAGCCTGTAATCCCAGCACTTTGGGACGCTGAGGTGGGTGGATCACCTGAGGTTGGGAGTTCAAGACAGACTGACCAACATGGAGAAACCCCGTCTCTAGTAACAATACAAACTTAGCCAGGTGTGGTGGCACACACCTGGAATCCCAGCTACTTGGGAGGCTGAGGCAGGAGAATTGCTTGAACCTGGGAGGTGAAGGTTGCAGTGAGCCGAGATCGTGCCATTGTACCCCAGCCTGGGCAACAAGAGCGAAACTCCGTCTCAAAAGAAAAAAAAAAGAAAGAAAATCATCCAAGATTGATGAAAACCACAAAGACCATTACCTTTCTTTTGCACAAGGAGGCAATCTTGAGCAGACCCAGAGAAAAGCACTGGGATCTGAGCTGCACCATTTGCTAGCTGAGTTATCATTGGCAAGTCATTCATCCTCTATGTGCCCCAAATTTATCATCTGTATAATAAGGAGAGAAACACTGTTCAGGTCTAGGATTGTCATGAGATTATGTTAGACATCATAACAGCCTTGAGCACAAGGAAAGTACTCAAGGACTGTTATAACATTTCTTTCCTTTCTACATATCCTACTCAGGAAAAAAGCTGAAAAAACTAAGGGAAGAGAAGATGTACTCACGTAAAAAAAAAAAAAAAAAAAAAAAAAAAAAAAAAAAAACCCCGGAGCATAAAAGCACTAAATTTCACAGCACTATTTATTGATATTACATAAGTTTAAGTAGGATGGTATAGCACTTAGTAGAAAAGCTTATCATTAAAGCAATGCCTGGGTAGTGTAAAAGTTAAAAGCAAGGAGTTAGGTGAGGGAGGGATCAATACTGAAGTCATACAGAATGACAATCACCTTTCTCCCTAAGAGGACTTTGATTGAAAAACAATTTTTTTTATTTATTTATTTATTTTTGTTTTTTTTTTTTTTTTTTTTTTTTGGGACAGAGTCTTTCTCTGTCGCCCAGGCTGGAGTGCAGTGGTGCGATCTTGGCTCACTGCAACCTCTGTCTCCTGGGTTCAAGTGATTCTCTTGCCTCAGCCTCCTGAGTAGGTAGGATTACAGGCACCCGCCACCATGCCCAGCTAATTTTTGTATTTTTAGTAGGGACAGGGTTTCACCAGGTTGGCCACGCTGGTCTCGAACTCCTGACCTCGAGTGATCCACCTGCTTCAGCCTCCCAAAGTGCTGAGATTACACGTGTGAGCCACCGTGCCCGGCCAAAACAAAAAACAATTTTAAGTAGCCAATACAGTCACATGACTCAAATATAAAAAATCTTAAAGGTTTGCAGGGGAAGTTTTTTTTTCAATACATTCCCAAATTCTATTCCCCCATTTCTCCTCCCCAGAGACAATTAGTGTTATCAGTTCATTATTCTTGCAGACTTTCTTTTCTTTTTCTTTCTTTTTTTTTTCTTTTTTTAAAGAGACAGGGTCTTGCTTTGTTGACCAGGCTGGAATACAGTGGTGTGACCATAGATCACCTCAGCCTTTAACTCCTGGGTTTAAGTGATCCTTCTCCCTCAGCCTCCTGAGGACTACAGGTGCCTGCCACCATGCCCAGGTAATTTATTTTTACTTTTTTGTAGAGATGGGGTCTTGCTGTGTTGCCCAGGCTGGTCTTGAACTCCTGGACTCAAGCAATCATCCTGCCTCAGCCTCTCAAAGTATTGGGATTAGAGGCATGAGCCAGTGTACCTGGCCAAATTTCTTATAATGTGTGTTTGTTAGCATACATATATAATATATAATATATGTAATATATAATATATGTAATATATTATATATAATATATGTAATATATAATATATAATATATGTAAGATATTATATATAATATATGTAAGATATAATATATATTATATATTACACAATATATAATATATAATATAATATATTATATAGTATATATAATATATTATATAATATATATATAGTATATAATATATATATACTATATATATATAATATATAGTATATAATATATATAATATATATATAATATACTATATAATATATTATATAACATATAATATATAATATATAATATATACTATATACTATATACTATATAATATACAATATATACTATATAATATATAATATATATAATATATACTATATAATATATACTATACTATATATAATATATAATAAATATATAATATATAATATATATAATATATACTATATAATATACTATATATACTATATAATATATAATATACAATATATATATAATATACAATATATATATAATATATACTATATAATATATACTATATAATATATAATATACAATATATAATATATAATATATATAACATATATAATATAATGTATAATATATACTATATATAATATAATGTATAATATATACTATATATAATATATAATATATATAATATAATATATAATATATAATATATATAACATATAATATATATAATATAATATATATAATATATATATAATTTTTTTGCCCCTCATATATTCTTTCTGGACTATCATTTACACTGTAATTTCACCTAAAATATACTTTTGAGATTATTGGCTTCTCATTATACCAAGAGCTTCCTTTTATTTTTATGCCAGCATGACATTCTAGTTTATGTATTATAATTTATTAAATCCCCATTGATGGATATTTATTTTATTCCCAATCTTTTTCCACCAGTAAAAAATGCTGCAGTGAATAATCATACACATATATCATTTTGCATGTGTGTGAGACTAGAACTGGTTTTCTGGGTCAAAGATTTTGTGCATTTGTAAAGTTGATAGATATCGCCAAATCGCCTTCTGTAGAGGTTGTGATTTTCTCTCTTCCTAGCATTGTCTGAGAGTAGTTGTTTCCCTATAGCTTTTCTATCCCAATTTTTAATGAAACTTCTGGATTTTTACCAATCTTATAGGTGAAAATTGTTTCCCAGTGTAACTTAAATAAATAGTTCTCATATGATGAAGGAGGTTGAGCCATTATTCTCATGTTTAAGAGCGATTACATTTTCTTTGCTGGGAGATGTCTCCTGTGAACAGTATCCTCTTTTCTGTTGTAATGTTTATATATCTCTTAAAATTATGTAAAGTACTTCGATTTTCCAGCTTGTCATTTGTCTTTTAACTTTGTATATTGTGCTTTTTCCCATGCAGATGTTTTTGATTTTTATGTAGTTAAATTTTAAATCTGCCTAACGTGATTTTTTAATTCCCTAAATTTATGTAGAATTTTTATTCCAGTGCAGTTTGGGCCCTTGGCTCCTTTCCACATCCCTCTTAACTGTGAATGGAATAAAAGCAAGCAGTGAAATGATTTTTCTGCTCTTCCATGACTCTTGTTACAGAGGCAGAGGTCAGCCCCATCCACTTCTTTCCATACATTTTGCTTAATACTAGGTGGTTAATAAATATTAAATGCATGAATGGGAGAGTGGATAAAAGCATGAAGGAAATGCTGAGTTGCTGAATACAGGCCCTGACAATGATGATATGTGAGTCCACAAAGCACAGAGACTAGGTGTTTTTGGATTCAACATGTTTATTCATTGGTCAGTGAGTTAACAATGCAGTATACAACATCATTCACTTTGTGAGTGGCCATTAAATGTTAATAGTTACTGTGCAACAGGTAGAATAAAGGAAGGGAAAAAAAGGGGTAAATATTCAAGACAAAACCAACAAAAATTCAGAACCTTGGACAGAACCAGGCCAGAGCTATTCTAAGGCATACATAAGAAGTCCTAGTGCCACCTAAACAAACCCTTTAGTTTGGGGGGCACGAGGACTTTCCCTTTCAGCATTTCTCATCTGTCCCCATGTCTAGGGGCATAGTGCCATTTTTCTCTCTAGAACTGGGCACTAGATTTTCAGCCACTACCCTATCATCAGCACCACTCCCACCTACTCGGCAATTGTTATTGCTGGCCTGTTTTTTGCAGATAGCTGTCCTCTTGCTCCAGACCAATTTTTAGGACTGACCGTTTTATAATAGAACATACTTTGTCCTATCCTGGAAAGATGGATGCTACTCTTGGCCACTTAACACTGTGGGGCATGGCCAGATAACGAAATCATGGTAAAATGGGAATGACTGGTACTAACTTACATATGTTACTCTTTAAACCCAAAGATTAATTCTCATATAGGAAGGTTTTATATAATGAGAAAGCTGAATATGGATACATTTTAAGCCTTAGGAATTTGGTTCGCAAGTTCCCGCAGTATTTGGTTCTAGTAATTAGCATTCTTTTAAAAACATTTTTTAGAGACAGAGTCTGGCTGTGTTGCCATAGCTTGAATTCCTGGGCTCAACCCATCCTCCTGCCTCAGCTTCCAAAGTAGCTGGGACTGCAGGTGCAGGCTGTAAACTGCATTCTTAAGTTTGTTAGTTGTTGTAGATAAACAAATTGTGCATGTGTCACAGGCTTTTGAACCAGAGCAACTCCATCTTGAATAGGGGCTGGGAAAATAAGGCCGATACCTACTGAGTTGCATTCCCAGGAGGTTAGGCATTCTAAGTCACAGGATGAGATACATCCTTGCTGATAAAACAGGTTGCGGTAAAGAAGCCGGCCAAAAGCCACCAAAACCAAGATGTTGACAAAAGTTAACTCTAGTCGTCCTCACTGCTCATTATACACTAATTATAATACATTAGGATGCTAAAAGACACTCCCACCAGTGCCATGACAGTTTACAAATGCGATGCCAACAACAGGAAGTTACCCTATATGGTCTAAAAAGGGGAGGAACCCTCAGTTCCGGGAATTGCCCACCCCTTTTCCAGAAAACTCATGAATAATCCACCCCTTGTTTAGCATGTAAACAAGAAATAACCTTAAAAATAAGTTACCAGCAGCCCTCGGACTGCTTTGCCTGTGGAGTAGCCATTCTTCTGTTCATTTACTTAATAAACTTGCTTTCACTTTATGGATTTGCCTTGAATTCTTTCTTGCGTGAGACCCAAGAACCCTTTCTTGGGGTCTGGATCGAGACCCCTTTCCAGCAGCACATGATGCTTTAAACTGAAGATAAAGTGAAAAAAGAAGTCCTGTTATAATAATGTTCCTTTATAATGTTAGTGTCAGGAGGAGTTTGGGGGTGGGGAGCATGCCAGGAGTCAGGGCTATCAAACTTCTGAAAAGATCTCTCTGATGCTCTGATAGCATCCGGGAGCCTGTGATACCTTAATTCTTCTGCAGGGCACATAGTAAATAGCTCACAAGGCTTCCTCGTGCTGTTTTATCTAATCTAATTCCTTTTCGGCCCCCTTGGCCACATAAGCACTTATTTTTCTCCATTCCTGCCCCTCTGGCTGGGAAGTAAGGTTTGACTCTGGCTTGCTGACATTCTTCAAAGCAAATCATCCTCAATAGCCAGGTTAGACTTGTGTATTTAAGCTGCTAAATGTGCATTGTCATGGAAGCTGTTGCCTTGATTTTGCATGACAGTATGCTGTTTCCTCCTGTCTGAAGCCTGACACCGGTGGGGGGATGTCTGAGGTCTTCACTACAAAGTAAAGAGACTTCCCGGAAGGAGCTTCTGATCTGGATGCTGACAAATAAGTAGATATGCTTTTATATCATTTTTTAAAGGTGATTCCGAGAGGGTGTGGAAGTGGGAGAATGTCAGGGTGCCACACACAGGCTGTCAGAAATGCTAAGGCAAAGTTTTTCATAATGCCTGAATACTTCAAATGATTTAACCATTGGAAGAGAGACAGATGATTATAGAATCTTAAAATAAAGCCAGAGAAGTAGGGAGCTGGAGAGGGCCCTGAGGGTGGGCAGGAGAAATGATCATCTATTGAATGCCTGTCATAGGCCACACCCCATGCGAGTTGCCTGACATAGATGCCTCTTGGTATCCATGGGGGATTCGTTCTAGGAGCCTCTAATATACCAAAATCTGAGCATACTCAAGCCCTGCAGTTGCCCTGAGGAATCTGGAGATACTAAAAGTCATCCCTCCCTATATATGGGTTTCACATCCCAGGAATACTGTATTTTTGATTTCTGTTTGGTTGAAATAAATCTGCTTGTAAGTGGATCCATGCAGTTCAAACCCATGTTGTTCAGAAGCCAACTATATATATATATATACGTGTGTGTGTGTGTGTGTATACGTATGTGTGTGTATATATATGTATGTGCATATATATACACACACACACACACACACAACTAATTCCCACAGGCTTATGGCTTAAGCATTTTTAACATAATCACGGTTTAGGAAACTGAGGTTCGAAAAGATGGAATAATCTTCTCAAAGTCTTGATACAAATAAAAGTACAATAAGTCAGTCTGTCTCCAAGACTCATCTCACTAAGCTGTCTCCACCTTTCCCACCCATTACATTCTCCTGCTTTGAAGGTGAGCAGACTTAGACGCAGGAAGATGAAATGCCTTAACTCATTTCTCAATCCAGAGCAGCAGGAAGCGTAAGAGGAGGAGAGGAGAACCCTTTCATCTTCATCCTCTCATCCTTCATGTTTTTAATGATGTGTTTTGATCACCACAGAGATTTTGTTGTTAACATAGTTTGAATCCCCTTCATGGCAGGTTCATTTAAGTGATGCGCATTTAATGAGTTGATAGAGTTGTTGCAGGTTGGAGCTCAGATGCTCACATAAAGGAGGGAGGGCAGACTCCCTCTAGTAACTCATTACTCAACATGCCAGCCAATACGCAGGAGCCTTGACAGGGACCCACGTGTGCCTGCCTCTGTGTGTATGTTTGTGTGTGTGTGTGTGTGTGTGTGTGTGTGTGTGGATGCACATGCATGTGTGTATGTTCAGAGATCAAGCAGGAGTGATTTTTTTTTGTCTCTCAGTTGATTCCTGGCAGCTAGACCACTCTGTACGTCCTAGGGAGCTTAAGGAAGTTAGTGGTCTATAAATCATCCACTAAGCCCCCGAATGAGACTCTCTGTTGGAAATGGTAACAGTAACTCCGTCAAGAGTAGACTGGGGTTCTGGCCTCATCATTATTGTCATAACATCTTCTGAGTCAAGTCACGCTCTTTGCACTTGCTGTCTGAAGCTGGCATTTGGAGATAAGCTTTTGTGATGTGTCATCAAGCCAGGGACTTCTTATGGAGGAAGGGAGTTGTGTTTTCCGGCATGTCTAGCATGATAGAAGCAAGGAAAACAGAACCAAACTGCTTTGGTGGAGTCCAGATCCCTTTTATGTGGTCCAGAGGATAAGGTCTGTGTGGTCCAGCTTGGACTGAAATTGCCCAGAGGCAATGAAAGGCTCCACAGATAGGGGTAAGTTTTAGTAAAATCAGTAGTGATGATTGTGTGTGAGAAATGGCTCATAAGTGGGAAACCACTTTATAATCCTGGCTGTGGCTGGGCCAGTAATTTATCAAGTGACCTTATGTTAATCATTTCACTTGTCTGGACCTCCACTTTCTCATCTGTGAAGTGGAAATAATGGTATCTGATCTATCTATTTCATAAGATTGCATCAAGGGTCAAAAGAGCTCACATATGTAAAACTGCTTTAAGGTTTTATGGCCCTATATGACTACAAGGTATTGTGAGGGGCAGTGTTGCATATCCCCCATTCAACCAGCAAAGTCCTGTTGATTCTACATTCCTTACAATTCTCCCATTGTAGGAGGTAGATTTATGAGGTGGCCGCTAAGATTCTTTCCCCTTGGTGCACAAGCTCTGTGTGATCTTCTCCCCTTGAGAGTGGGTGGGAAATGTGCCTATGATGAGTGATGTCGTTTGGCTGTGTCCCCACCCAAATCTCACCTTGAATTGTAGCTCCCATAATTCCCACATATTGTGGGAGACACCCAGTGGGAAGTAATTGAATCATGCGGGCGGGTCTTTCCCATGCTGTTCTCATGACAGTGAATAAGTCTCATGATATCTGATGGTTTTATAAAGGGGAGTTCCCCTACACAAATTTGTCTTGCCTGCTGCCACCTAAGATGTCCCTTTGCTCTCTCTTCGTCTTCTGCCATGATTGTGAGGCCTCCCCAGCTATGTGGAGCTGTGAGTACATTAAACCTCTTTCCTTTATAAATTACCCAGTCTCAGGTATGTCTTTATTAGCAGTGTGAGGATAGACTAATGAAATGAGATAGTCATTACTGTTATTATGTTAGCTTATTTACCACTCCGCCATAACAGCCTGGAAGGGGATCTCTCCTATTGGCCACCATGAGTCCTACTGCAAGGAAATGAATTCTGCCAACAACCAAGTGAGCACAGAAGAAGAATTTGTGCCTCAGATGAGACCCCAAGCCTAACTGACACCTTGATTTCAGCCTTGTGATATGCTGAGCAGAGAACCCAGCTAAGTTCTGTCCAGACTTCTGACTTACAGACCTGTGGGACATTAAATAGATGTTGCATGAAGCTGCTAATATTGTGGTCATTTATTATGCAGCAATAGAAAAGTAATACACCCATTTCTTCCTTTTATTTCACTTTTGCTACTATCAAACACATTCCAAAAAGTAACTTATTTTACCTAGACTATTGCCATAGTCTTCCTGGAACCAGTATTTTCTTCTCTCCCCTCCTCTCTGGTAATCTATTTCATACTGAGACATGTGACTTCTCTATATTATATATATCCTTGATTCTATTGGTGAATTTTTTTTTTTTAATTTTCACATTTCTAAAATAGGGCTGTGTCTCATGATGGATGTGCACATTTAGTATAGTGCTTGTTTTCTTCCCCCAAAAACTCTTATTAAATTGATGATGCATTTTACTAATTGATGGTGTCTAAAAAATAGAGGAAATCTGGTAGCTTAGTCTTAAACACATCTATTCTAGCACTAAATAAAATCTAGTGAGAGCCTTCCTTCAGATGCCTTACCAGAGGAGAAAAGAGGGTCCCCTTCTCAAGACCTTCTTGAACGGCATCAACAGTAAAAGACACTGATGACCAGGAGTTTCCCTCGGAAGAAGCTGGTGTAGGCGACATCAGCCAACAATATACTGGAACTCAACATCTTTGCAGTTATTTTCTTCTTTCTTATTGCTCCAGGTTGTTGGCACTCCAGATTCTTCTGTCACCCCTCTTTCTCTTTGGCACCAATGACCAGCATTCCTGGTACAGACTATTTCCCGATTCCCAAACAATGCCACAGATGGTGACACATTTCTTGTGATTTTCCTATTTATCATGTCTCTGCTTTAGCAGAGAGACCATCTGGGATCTCCTCCCAGGGATCCCAGGAGATTCCATTCATTGCTTGACTTAAGCCTCAATTGGATTTATTTTAGACAGAGGAGAGAGCTCTGGCACAGGAGCAGAAGGCTCAGATATCACCCATCAGCTGTATGACCTTGGTGGTATCACTCCTTCCTCCCCCAGCCTCAGTTTTCTCATCTGTACAATGAGGTGTTCTCTAAGATTATTGTTATATTCTCTGACTAGCCCCAGAGCATCTTTTGCCTCATTTCAAATCTCCCCCAAAGTCATAGCAGAGAGTGGGTACTACAGTGAAGTCAGTCCATGCCACCAAGGGCTCCTGGGCTCCCTTGGGCATGCCAACAAGAGAGTCGGGGGAGGCCCAGGTCCTCTGCTCATCCCATTGTCCTTAGCAGGTAATAGAGCCATCACCCAGACTTCCTACAGCATGTTTTCCTGCGCAACCAGACTAACTGACATCCTTCTGTCTCCAAGTTCGTTCCTGCAGATGTTTCCAATCCTCATCACTTTATCATAATTGTTATGATAAGCATTTCTGCCAAAATGGTAGTAAAAACTCAATTTGCCTGAGCAAAATTAGCAAGAGAAAGTGTTCACGGCTAGTGCAACCTGGTTATTAAGCCATAGCAGGAATTGGCTGCAGCTGTGAAGTAAGATATAATTAAAATCTGAGGCCCTTCACCACGTATCTGGTTTGTGCATTTGCAATGTTGTAGATACATGAATTACTGGGGCTGACCAGCTCAAGCTGTCCACTGGGAACCTGTCCAGAGAATTATATCTATTTGAATGTTAGAGAGAGAGAGAGAGAGAGAGAGAGAGAGAGAGAGAGAGAGAGAGATGCAAGTATACACATTCAGGACAGTGCAACAATAACTTGGGTAGACACATAAGGCGTGGAGGTGGAGGAGACAGACCCCACCCTGACAATCATGGGCTCTAGTTTAGATGTGCCATCAACTGTGTGACCTTGGACCAGTCACTTACCTTTCAGATTCTTAGCATCCTCTTTGGTGATATATAAGAAAGTAAAGATTACTCATAAGACGCTTGGTTCTAAAATTCCTGGCTGCTATTCTATTTGTAAAAGATAGAAAGAACGGCCAGGCACAGTGGCTCATGCCTGTAATCCCAGCACTTTGGAAAGCCAAGGCAGGTGTATTGCTTGAGGCCAGGAGTTCGAGACCAGCCTGGCCAACATGGTGAAACCCTGTCTCTACTAAAAGTACAAAAGCAGGCCATGGTGGTGCATGTCTGTAATCTCAGCTACTCGGGAGGCTGAGGCAGGAGAATTGCTTGAACCCGGGAGGTGGAGGCTGCAGTGAGCTGAGATTGCGCCATTGCATTCCAGCATGGGAGACAAGAGCAAAACTCCATCTAAAAAAAATAAAAAATAAAAAATAAATAAAAAGAACAGGCCCAACATGAATAACTCAGAGCCGTAAGAGTAGAGGACATCACAGATTCAAGAGGGAAAGACAAGACTGATGGAAATGAAGCCAGGAAACGCTGAGCAGTAGGCTTAGTTATTCTGATCAGTCTTTTATTTTTCAATTTATATGGACACTAGTATCTCATTAACACTTTTTTCCCCTACGCAGTCATGATTTTATTAAACTCATATGCAGTACTTTTACCTGCTGAAGCCCTTGGCTGGGCTATTAATGATAGCGCTTTTCTTGTTATAAAAGTCAAAGGATGTTTTGGGACTGGCCTCTGGCCCCCCTACTGTACTGCCACCCCTAGACACAGTTGTATCTTCCAGTCTTTCGCGTTCATTTCAAGTGAAGGGTGTGTGGGTACAGTGAGTATTATGGGTCTCAGCGCCTCCATAGACATCTGATACTTTGATTTCACTTACATACCTTAGGGCTACTGGAGAAAGCTGATGTTCCTGGAATGTTTCTTATGCCTTACTCATTTATTTGGGCTTCAAAAGATGCTGGTGGTCCTGACTTGGATCCCCCAGAGGCCCTGGTTGGTAGCTTGCAGATGAGGTTCTGCTTTGGAGCTGTGGCAGAGGACAGGAATACTGTGGTTGGCAGGGCATCTAGAATCCAAACATCTATCTGCTATCTTGGTTAACCTGCTGGGGGAAGCTGTCCTTCAAAACGGAGGATTGGGCTGAGGAAATGTAGGCTCATTTCATCTTAAAAAGGCTACTGTCTCCCACTACTCTCGGGCACTTTCAGCAGTTTGGCCACATGTTCGGTAATGTGTCTCCTAAAATCTCAGAGATGGTCCATCCTCTAACTGCCCCTTGTCTCCTGTGTCCTCCCCACAGGAACCATGTTAAGAGTACTCCCGGCAGGGTGCGGTAATCCAGGCAATACAGCCTCATGCCTCTAATCCCAGCACTTTGGGAGGCTGAGGCGGGAGGATCACATGAGGCCAGGAGATCGAGACCAGCCTGGCCAATACGGTGAAATCCCGTATCTACTAGAAATACAAAAATTAGCCAGGCGTGGTGGTACGCATTTGTAATCCCAGTTACTTGGGAGGCTGAGGCACCAGAATCGTTTGAATCCAGGAGGCGGAGGTGCCAGTTAGCTGAGATCGCACGAGTACACTCCAGCCTGGGTGACAGAATGAGATGCTGTCACAAAAGAATAAAATAAAATAAAAGAACACCCCTGTGTTGCTGTGGTTTTCTCTTCACTGCTACACAAACTGTGTGGAGGTGGGTGAGCTTCTTGTTCTCTAGGGGTCTTGGTTTTTCTCATGACTGTGAGAACAGGGCTAGAGAGAATCTCTAGTTTTCTTGTAGGAAAAGTTATGGCCTGTCATGCTTCCTAGACCGAAGTAGACAGCTGGGATTGGACTCTAGCAGAGTTGGCATAAGGATTTTTAGACCATGTTTTCTCTTGCAGTCATTGGACCCAGGTTTTCAGGGATTGAAGTTAACTCCTGACTCAGGCCCTCAAGATAAAAGCAGGTGAATCTGAAATGGGACAACAAAGAAAAAGAGTGAAGGGTCCCTAAAATATGTCAAATATCAAGGGTCTGCCCCTGTGCTAGGCATTGTCACCAATATTGCCTCATTTGGTAGCACACAGTGCTTAGGAGCAAAAGCTCTGTGTTCTGATTGCCTGGGTTCAAATCCTGCCTGTAATACTAAGTATCCATATGGTTTTGGGAAAATTATGTGAGAATTTCATACCTCAGTCTCCCGATCGATCTGTAAAATGGGGTAAGAACACCCCGCCACGGAGTTATTGTCAGAAATTAAATATGTACATGCAAAAAACACAGAAAAGAAATGAACATGTAACAAGTGCTAAATACATGTTAGCTATTATTACTACTATTCAGTCTTAATCACACACACACCTTTTTACGAATATGGAAACAGGTTCAGAGAGGTCACGTAGCCTACCTGACTCACCTAGCCAGTTAGTGACAGAGTTGAGTTTCAAACCCAAGTTTATCTGGCATCAAGCTCATATTGATTTTCTTCCCGCTATACCTTTAGAGTCGATGAGATTCTGGAAGAATTATTTTCCTATTCCGTTTTGACTTTCATAGCATCACCATGAAAACATATTAGAGAAATCTGGGACTCACGGTTCATTCCCCAGACATAGACTCTCATTCAGGAAGGGGGCTGTCATGCTGAAATTTCAATGCCTCCAATGCGGAATTAGGCTGAGCCCCGACAGAAGTCCCAGCTGGGCAGAAACTGAGCCACTCACTTCAATCGGCCCTTTCCGCTGCCAGCGTGGGAGAGGAAGAGAGTGTGCTTCTGTTACAGTCAGATGTTCATCATGGAAATAGATAATTTACCTTCCTTGAGGCTTGGTTTCTGCATATAGGAACTAGATCCCGGTCCACTTGCAGGGTTGCGGTCATCGTGGCCTGATAGTTCCCCATTCGAACTTCCTGGCACGTAGTCGGGGAGACCTCAGCCAGTGTTCATTTCCTTTGCACCCCTTTCTGTCTCTTATGCTAGTTGATCTGATAAATTTTCCTAACAATCTGAAACTGTGTATCTACAATCCTCCAATCATTTCTGTGTTTTTACATATAAAAGTAAAAGCTTATTGAGGGTTGTAATTGCTTGGGGATTTCCCTTCTTGCAGTCTCTTTGGGTAACCAAAGCCTCTCTGGCTTCTCGCAATGTTTCTGATGTTAACATTTTAATAACACACTCAGAGTGTTTTTGTTTTATGAATTCTAATATAGATGGGAGTTCTCCCCCAGAGAGGTTTTTAAAGCAGGTGTTTTTAAGTGAATAACTCAATATCTACATGCATATTTCTGTGACTAAAAGCCATTTTTTCTTCCAGACGTCAAATTGCTCTAGTTTTCAGGCAGCTCTGGGGTGGTCACCTGCCTTGTTTAAAGATTCTTTTACCTTTCTCTGAGGAGCTTACTGCACTCTGAAAGCCTTGTAGTGTGTGTGTGTGTGTGTGTGTGTGTGTGTGTGTGTGTGTGTATGTGTGCTGTACAATCAGAAAAGTTTGTCCACAGCTTAAGGTGGACTTCCTCTCCCACATTAAGTGGAAAAAAAAATAGCTGTAACATCTATGAACATATCTCCAAAAAGAAGGCCTGACTAGGTAACAATTCATCTACCTCTTCTGTTGGACTTATTTGCTCCCTTCTTATAGAGAATTGCAGGATCTGCCTGATCCGGAGGAACCTTCTGATCTCATTCCACACACCCTGGACATGAGCTTTTGATCTCAAAGCTTACAGGACAGTGCACAATTGCTGTGCCTAGAGAGTCTACTGCAGAGGGGGAGGAAAGAGCGATGATCACTGGTGTGGAAGTGTGGTCCTAAGAGAGCTTCTGAAACTCTTGTATCTAGGGGACTCTCCTGGGAGAACTTAATAGGGATTTCTCCAAAGTTACGCTCACAAAAGCTTGGGCCATACCACTGCTCCAGCATTCTCAGGGTGTCAGGATACCTACTTATAGATTAGGGAGCTCGAAGTCTTGCGATTAGAAGTCCAAGACACAGAGAGGGGAACAACACATACTGGGGCCTGTCATGGGAGCAGGGGGAGGGAGGGCATAATAATAAATAGCTAATGCATGCGGGGCTTAATACCTAGGTGATGGGTTGATAAGTGCAGCAAACCTCCATGGCACAGGTTTACCTATGTAACAAACCTACATTTCCTGTACATGTATCCTGGAACTTAAAATAAAATAAAGTAAAATAAAAAGTCCAGTTATTGCCTTTTTATAACCAGCATTTCCTAAAGTTATTTCAACAAGGAGCTCGTTTCTTGTTGCACATGTGGTAGCGTGCCGGGGAAAGCTGTTCTGCAGGACATTAGTTGTGAAGTGCTGATAAGGAATAGACAGATCCCCTGAAAGGAGCATGGATACTCGATTTATCCATTTTGGAGCTGAAGGGAGGGGCCCTGCCATCTCTGGTCTTCGAGATCATAGAGCCTGAGAGAATAGAACATCAAGCTGGAAAGGACTCGAGGCTCAGTCAGCTCAACCTTCCCACCTTGACCTTGCTCAGGGAGGGCAAGAAGCTCTGCTCAAGCTCACGGATTAAGCCGTAGCAGCGTGACAGTGACTGGAACCTGGGTATTGCTACCCATGCGCGTGGGGCTGCAAGCTACCACCTTAACCGCAAAGGCCAAGAAACGTGGAGCGGAGAAAAGGAGGGAGATGAAACATGCAGAAGGAAAGATAGGGAAGAGACAAAGGAAGAATTTTGGATGCGGATTCTTAGACTAGATTACCGGGGGTGGCGGAGGGCTGGCAAAGCCTAGAAGTGCACAAAGGATGTTGAACAAGCTTCAGACGAGAGTTAAAAAAAAGTATCAGCGTAGAAGGAATTGTGTCTGCCTAGGAAAAGGGTGTGGCAAGAGGAGGAGCGGCACTTGCGGAGAGCTCGGAACACTCCGCCGAGAATGACTTTTGGAGCCATTTGGCAGAGATTAGGGAAAAGAATAAGTGGACACGCTCCAGTTATGAAGAAAAGACATATGGGGATTTAGATTATGAACAGACGGAAGAGGAAGAATGAGGAATCATTCTTTGGAGATAAAGACTCTCCGGAACAGAAGCGATGCTGAAATGCGTAAGTCGACAGTAATGACGGATCCCTTTCCTTTTATGGCACTTTACAGTTTATAAAGCACTTCCACCTGTGTGGTCTCACATTCTTCTGGCAGCACATCCAGGTTCTTACATAATGACAGCTGGGAGAAGAACTGGTGAGAAAGCTCCCTGTGAAAAGAAGGAGGCAGGATAGGAGGGAGGGAAAGAATGATCACTTGGATTCATCCATTTATGAAAATAAATGGAGGGGCAGTGTGCACAGCACAGCAGTTAGGCGTGAAGAGTCTACAGGCAACTCTCTGGGTTCAAATCCCTGCTCTATCACTTAATAGCCGTGTGACCTTGGGCACATTACTTAACCTCTCTGTACCTTGGTTTCCTTAGGTGCAAAGTGGGGGTAATCACAGTACCAATTTCTAGGGGTTTTATGATGACTTATCTTTCTTCTGCTTATAGGTGTCTGACAGAGCTAGGAAACCACTTGGGGAAAAAGTGGGAACACCCTTATTAGAAAGTAAATTTCTCTATGGTATTATAGATACTATGTATTTTTAAAATAACATTTGTCGAGGCAAAAGATTTGGTGTTTAATCCATTCAGGGGAGGTGCTTTGGAGTTGGTAATGGAAATGAATACGTGTGCAAAATCCAACACAGGAGGCAATTTAACCATAGACATGTCAACTGGAGGACTGAAAGTGCCTTCGTGGTATTTCGAGACCTGGAAAACGTTCTGATTTTTTGGTCTCTGTGTAAAATGTGGACGTGTGTGGGCCCCGCTGCCAGGACCTACCGAGGGGCTTCATCTGCCTGCCCACACTGCACAATGCCAACTGTCTCTAGAATATTACTAATGTCTGCATGGGCCCAGTGAGACCTCTCTCACCTGCACCCCTGCAGACACAGCCTCCAGGTCAAACCTTAGTATGGTGGCTGGAGTTCACAACCAGACAACAGCTTCCTCTGCTATTCCCTGCCTTCCTCCATTCCACACACTGTGGCTCAGGCCTCCCAAAGCCCAAAGATGGAGTCAGAGCACCCCCCGAGCAGGTGTCAACCACTCTTCTTCACTGCAAAATTCCCGTATGAGCTTCCGCATGGTGTGTGGTCTGAGCATAACTCAGTGAGCTTCTGCATGGTGTGTGGTCTGAGCATAACTCAGTGCTTGGCACACGGATAGGCCTGTTCATGGCAGCTTTTTGATAATTTTGGGTTGTGGAGTCTTCTGTCCCAAAGGGCTGGCTTAGAAACTGAGAACCAAGGAGGGTGGTGAGTGTGCCCAGGGGTACCCCCTAGAGTTCACCCTGAGACCTGGAGTGCCCGGCAACATCTAGAAAGGGATCACTCTCCTCCACTTCCAGCAGGCGCAGTTTCGGGAGAGGCAGGCGAACAGGACGTCTGGTGACAATACGTCCTCAGAGCTCCTTGAGAAGGTCTAAGTACAGTAATTTGTTGTAATGACTCAAATTTAAAACAATAACCCAGAGGCATAATAGCCTGGGCCAAGAATACCTCCTGCATGTGATGGGCCGTTAATGGGAAATGAACGGTTTGATTTGGTGGCAGAGAATTTTCAGATGGCTTTCACTCTGGATGTGTAGCGTGCGGTGTAGAGAGTGAAGTTTCCTATCGGGGTTAATTTGGACCACTTCCTCTCTGCCTACTGAGAGCCATTCTTCTGATGGAGGCCCCTTTACTGCGCCACTCTCCCAGCAACTTGAAGCAAATCTCTGAGGCCTCACTCCTGTGTTCCTTCTCTCTCATTTTTTCCCTCCCTCTTCCCTCTCCACCGCCATCTCAGCGAAGCTGCTACTTCAGAGCCACTCTTCTTAGTGACAGCCAGGGGAGTAAATCTATTTTAGCTGTAGGGCATGTGTCAGCCAGGTGGAGAGGTGACGAGACAGTGTGGAAATCTGCCCAGACCACGGGAGACCTGGCGGCCATCCCCAAAGCTCCCATGGGACACAGAATAGGCAGATCCAGCAGGCAGTGACTGTGGTAAGGTCTCCCCGCTGAACAGCAGAAGGGCTGCTACTGGAACCCAGCTCCACTCTCCTTCCCCTCTCTCTGGAGGACTTCCTACCTCTGACAGCATTGACTTAAGAGCCTGGCAACCATCTCTCAGGAAGGCCTGGGTTTAGAGGGCCTCATGTTTCAAAAACAGCATAGAATCTTAAAAGTCACTGAGCCCAACTGCTCACCCAGGGAAATGGTTCTCTTTCTTTCCTTTTTAGGCCTCACTCCTCCTTCCTGGTATTGCCTTCCAGGTACCCACTGTGGACCCACTCAGGCAGCATCACCAGGCCTCCATGTGCCAGCATCAGCCTGTGCTTCCCCATCAACACGGCCATCCTCACAGATCCCTTCACTCTGCAAATGCTCTTAGGGGACTTCCCAAGAAATTAATCTCTAAGGGTAGAATCCTACATTATCATTACGACAGGCCAAAAGGAACACACACACACAGACACACAGAGTGACACACACATATGCACACACATATACAAAGACATACATAGATATATACACTGGAGAAAGATACAGATGCACACACATACATATGCAGAAACATACACAGACACACACATACCACCTGCACACAGATATAGAGATACACAGACACACACACCAACACCTGCACACAGATACAGACATACAGAGACACACATAGGGACACACACAGACACACACCAATAATTGCACACAGATATAGACATACCTAGACACACATAGAGACACACACAGGCACACACACATACACACCTACACACAGACACAGACATACATAGACACACATAGAGACATACACAGACACACACCAACAATTGCACACAGATATAGACATACATAGACACACATAGAGACACACACAGGCACACACACATACACACCTACACACAGACACAGACGTACATAGACACACATAGAGACATACACAGACACACACCAACAATTGCACACAGATATAGACATACATAGACACACATAGAGACACACACAGGCACACACACATACACACCTACACACAGACACAGACATACATAGACACACATAGAGACATACACCGACACACACACCTGCACACAGATACAGACATACACAGGCACACATAGGGACATACACAGACACACACACCAACACATACACACAGATCCAGGCATATACAGAACACACACAGAGACATACACAGACACGTACCCCAACACCTGCACACAGATACAGACATACAGAGACACACATAGAGACACACACAGACACACACATACACCAACACCTGCACACAGATACAGACATACACAAACATAGAGGCATACACATACACACCACTTATACAGACATACACAGACACACATAGAGACATACACAGACACACACAGACACACCCAAATACCCACACACTGACACACACAGGGAGACAGACACAGTTTTTTGTGGGAGACTTTTACAACTCAGCACTAAGAACGCTGGTTTCATGATTCCTTGAAAGAAAATAATTTCTTTGTGGAGAGTCAACATATTCAGTCCAATACAGCAAATGGCCCCTGTAATGGGTTGAACCATGTATTCCAAAAAGCCATATTCAAGTCCTAACCTTGGTACCAGTGAATGTTGTTACCTTATTTGAAAATAGGTTCTTTGCAGATATAATAAGGCAAAGATGAGGTCATACTGGATTAGGGGGTGATATGGTTTGACTGTGTCCCCACCCATATCTCATCTCAAATTGTAATCTGCTTAATCCACAAGTGTTGAGGGAGGGACCTGGTGGGAGGTGATTGGATCATGGGAGTGGTTTCCCCCATGCTGTTCTCGTGACAGTGAGGGAGTTCTCACAAGAGCTGATGGTTTTATAAATGGCAGTTTCCCATGGGCTTTTCTCTCTCACCTGCTGCCTTGTGAAGAAGGTGCCTGATTCTCCTTCTGCCATGATTGTAAGTTTCCTGAGGCTTCCCCAGTCATGTGGAACTGTGAGTTAATGAAACCTCTTTCCTTTATAAATTACCTATTCTCAGGCGTGTCTTTATAGCATGTGGACCCTAACCCAGTGACTGGTGTCCTTATAAGAAGGGGAGAGGAGGGACACATGCACACACACACACAGTGAAGTATGCTGCATGATGAAGGCTGAGATGGCAGTGCTGTCAAGGGATGCCAAGGCAGCCACCAGAGGCAGGAAGAGGCAAGCAGAATTCTCCCCCAGAGCCTTTAGCGCAAGATGGCCCTGATGACATCTTGATTCCAGACTGTGTCTTCCAGAACAGTGAGAAAATAGATTTGTGTTGTTTTAAGTCACTAGGTTTGTGGCCATTTGTTAAAGCAGGTGCGGGAAACGAATGTGATCCCTAAATGCTCACTGAGTGCCAGGCTGGTGCTCTTCCAGAGGCAAGACCTAGCAGGGGATGAAGCTTGCACAGCCCTGGCCTCAGGGAGCTCCCCACGCTCTCTTCAGAGGGCTCTGGAGCGCTCAGCCCTGATGGAGGTTTGCCCTCATTCCCTCCCAGCAGCATCCACATCAGCTCCACTTCCCTTTCATGCAGCTCTACTGTGGACTGGGCATCCTCCACCCATCCAGCATGGGGCTGAGAGCCAGTGGAAGGTGGTCCCGTCCCCTCCAGACAATGACTTCTCTAGGAGTGTGGGAAAGTATTTGGCTTTGGTGTTGAATAGGCCCCAGTTTTAAATCCTCACTCCATCACTTAGCAGTTAAAACTTCCATTTCCTCATGTGTACAAAGGGAATACTTGGATGTTGACAGGAAATTGAGAGGCAGATTCCAGAGACAGACAGATGGACCTAGGTCCTCTCATCTCCCTTTCTACTGACCACTTGCAAACAGTGTGACCTTGAGCAAATTGCTTACCTTCCTAGGTCTCAATTTCCTCATCAATAAAATAGGAATTTGGATGGCATTGGTCCCATATCAGGGCTGTGAGTATGGACTGTCATACCTGTAAGATGCTTACATGAATTCCTGGAAAATAGAAGGTGCTTGATAAAGAGTCGCTGTTATTATCATTTTACTAGTAAGGAAACCGAGTCCCAGAGAGGTGTTAGAGGCTGCGCTGGTCGTGATATCATTCTCAGGCTGATGGAGTCTCTGAATAGCACTGGATTGCTCATTTGAGAAGTATTCATCAAGAGGCTGTACTTCATGCCATTAAAAGTCCCAACCTGAAATCAGACAGCCCTAAATGCCATCTCAAAACTTATTAATTACAAGCTATGTGACCTTGAGCTTGTTAGTTAAACTTTGTGGGCCTCAGTTTTTTCACCTATGCAGTAGAGATATCAACCTCATTGGGTTGTGAAAGGGGTGACATTAGGATAAATGTTAATACTTAACCACACATTGTAAGCGTTCATGAATGTTTGTGGCTATTTGTATTTGTTAGGATTAACTTCAGCTGTATGTAACTAAATAATAGTGGCTTTAAAAGCCCCCAGATTCATTTTTCTCTGTCAAAAGAGTACGGAGACAGGCAGTCCAAGAATAATAAGACTGAGTCACAAAGTCACCAGGGACCCAGGCTCTACCTGTGTTTCTGCTCTGACATCCTCAGTATGTGGCTTCTATGCTCAAGGCTATAGCGTGACCCAGTGCTGCTGCTGGAGATGCAGCTGTCCTGTCCATTATCTGAACAGCCCAAGGGAGGAGGAGGTGTGTGTGGGGATGCGGGAAACACTCTCAGTTGAGCTGGCTCTCTTTCTTTTTCTGCATCTTTATTGAGGTACAGGTGACACCCGTCAGCTCCATTTAAGGGTCCATCCCTCAAGTCAGCTCTTTGCTTCAATCTCATTGGCTGGGACCTCATCATGTGGTCACATCTGTCTGCAAAGGAGGCTGGGAAATAGAGTCTTATGGCTGCCGGTAGTCAAATTCAGGCTCCATGACTAAATATAAAGGGTAAATGGACATCAGGAAGGCAAATACCAGCCTCTGCTAGATTGTTGTTATTGTTTTTATAGTTGTTATTCTCATATGCCAGGAACCTATCCTTTAGGAATTTTCTATTTTTAATGCAATGTTATAAATATTGTGAGAGAGGTGCATAGTAAGGGATGTGGAGCGCTTGGTGGGGAAGGATGAACTTGATCTGAGGCATCAGGGAAAGCTTCACAGAAGTGATGTTCAAGGTGAGCATGATGTTTAAGTGATTTGCTAGGATTACACAAAGGGCATGGAATTCCTAGCAAAAGGCACGCCATACATAGAGTCTTGTTGTTTCATGAGCCTGGTGCTTGGCTGCTTGGAATTTGGCTTGTTGGAAATTGTGCTACTGACGGACAGGACAAACTTCCAGGGGTTATCCTGGCACATCTCTGATGCACATAGTCTCCAGGGCAGGTGGTGAGGGGTGATGAACCCTGCTATCCATGAAGGTTCCCTGATTCTCAATTCCGATTTCACCAGACAGCCATCTATTTGTTAAATTAAAACCAGCCGGTTATTGAAAGAAACATATTTATTGAGAATTAACTGCCATGTGCAAAACGGGTATTTACTACCTACTTGTCAAACATCAGTGAATTTGTGTTTAATAGTCATTTTTTTCAATTAACTGACAAAAATGCATCCCGTTAATTCTAAATTAAATGCATATTTGCAGAACTCTAATTCACAACATCATCAAATCATGTCTTCCCAGCCAGTTTCTGATAGTTTTGTGTTGATGAAAGAATCTCAGTTGTTGTCCTTAGAGACAAATATTTTTTGTATGGATAAGCAGTTGTAACCTGGATTAGCAGACAAGAGTCTCTTTTTTCTATTCACCTCTTCCCTGTTTTCTTCCCTTCACTCCTAAATCCTTCATGTACTACAGGCACCTGGAGGGTGCCTCTAGCTGGAATGATTTTGGATGATCTAAGTTGATGGTTTAAACTTTACCTCTGTCTTTAACCTCCCAGTGATAGAAGTTCTTGGAAAACTTACCAAGCAGTAGATCTCCTTTCCCTAAGGTGCAGGACAAGATCACAAGGCTAGGAGTCAAACAATCTGGGAGGTTTTGACTTTTCTTCTTCTTTTTTTTTTTTTTTTTTTTGAGGCTGAATCTCGCTACAGGCATGCACCACCATGCCCAGCTAATTTTTTTTTAGGGACTGGATCTTGGCTATGTTGCCCAGGCTAGTCTCGAACTCCTGGCCTCAAGCAGTCTTCCTACCTTGGCTTTCCCAAGTGGCTGGGATAATAGGTGTGGACCACTATGCCAGGCTAATTCTGAATTTTGTTATGTGACCTTGGATAAGCCCTTTTCTTCCTTAAAGCATTTGTATCAGAATGAAGCTAAGCAGGTTTCTTCACTGCAGCATTTTTTTTTTTTTTGAGACGGAGTCTTGCTCTGTTGCCCAGGCTGGAGTGCAGTGGCACGATCTCAGCTCACTCACTGTGTCATTTTTAAAGAGAAATTTCTACGTTAATGTGCAAGAGAACCTCCAGTTGGGAAATGGGTATAGTTTTTCTAAAGCTTCTTTGACCACAGAACATTTTTTGTTACTGGATCATCTGGTGGATTGGTGATATGAGAAATACGTTTTGATAAAGGGTAGGAAGGATGATTTCTAGGGTCATCTGGCTCTAGCATTTTAGGATTTTGTTTCCTAGTCCAGAAACTGGAGCCAGCTTCCAAAGGATGACTTGGCAATACAGGCCTCTCTGCCCACCAGACTCTCCTACTTCTGCCCCCAACTTCTGGCCAGATTCGAGGAGATGCGAAACATTGCCTGGCATCCTCAGAAGCCCTGCCCTTTGGAAATCTGCCAGACAAGAATAGGAATGGAGTGATCTCTGGAGCCTGCTCCCTCCCTGCTGCATCCAGCTGCACTTAGCATTCAGCTCCTGGCCTTCCCCAGCGCAGCAATTACATGCTCAGCATCCACCTCAGAAATATGTAAGTGGTAACAAATGCCCTGAGGGTTCATTATCATCCAGCAGTGCAGACAGTACTTGCGTGGGGACATGGGGCACCTTACAGAAGGCAGTGATTTCTCTCCTCGCTGGCTGAGCCATGTGACTGCACATATGCTGAAATTGCAATGAGAGGGGCTGCAGAGCCCACTCTCCTTGGCACAACATTGCTGTGGCTGCTAGTATGGCTGCCTTTGCACAAAGCGACTACTGCACACCCTCCAGACAACTCAGCATCAGTGGGGACTCCCCACCACCGCCATAGCTGGTAGAGCAGTCTCTACCTAGCCAAAGAGGAGACTTCACTGACAATCCGTAATCAAACAGGGCAAAGCTCCTAGAAGCCTCAGAAAATGCATGCCCCCAGGAGTCCTCACAGAGGTTTGCTGATACCCTGGCTGTCCCTTCCCAGTCCAGGATCTTTTAGGTCATTAAAATAGTGGGTCTAATGTCTCAGGATGCTTTTACATTCTTAGAAATTATTGAGAATCCAAAATACTCTGCTATGTGCTGATTATTATTATTATCATTATTTTATTTTTTGAGACAGGGTCTTGCTCTGTTGCCCAGGCTGGACTGCACTGATACAATCATGGCTCACTGCAGCCTCCATTCCCTGGGCTCAAGCAGTCATCCAACCTCAGCCTCCTGAGTAGCTGGGACCACAGTCATATGACACTATGAGCTGCTAATTTTTAATTTTTTGTGGAGATGGGGTCTCACTATGTTGCTCGGGCTGGTCTTAAGCTCCTGGGCTCAAAGTGATCCTCCCATCTTGGCATTTGAAACTATTGGGATTACATGAACTATCCATGCCTGGTCGATATGCTGGTCATATTAATTGGCATTTGTTAAAGTAGACATTATAACTGAGAAACCAAAAAAATTTATTAATTCATTTCAAAATAAGACAAATATATGCCTTGTGAGTTAGTATAAATAGAACACTTTTTTCTTCCGTAAAAGAACTATATTTTCCAAAGCAAACAACACATGTGTCAAGAAGAGTGGCTTTGTTTTACACTTTTGCAAATCTTTGTAATGTCTGGCTTAGTAGAAGACAGCTAGATTTTGTTATTTCCTTCCTAAGTCATCTGTCACGATATGTTGTTTTGGTTGAAGTATATGAAGATGATCCAGCCTCATACAGGTATATATCTGAGAAAGGGAAGACCTCTCAGGCCCTCCTGAACAGGTCTTGCGGATGCCCAAGGGTCCCCAGCCACACTTTGAGAACCACTGATCTAGTGTATACCTTGTCGGGAGATGATGTGGTGGGGTGGTATTGCATTTAGGTGGTCTATACAGCAGAGAAGCAGCCACTTCTCAGATCACATGTGCTTCTTTTGCCTGGGCTATTGCTCTAGCCTCCTAGATTGTCTTCTGAACTCTATTTTTCTTCCTTAAAATTTTTTTCCTTTTGGAGACAGGTTCTCACATTGTTTCTCAGGCTGGAGTGTAGTGGCACAATCATAGCTCATTACAGCCTCAATCTCTTTGGCTCAAGCAATCCTCCTGCCTCAGCCTCCTGAGTGGCTGGGACTACATGTGTGCACCATTGTGCTTGGCTAATTTTTAAAAATTGTTTTAGAGACAGGATCTTGCTATGTTGCCCAGGCTGGTCTCGAACTCCTGGCCTCAAGGGATACTCCCATCTGAGCCTCCCAAAGTACTGGGATTATAGGCATGAGCTGTTGTGCCCAGGTCCTATTTGTATCCCTTTATAAGCATCCTCCACACAAAATCCAGAGTGAGCTTTTCAGAGATAAGTTGAATTTTATCACTCCTTGGCCCACAAGCTCCGGATGGTTCCCATCACACTTAGACTGAGGTCCCATCTTATAGGCCTGTGTGCCCTGGTCCTTGCCTCAGCCTCTTACCTTGTTTCTCAGTTCTCTCTCCCTTGCTGGCTTTGCTTTAGCCATTCTGGCCCTTTCTATCTCTGTGAACATATGAGGATCAGTCCCGATTTGGGGCTCTTGTCCAATCTGTCCCCCTCTCTGGCTACTCTTCCCTTGGACATTGGCATGGCTGGCTTATTCTTGCATTTAGATTTCAGCTTAAGTGTCATCAACATGGATTCACACTTATTACCCTCTTTTGTTTTCCTTATAGCCTTTGTCACTATCTGCAATTGTCTTCATTATTTTGTTTACTTTTTAATGATATCTCTCCATGTGAGGAAGTAAGTTCTATTGGAGCAAGAACTTTATCTTATTTAATACTGTATTTTCAATACAGTATTAAATGTTTGTACAGCATCTGGCATGTAGTCGATGAGCAGTGAATATATTTGAATGCACGAATGAAAAAATAACTAAGAAAAAATATTTTACTGTAAATCAGTTTTGGATTATGATGTTGTCATTTACTAACTCTGTGAACTTGGGGAAGTTTCTTTTTATGATACTTTTCTTATAAGTAAAACACTGATTACAATGATCTATTGTACAGGGTTGCTGTGAGCTTAGATAAGATAACAAATGTAAAGCACTTGTCACATAAAAATCATTCTGTAATTGGCCCTGTCTTTCCTTCCTCTTCCTAACCTAGCTTGTCAGTAACATTTCTAGCTCCAGAAATGATCATATCCTTCTTTTTTTTCTGAGGTTCCACCCTTCCTAGACCCTTCTTCTAGTGGATAGTTGAGTGGAAGCTATGTCTCTTGACACCTAGACAAGTGCTCTCACTATCTGCCTGTTTCTGGACACAGTAAAACTCATAGCCCTGCTGGAAGCACTCGGTTGTGGGTCTACAAACTGTGGCTCCTTGAACACCTGATGAGAATTAACTGGGATATTTGCAAAAGTGCTGGCTGCTGGCTTTTGGCCTCCCTGGAAATCTATTGAATTAAATGATTCAGAGGACAGGATCTAGAAAATGAATTTTCCTGGAGATCCTGGTGCATGCTAAAATGGGGAGAAAACTGGTATGAGAAATGAGCAGAGGGCACAAAAAGATTTTCTTTTATTCTTCCCCATCTGTTCACAGCTTTTTAAAGCCTTCTCAAATATTTATGCAGTAGCCTGACTTGTTCTCCCAGTTGGGCCCCTGAAGACACTGGCTCTCTGACCAGCTCTACCCCAGGGAGGAAGCTACTTCAGGGGCCCAGGACAGGGTGGAAGCATCCATGAGTGCTGCTCACACCCCTATCTTGGGCTTTCTTTCCCAAGACAGAGCGGGTACAGCAGGGTGCTTGAACAATCCATAGCAGCAGGCACAGTGTGGAATCTCGGGACAGTGCATGAAAAAGCTATTTGAAAAACAAGCACAGCCGCTCTTGCCAAATTCTCGGGATCCACTAGAAAAAAAGAATAGTCCTTTCCCATCATTCCATAAATCATTCCACTGAAAGCCATCAAAAATGCATCCTGAAAAGACATTTTCACTAGCAGCTCAGCTAGAAGACATACATCCTGCCCCACTCAGTTTTTCTCTCCTGATAACCAAAAACAAAGTTCCAGGAACAGAGGGATAAGCTTTCTTGGAGAAAGCTGTCATTCTCCATTTTTGAGCTTTTTGCCCTGGATTCTAAATACAGCCACACCTGGCTTTCCCCAGGGGTAGATGGTTTGATCTGAGAGGCAAACATTCTGTTGAAACATGGCTTTTATTGACAGCAGTTAGTGCTGCCACAGCCCTGTGAAGGTGGAAAGAATTGCTGGAGAGCCAGATGGGACTGGAGTTGAATCCAGGCCTCTACTCATTAGCCTTGAGATCTTGGACAAATCACTTAATATCTCTGAGCTTCAGCTGCTTGAAACAAATCATTAAAAAAAATAGACTCACAGCATAGTGACAGGACATTTGAAGTTCTCGCACATGCCCAATACCTGGCAATAGCAGTTGCTCAAGTAATACTATTTTCATATTGTTGGCCAATAGTAGAGTCTCTCATGTTGCTTAAAGAGTAGTAGGAAGTAGAAAAATGATGTGTATTCCTCTCCCTGGTGTAGGAAGCAGTAGAACTGGTTTTTGACTTAGCCTTGTCTTAGAACCATGAAGGTGTGACCTCGGTGATGCTGCTCTCCCTCTCTGAGCCTCAGTCTCTTCTTCCAGAAAGTGAAGGAACTGCAGTAGGTAATCTTGAAAGTTCTTCATTCTAACTTCAGACTTTAGGATTTCAACACTGATAGCCCAGACCTAGCTGATAGCCCAGACCTGGTTCTCCTCCTGGAAGTCTCTGGCCCTGCTGGCTCTGCAAATATTTTCCAGGGAGATCAGTGGGCTCCTCTGTGAAACGGAGGCATCGACATCCTTGCTGATTTGCTTGGGGTTGTGGTGAAGCTTTAAAGGTGCAGCAGCTTTAGGGAAGACTCTAAAAATTAAGAAGCACTATGTAAGTGATGCAGGATGGTTGCTTTTGTCTCTTGTGCCTGGGTTCTTTCTTCCCAGAGCTGAGTACTGGGCGGGGTACTGGAGGCTAGGAAGGCAAGCCTGGTGTGAGGGCTGCACACAGACCCTGTCACCTGGGTGTTCTGGCCGCGAATGGCTCTGCTCTGCTCTTCTCTTGGGGCCACTCCAAAGAAGTAGTGACAGGCAGGAGGAACAAGAAGAAGGACAAGAAAAAAGAAAAAGTTTCAAGATGGGATTAGAACAAAGGCGGAAAGAGTAGAAGTGGGGAGGAGGAGACTAACAGGAGCTAAGGAAGAGGAAAGGTAAAATGATTCCCATTACTCTCTCTTAATTTTGCCCAGGCATCAGCAAAACCATCATCAGCAGATCAGAACACCTCACTATGACCTCTTAGCTTGATTTAAAAAATAATTCCTAGCCAAACTGCAGTGCCTAAATCTATAGCAAATGTCAGCAGCCAGGCCTGAAGCCAGAGCTGTGATCTCCCTCATGTCAATAAATCCTTGAAGTTCCTTCTCCCTTGGAAGCTGGGGTTTCTTCTGATGCCGCTGCTTTCTACCCCAGGCTGCCCTTTCATGAGTAATTTCTTTTAACCCGAGGATCACAGCTGTGAGCCATAATGAAAAGATTTCTTCTCGACTGACACTGTGGAGAAGCCGCTGTGCCAGCAGAAGAAAGCTAGGAAAAAATACAATGAAATCCAATGGCCGACCCACGGCCGGGTGAAGGTAGAGCAGCGGACTGGGGAGGCCTGGCTGTCGTGCGTGCCACCACTCCAAACAGAGAGATCTTGCAGGTGGTCCAGGAGACACATAGGCTCAGGTCAGTGCTGTCTTATGTCTGCTGGGACTGCAGAGATGCCAGGGACAAGAGGGGCTGCCTTGACACAAGGAGAGGCAGTAGAAAGTACTGCCAGCTTTTTCCTGCTAGTTCTTCTTTCTCAGAGTCCCTGCCTTCCACTCTCAAATGGAGGAAATAATACTGAAGTTCATCTCGGTTATTTACACTTGAGATTTGTTTTTCTTTTTTTTCTGAGATGGAGTCTCACTCTGTCACCGAAGCTGGAATCCAGTGGCAGGATCTCGGCTCACTGCAACTTCCACCTCTTGGGTTCAAGTGATTCTCCTGCCTCAGCCTCCCGACTAGCTGGGATTACAGGTGTCTGCAAGCACGCCCGGCTAATTTTTTGTATTTTCAGTAGAGACAGGGTTTCACCATGTTGGCCAGGCTGGTCTCAAATGCCTGACCTCAGGTCATCCACCCGTCTAGGCTTCCCAAAGTGCTGGGATTACAGGCATGAGCCACCGCACCCAGCGGAGACTTCTATTTTTTATAGGAAAAAGTTGTGCATTCAGATGTTTGCAGGAAGCTCTATCCATGGCCTTGGGACCTCAGGAGAAGAGAAGCCATGTAGATTTTCAGCCTTGAGCAGCACAGTTCAGACATGGAGGGGAGGGCTTTGTGCTGTCCCCTCAGCCTCTGTCCACACTCACATCAGGGATAGAAAGCGGAGGCAGGCTCTTCATGGGAGCTTTGAACAGTCCTCATCTCATCTTGCTCCTGAATGGCGTAGCTCTGAGGTCGTGAACTGTCCCTTGTTTTGACAAAGTGTGTGCTGCACGGAGAGGGAGAGAACATGGGCATACAAATTCAGCTTGGAATGAACATTTCACTTTGGGTGGTGGGGCCGAAATGGGTGACAGCGCATTTGAAGTTCCTGTGTATGCCCAATGCCTGGCATTAGCAGTTGCTCAAGTAATGCTATTTTCATATTGTTGGCCAATAGTGAAGTCTCCCATGTTGCTTAAACAGTAATAGGAAATAGAAAAATTCCTCTTGGCACCTGGGTTTGCATGGCATGGATGTATGGGCATGTGTGTGCACACATGTGCCTAGAAACACTTCTTCAACATGGCAAGACTTCATTATTACGCAGCTTCATTAGTCCTTCTCCATTCTTGAGATTCAAGCTGACCTGGTTCCAGCTTCTCAGAGCCCCTTCCTTCCACCCCCAAATGGAGGGACTAATACTGAAGTTCATCTCTTATTTACACTTGAGATTTCTATTTTTTATAACAGCCTGTCAATCCAGGTTGGATTAATACCCTTTGAATATGTTTTGGGGCATGTCTCACCAACACAGATGAAAATTTACTTCGGTTCTACAATTGAACTTCCCCCAGGGATGCTGTTTGCACATTATTTAGGCAGCTCTGTACTTCTTGATGTAATAACATGTTCCTAAAAAGTTGTATAAAACGAGAATTTTGGCAAATAGGATCATATTTTAATGTAATGGGAGTGTTTGTTGCTCATGGGAATTCTATGGTGAATCATTTTATGAAATAGAGAGTCCTTTTTTTTTAAACACTAATAGCCATTCTCAATTTATCTTTTTGTTCTTCCATGTGGTTTTCCACAAACCATATTTTCTGGAATCGAGCCCCTCCTATAAATGCTAATGGCCAGCTTCAACTTGTTCCTAAATGGCTAAGGTAGAGTAGTGACAAATTAGTCAGTAGCTGACCTCACTCCAGGTGTGTGCTACCTAAGACAGAGCCCTGGACAGAGATTTCAGGCACCTCTTCTAAGTCTCTTCTTGTAACTGCCATGAATTAGCAGTGTGGCCTTGAAAAAATCACTAGCTACTGTTCTGTTTTCTGAATAAAAAGCTTGGGGTTAGAGTGTGTATCATACAGAAACTATTTTGTATATCATTTTACTAACTCGGAATGCTATGTGTTTCCTTGCTTGTATGGGTTGGGGGAAATAAGAGATGCTGACACATCCAAACTCAGAGGGAATCTCTTCTTTATATTCTCTTCTTTCTGCCACAGAGCATAAGCAGATATTAATGGACTGTGAGTGTCAGGGATGAGGGATGGTCCCCTCTGACTTCGGAGTTCAGCCCAGCTTAGGGTGCCATTAGCTTCCTGCTGGCACTTGGCTTTGCACAGCAGGTGTGTGTGTATATGTGCATGCACACATGTGCTTAGAAACCCTTCTTCCCCCATCACAGCAGCACTTCATTATACCACAGCTTCCTTAGCAGGATGTTAGGATTCTGGGTTGAAGGCTCTCCTTCAAAATCATCCTCTTAATTTGCAGAAGCAGCAGCAAGGAGACTCTTAAGGTTCCGAAAACTAACAGAAGCTGAAGTGATGAAACAGAGGTGACAGGGGCTGGGAGAGTGATGGGGAGGAACACACACTTCATTCTACCCAGAGGTCCAGCCTCATGAGGGGATTCTTGCTGTAAAGGGTTTGAGCACCTGGTATTTATTTGAAGCATTGTGGATTTATTGAGTGTTTCTAGAAAATAAGAAGAAAAGGCTCAGTTGCACTAGTGAAACCAGCGTGATGGAGAGAAATGAAGCTTTCTGGGCAGAGGGAGTGAAGAAGAGCCATGGGATGGCAGAGGATGGTGGGAAGGCTGGAAGGAGTGGCTTCTCAAGAAAAGGGACCTAAAGGGAAGGAGGTGGGAGGAAGACGAGGTGAAGAAGGAATTGAAGGATGGGGGAGGAAGAGGGGCAGGGACTGGACAGGACCACAGTTGAAGGGAAACAACATTACACAGGCCAGAGGAACTGAGATGGAAGACTCACGAATGAGTGGAGGAAGAGGTCTTGCCAGCCTTCTGAGTCACCGGTGGCTGAAGTGGACACAAGAAAGAGTCCACCAATCCAAGAGGACAGGTTTTTTCCTTCATCTTATCAATAATACCAGCGAGATGAGATGTGGTTGTGGGGGGTGTAAAAACTTGCCGATCATCCCTGTGGCTTTCTCCAGGCAGTTATGCTGGGGTGAGGTCTGCTCCCCCAGCTGTACCTACGTGTCACCATCTGTAGGTGTGTGCATTTCATAGCAATGGATTCATTTGCACCGATATCGGCATGTCCTGGAAGGGCCAAGAATTGGGAGAGAAATGACTCACTGCACCTCCTCAGCTTCAAGCTCTAGTGCCTTCTACTAACTGTGGAACTTTTGTTTTATCAGAAGAAAGTGGAAGAAATATTTTTTAAAACTTTTAGGTTCAAGGGTACATGTGAAGGTTTGTTACATAGGCAAACCCACATCATGCAGGTTTGTTGTACAAATTATTTCATCATCCAGGTATTAAGCCCAGTACCCAGTAGTTATCTTTTCTGCTCCTCTCCCTCCTCCCACCTTTCACCCTCAAGTAGACCCCAGTGTCTGTCGTTTCCTTCTTTTTGTTCCTGAGTTCTCATTATTTAGCTCCCACTTATAAATAAGAACATGCGGTATTTGGTTTTCTGTTCCTACCTTAGTTTGCTAAGGATAATAGCCTCCAGCTCCAACCACGTTCCTGCAAAAGACATGATTTTGTAAGAGAAAAGAAGAAAAAGAAGAGATAACATCTTGTCTGCCACAGCTGAGAGTCCCAAGTTCTGTTTCCTTCCCCTCTTGTTGGAAATAGCCAAAGGCTCCTAGGAAGAGAAGGGCTAGGGTAAGAAGCAAAAAAAAAGGTTATCTGTAGGAGACATTTTGAGGGCTTTCTGGGGAATGTAGGACAAAATGAAACAGGAAGCCAGAAGGAGGTGAACTTTGTCCGTTTTCTCCCTTAACTTGGGACTCCGCTGTGGCAGCGATGAGGCTTTTAGGTGGTTTTTCTGTGAGTGGCCTCTCTCCAAGACAGGGAAGGATATGGGAGGTGCTCTTTGGGGAGTGTGCCTGACACACAGGTTTGTGAATAAAGATAAATCTGCATCTGGGGCTCCCGGAAATTTTTGAGGATAGGTTTAGAATTTCCATGGAGGAAGAAGAACAGGAACTACAAATTACTGATTTATTGTTACTTTATTTCTATCTGCAAGTCAGTGAGACCTTGGTGACATTTGAACTACTCATTCACTAACAAACTATTAGAAATTCATGAGTTGTGACTTTTGATTGCTCTTTTTTTTTTTTTTTCTCCCAAAGATAGTCTTTTGACTAAGGACTATTCTGTACCTTTGTTATGGGCTGTTAGCCAATGAATGCTGCTCATATTCCAGGCAGGTATTCAGGCATCCACATCTCACACGTCAACCCAGCAGCAGCCTTGACAAATATGTTCACGCCCTGACATCTCTGATTGAGGCCAAAGATCTTAATTAAGCAAAAAGATAAGTAGAAGAAAATGTACACCAAGGCATTGCCAATGAATTGGTGAATTCTCCAAAGTTGTGGACATTAGGCAGCTACTGTTGGAAGTTTAACACAAGTAGTCACAGATGTGACTCCATCCATCCATATATATTTACTAAATATTTACTGTATGCAGTACTGTGCTAGGCTCTACAGAAGAGCAAACAAAATATGAAGTATTGTCCTTGACCTCAAAATTTGCTAATGTAACTTCATTTTGTAAAGAAGAGTCTAAAAAATAACCCATTTATGGTCCTGTAGATTCCCTGACACCTATTATGTAAGTAATATTTCTTTTTGTTTCATGAGAGTGATATGGTATCAACAAACCCAAACTGTTGTTTCTTTTTTCCAAGTTGGTCTCATTAAGATTCATAGAGTCCTTTCCAGAATATATTATATATAATGAAACAAGGAGAAAGAATACGTAAAGTTTGCAAAATTCCTGGGAGAAATCTCTCTCGGTCCACATTATTTTTACTTCCTACTTCGTATTTATATTGGAGAATAACGACAATTTTGTGCCCCAAACAGGGTAAGAAAGTTGGTGGTTGGTTGTTGCCACTGGCCTACGGCTTTTGTCCAGAGAAGACGGGAATGGGGGTCCAGTTACCCAACCCCTTCAGAACAGATGGTTTCTCATGCCCATGGACCTTGGTTACGGAGTGTGAACAGGATTCTCCTAAATATTTCAACTTCGGAAGACCGGATTGAAAGTCATCTCAATTAAGCAAGGACTGAGAGTGTGCAAATATTATTTGAACGTTGGTTAACTTTTCCTTAAATGGAAATGAATGAGCAGTAAAGTCACTTTGATGAATCTTATACAGAGCCTCTGTCCCAGAGTCCTGAAACTTCACCTGATGGTCATAAAGAATCAAAGTAAGTCCTTTGCGAGGCTGCGTTGTGTTGGGGTGGGTGGGTGAAGGGTCCTTTCAAATTCTGTAGATCCCAGTACATTGCATCTACAGGGTATGTGTTTAAATGAGGGGTAGTTGACCCACATAACTCCCCACCCTCCTGCCTCATGGTTAGAATGTATGTTCATTGGGGATTCTGCATACATTTTCATCACATATCTACTTTTCTGGCTTTTAAGTAATATCCTCTCCTTTGTTTTTGCCAACAGTGTTCATGAATAGTGAATGTAGGAAAGCATTATCATTGCTATGTTTTATTTTCACACTGTATCTCAGTATCAGCCCATACTTTCAATGTACTAACAACTGTCACTGAGGCAAAAAGTTTTAATTAAGCTCACACATGATTATTTTCCAGCAAACAGAGCCTAATTGATGAAATTGCTAACTGTACTTCCAGGTGCAGTCAGTAGCCAGTAGTGCATTGTTAGTATGCAATATGGCATGGGCTGTTACATGGTGTGATACTAGATTATATATTTACTATGAACGTATGTATTGTTCTTTAATGACATCTATTTGTTCATTCCAAAAATATTTATTGAGCACGGACTCTGTGCCAGTTATTAGTTAGAGTAATAATAGCTGCTGTGGCAAATGAATTTCCTCACCTAAGAAAAATAAAAGTTAATTATTTTTTCTCCACATAAAGGTCTAGAATGTTCTGCCGCATGCCTTCCATGTCATGATTCAGGGACCCAGGCTCCTTCCATCTTGTGGCTGCCCCATCCACTAGGTTCTCAGACTCTTTCATTTCCAACTGGTGGTTGTTGAAAGAGAGGGTGATGAAGGTGTACCCCACTTACATCTTACCCACTTTCACCTAGAAGTGGCACATATCACTTTTATTGACGTTTCATTAGCAAGAATTGTCCTGCAACACACTTGGAGGAAGGCAGCTGGGAAATGCTGTCCCTGGCTGTGCACAGGGACATATGTATTTTATGTATTTTATGAGACTCTTTGCAGGATAGCTGGCTATCTCTGCCACAGCTGGCCATGTCTGCCATGGCTAGACATCATTTCAGGCTCTAGGGAAATAGCAGTGAAGAGAAACAGACAAAAATATCTGACCTCATGGAGCATAAATTCTTGAATTAAAATTCTTAAATTCTTCATGGGATGAGACAGACAATAACCAGGCTAAATCAGTATGTTGCAAAGCAGTGAGAGCTGCTAAAACTAAGCAGAAAAAGGGGTACAAAGCATGAGAGAGAAGGATTTGAGATGAGATAGTGTGGTCATAGAAAGCCACACTTTCTATCAGCATGAGAGAAAAGCTAAAGCAGGAAAAGGGGTAGAAAGCATGAGAGAAAGGTTTGAGATGAGTTAGTGTGCTCATAGAAAGCGTCTTGAAAGAAATGATATTTTAAGTAAAGAATCAGAGAGCATAAGGTGTCCAACTAGGTGAATATCTAAAGCAAAAACATTCCAGATGGAGAGAATAGCAGGTAAAAGGACTCTGAAGCTGGTGAAGATAATAAGGGTGAGAATAATAGAAGGTGAGATCGGAGAGGCAATCGTCAGGCCAGACTGTGTCGGGCCATTTAGGTCATAGTAAAAATCTGGGCTTTTTTTTTTGTTTTTTTTTTTGTTTTTGTAACTAACTTTATTGAACTATGATTTTCATAAAATATACCCATTCGGTAGGTTTTAAAAAATGTAGACATGAAGACATTCATATAATCACCACTACAATAAAAATATAGAACATTTTTATCATCCCCTAAAAGTATCCCTATTTATAGTTCATACCTGGCCCCAAGCAATCACTGATATGCCATCACAGATTAGTTTGTTTTTTCTAGGATTTCATACAAATGGAAAGGAACAGTATGTACTCTTCTGTGTCTGTATTCTGTCACTCAACATAATGCTTTTGAGATTCATTCATATTGTTGTCAGTATCACTACTTTATTTCTATTTACTGCCATTATATGAATTCTATTATGTGGATATACCATAATTTATTTAATCTTTCACCTACTGAGAGGCATTTGAGTTGTTGATAATTTGGGGCTGCTATGAATAAATCTGCTATGAACATAATGTGCAGTTCTTTTTTGTGGACATATATTTTCAGTTTTCTTACATCCAGGAGTGGAATTGCTGGAAACCATAAGGTAAGTATTGGTTTAAGTTTAAAGAAACTGTCACTGTTTTCCACAGTGGTCATGGCTTTTCACACGTCCACCAGCAATGAATGTGAGTTCCAGTTGTTCCATATCCTCACCAACCCTTGTTGTTGGCAGTCTTTTAAATTTAAACCGTACTAGTGGGTGTAGAGTAATATATTATTGTAGTCTTAGTTTGCATTAATCTAATGACCGTGAATGTTGAACACCATTTCACATGCTTTTGATCATTTATACAACTTCTTTTGTTAAGTGTTCAAATCTTTTGCTTGTTAAAATAATTTTTTTGTCCTATTGAGTTGAAATAATGTTAAAAATATTTTCTTGATGTAAGTCCTTTGTCAGATCTATGCAGTCCATGAATTATTTTCTCCTAGCCTGTGGCTTGCCTTTTCTCTTTCCTAATAGTACCTTTCAAAGAGTATATGGTCTTAGTTTTGATGAAGTAAAATGTATTTTATTTTTTGCATAGTTAATGCTTTTTGTGTTCTAAAGAATCTTTGCTTAGATGTTAAAGATTCTCAAGTTCTAAAGACTTCCTTTTGTTTTCTTCTAGAATTTAATTTTTATTTATTTTTTTTAGTTCTAGATTTAACCTTTAGGTTTGTTATCTATTTCAACTTAATTTTAGCATATAGTGTGAATTGAGGGTTAACATATATTTATTTATTTATTTTTTACAATGCAGTTATCTAGTTGTTTTAGCACAGTGTATCAAAAGAACTATTGAATTACCTTTTTGAATTACCGTGGCAGCCTTCTTGAAAATCAATTTACCTTACGGTAAATATGGTAAATTTGTAACTCTATTTCTGGACTCTCTATTCTGTTCTACTCATCTATAAAGCATTTTTTCACCTATACCACATTGTCTTGATTACTCTTGCTTTATTGTGAGTCCTGAAATCAAATAGTTTAAGCTTTTCAAGTCTATCCCCTTTTTTGAAAATTGATTTACTATTTGGTTCTTTGGAGGTTGTTAATTTCTTTTTTTTTCTTTTTTTTTTTTTTTTTTTTTGAGATGGAGGCTTGCTCTGTCGCTGAGGCTGGAGTGCAGTGGCGCTATCTCGGCTCACTGCAAGCTCTGCCTCCCGGGTTCACACCATTTTCCTGCCTCAGCCTCCTGAGTGGTTGGGACTACAGGTGCTCACCACCACGCCCGGCTAATTTTTTGTATTTTTAGTAGAGACAGACTTTCACCGCATTAGCCAGGATGGTTTCGATCTCCGGACCTCAGGATCCGCCCACCTCGGCCTCCCAAAGTGCTGGGATTACAGGTGTGAGCCACCGTCCCCGGCCTGGAGGTTGTTAATTTCTACCAAGAAGTCTTCTCAGCTTTTAACAGAAGTTGCATTGAATACATAGATCATCTTGGGGGAAAATTAACGTTTTAACAATATGGATCTTTCCAACTGTGAGTACTATACTCTCTATTTATTTAAGCCTTCTAAATTTCTCCCAGCAGTATTTTGTAGTTTTTGGTGTATAAATCTTGTATACATTTTGTTAAATTTGTACCTATGTGTGCCATATTTTTGGAGCTACTATAAATAGTATTTTTAAAAATTTTATTTTCTAATTGTTCATTGCTGTCATATAGAAAAAATTTGATTTTTGAATATTGCTTCTGTATACTGCACTCTTGCTCAATTCACTTATTAGTACAATTAGCTTTATTTGAATTGGGCCTTATACAACATAAGAAGTATTTTGGCTTTTATGCTGATGAATCATATGGGGGTATGAGAGCAAACATTTTTGGATCTTAGTTTTTGAACATGTTAAATAAAGGTAAACATGAAAGACTGCTAGTTAAATGTATCTGGAAGTCAGAGAGGGGTCATGGGTGAATATGTGCATTTGAAATCACTAGCTTAGCAATGATAGTTAAGCCATAAAACTTATTCAGATCATCAGTATTTAGGAGTTAATGATGAGGAATCAGCAAACCAGTTTGAAAAAGCAACAGTCAGAGAGGTATGGGGAAAACCAGGTGAGTGTGATACCTTGAAAACCAAGAGAAGAAAATGTTTTAAGTAAATTGCTTTGGGAGGCCGAGATGGGCAGATCACTTGAAGTCAGGAGTCCGAGACCAGCCTGGCCAACATGGTGAAACCCTGTCTCTGCTAAAAGTACAAAAAATAAATAAATAAATAAATAAATAAATAAATAAATAAATAGCCAGGCATGGTGGTGCATGCCTGTAATCCCAGCTACTTGGGAGGCTGAGGCAGGAGATTCGCTTGAACCTGGGAGGTGGAGGTTGCAGTGACCCAAGATCATGCCACTGCACTCCAGCCTGGGCAACAGAGTGAGACTCCCATCTCAATAAATAAATAAAAATAAAAATAAGTAGATTGGTCTACTATATCAAATATTGCTTATAGATCAAGGAAGATGAAGGCTGAGCTAGACCCTTGGAATAGTAGATGTCATTCGTGACCTTGACAAGCAGCTTTGGTGGAGTGCTGGAAGTAAGAGACTGCTTGGAGTAAGTTGAGAAGAGAAATTGGAGACAATGGGTACAAAGAACTCTTCCAGGGATTTTACTCAAAGGAGAGAAATGAAATGAAAGTTGGAGGTAAGTGGAGTCAAGAGAGGGTTTGTTTGTGTGTGTGCGTTGTTTGTTTTAGTTTTCAGTAAGAGAAAAACACAGCAGATTTTTATGTTAGTTTGGATGATGTCAAATGACCCAGGCTGATAGGGGAGAGTGAGAGGAGAGTTGCTGGACAAAGATTTGGAATAGGTAAGGGGGTTGGGATCTAGGTGACAGGAAAGGCACAGATGGCTCATCCACAGGGACTGGAGAGAAGGGAGGGTAGGTATATGCAGATGGATGTATAGATGGGTGGCAGGAACTTGTGAACATTCTCTTCTTATTGCTTTCATTTTCTCATTGAATTAAGTTAGGTTAGTTTATTGTTGTAAAACATTTAGAACAGTGCCTAGCCTACAGTAAGTATGATGTAATTCTTTGTTAATTAGGTGCTTTTTCTGGTTTCCCAGAATCCGATCATAGAATGATGATTGGATATAGATTTTCACCTTTGATGCTTGAGTTTATAGCCTGGAGCTACAACCAACACCTGAGTTTGGCTTATTGCTTGGTGTTACCTGTGAAGAACTGTGATCTTGTTGGGTAACTGCTGCATGTGGATCTCTGTTCTACAGATAGCATAAACAGTCTATAAATAGTGTAGATAGGTAATAAATAGTGTAGTAGCCTTCCTTCTTACAAGGCTTCTACACTATTTATTCATGGAATGATAGAAGCCCTTCCTCTTCTCTAAATGATGAAGGCCTAGAGGCATGGGCCTATTGTTTTGTGGCCAAGTGCACAGACAGGCTTATTAGTATTATGAATAGGTAATCTAAGCTAATATATATACACTCAGCATTTACCAAGTAAAGCATGTTATGCTAAGTGCTTTCTATTATTTTCTTTGGAACACTCAAAAGCCTTGTGTGCGTGGTCTTAGAAACATTCTATATTTGTGGAAACTCAACTCAACCTGCACCAAGCCACTTGATAAAATTAGATACCAGGTTTCTGTCCTCTAATTGTGCTCTTCTGCTCCACCTGCTCCCACTGCCTCTATTGTCAGCTATCACTGAGCAGTGGACAGGAGCACTGGGCTATCAGGTGACACCGGATCTTGTGCCAGCACTACAAATCATGGACTGATTGAACTTGGGAAGTGACTCACCTCTTGGGGGATTTTTCATCTGCATTCTGTGAACTCAGATGATCCATACCATTTCTTCCAGCTCTAACATTCTGAGATTTTAATATTTCCATGGCTGTCATGTTCACTCCCCACATTTTTTAAGTATCTAGGTCAGGGCCTCCCCAGGTGAAGGGGTGATTACAGGTTTAATCAGGGCAAATCCTGAGGCAGCTCTGGACAGCGTGAAGCCACCACCTATTGCTTTATCTCTGTGCCTTTCCCACGGGTTACCAGCAGAATTAAATATCTGACACGCCCCCAGCCTGGGCTCCAGGAAGAGCCACGAGACAACCTGCTAGGTCCAAGCCACAAGCTCCTCTCGTTCCTAGAACACTTGTCCAATGGCCTGACGGGCTAGTTTTAGTGCCTGGTATTTATTATCTTCGCAGAACCTTGGCCGGGAGCCGGGAGCCTGGAGCCTGGACGTGCGGGGTTGAGTGATTAGACATGGGGCTCTCATACATCTAACTTTAAAAAATCTCAATTACATCAGAAAAAGGGTCCAGGGTAACAGATGGGGTCCTGGGGACGATCGTGTAAATAACAAACGAGTGCACTTGCCGTGATGCATGGCTGGTCCCAGGGAGCAGGAGGAGCTGGAGCTGGCATCTGGGCATGCTCCCCAGCTGGGGCGCCCAGAGGCAGAACATCCAGCAGGTGGCAGCGCTCACAAACGATACAGCCTGCACTGACACCTGCAGGGTCCTGGAGGGGCGCCAGCTCTGGGTGAAGGGGTTGTGGGCGGCGGTGGTGGGGTGTTCTGGGATTTCACAGGGGCTGGTCAGAGAAGTGTTTTATGAAGCAGGTGGGTGGAGTCAGGAAATGAGGGAACTTCCAGAATCTTGCAGATGCAAGGACAGAGTAGAGAAGGCACAGACCAGGACAGTTAAGTATGATTTGGCAGTGACCCCTTGGATGGGACGCTGTACCCCTGGAAACATAATTCAAAAACAGAGGACACATTTTCATTGAAAGGGAGATGGAGAGATCTTTAATCCAAACAGCATTTTTGCAGATAAAGAATCGGAGGCCCTGGGGGAAGAGGCTGCCCAGCTTGGTTGGTAGATGGCCCTGATCTAGACTCCACAAACACCTGGGTCCCTGGGTCCTTCTCCATTCCTGCTACACTCAGCTCAGCTTCCTGTAGTGACCAGCTATGTTTATAAACAAGAATTTGGTCCCTTGCTTCTGTGGGTGTCCCTGAGATCTCACAACCTGACAAACAATTTGAGGCTATATGGACCTCCTGGAAGGGTACAAGGCTCCATGGCCTTTGTCTGCAGTGCCATGGCCAGAGAACCATCCTGTCCTTTTCTCATATGCACACGGTGGACACATGACGCAAATGCTTTGCATTCCTCTCCTTGACGGCGGTCCTTTCTTTCTGCGTGTTCATCGTCACTCATGGTGAAGAGTGCTCATTGAATGGTTCTCTGGCCATTAGGCTGCAGGCAAAGACAGGCAGGCCATCGAGGTCCAGTGGCACGAGGAGCCGTGGGGCCCCATTGAAGGGCACTGCTCCTGCAATAGAATGGCCAAGGCTGGAGTCTCTGCTCTGCCATTCTGGACTCAGAGCCTAGAATCAGTCACCTAACTTATCTGAGCCACTTTTGTAGGATGGAGCTAGAATTTGGAAGCAACCAAGTGGCATATTCAATGTGAAGGGGCTTTGCATAACCCATAAAGTGCAATGCAAATGTGAAACATTCTGATTCTAATATAAAGTCAGGGGAAGTTGTTGTTGGCTGGATTTAGGGATGGAAGAGTATGTGAATTTGACTTACGTTGGGGCCTCAGAGGATGGGGGCTTGCGGGGAAGAAGAGGTAAAGATTCAAGAATAAAGATGAAACTCTGTACTCAACACAGTATGTGGAAGGGTTGGAGAGGAACCAGCCTGGGAGCAGGAGGAGTTCCAGGTGGGATAGGAAAGAAAGGTTTGTCAGTGGGCACACAGAAGATGGGTGTGAGGAATTTGGATTTGTTTCATGAAATGAGGAGTCACTTGGATAGTTTTTAATGGAGTGATATGACAAACAGTGCTTTGTGTGATCTACTACATGGTAGGTAAAAGAATAGATTTATTTATTTATTCAAAGTTAAATATTGAGTGCCTGACACTGTGGAAGATGCTAGGTGTATAATGGTCAGTGAAACTGGATGAGGTTCCTGATTCATGGCACCTAGAATCTAGTGATGAACTGAGGACGTGGAGCTGCTGGAGAATAGGGAGGGAGGCTTCTAGGGTCTATAGGATCCATGCACGAGGTTCCATTCATACTCAGGATTGATCACCAAGGCCAGATGCGGTGGCTTACACCTATATTCCTAGCACTTTGGGAGGCCAAGGTGGGAGGAGTGCTTTAGGCTAGGAGTTCGAGACCAGCCTGGGCAGCATAGCAAGATTCCATCTCTAAAAAGAAAAAAGCAATAAATAAATGAGCTGGACACGGTGGTGTGCACCCGTGGTCCCAGCTATTTGAGAGGCTGAGGCAGAAGAATCACTCGAGCCCAGGAGTTGACTGTTACAGTGAGCTATGATCGTGCCACTGCACTCCAGCCTGGGTGACAGAGTGAGACTCTGTCTCTTGAAAAAGATTAACCCCCAAGAGAAGGGTGGTGGGCATCTTGTAATGGGGCATTTTCCAAGAAGATGTAAATCTCAACCATGATTGTTAAAGGCACCATACCTGATATCAGAGCAGACCCCATCTTTTTTTTTTTTTTTTTTTTTTTTTTTTTTTTTTTTTTTTTTTTTTTGTGAAGCCTGAGATCTCCATGAAAAGCCTGCAACAGATTCCGGGGCAAGCCAGATCTCAAAGGAATGGTTTGCAGTTGCATCTAGTTCTGTGTAGGTTATCTCTTGATGCCCCAATATATTAGACATGGACATTACCTCTCGAAGTCATCCTTTTAGGGAGCATTGGTTTTATCTCTCTATTCCTCCTAACGATTTATTTCAGTTTGTGTCAATGCACAGTTTTTGAGCATCTCCTTTGTACAGGTTAGAGTCATTTATCTCAGCTCTTAGACACTGGATATGGCAGAGTGTGCTATATGAGTGGCAGAAATAAAAGGCCACCATCCAGGAAAAGAAAGCAAACCATGTGTGTGCATTGTGTGCATATGAGACAAGGACAAGATGGTTCTCTGGCCTTGGGACTGCAGGCAAAGACAGACCATGGAGGCTTGTACTCTTTAAGGAGGTTCATAGAGCCCGAAATTGCTTGTCAGGTTGTAAGATCTCAGGGACATCCACAAAGGCAAGGGGCCAAATTCTTGTCCACGAACATAGCTGGTCACTACAGGAAGCTGAGCTGAGTGTAGCAGAAATGGAGGAGGAGCTGGGGAGCCAGGGGTCTGGGGAGACTAGATCAGAGTCTGCTATTAAGCAAGCTGGACAGCCTCTTCCCCAAGGGCCTCTGTTTCTTAATCTGCAATTAAAGCTCTCTCCATCTCCCTTTACCAAATATTCAATTTCCTTTTCATTCCCAAATAGCAGGATCCTGGTTTTTAGGTGGGCACATTTCCAGGAGGAATAGCTAGGGTGCTCAAAGACTGCCATTCTAAGCATTTCTGGCAGCTAGGTGTGGTTACACAGCTAAGTTCTGGTCAAAGAGATGGAAACAGGTGTTGTGTGAGATTCTGGAATAGCTTTTTCTTTCTTTCTCCATTCTGATGCTTTTAACATGGCCCCTGGGCAGCCCTCCATAATCAGAGCCAGGGATGCTGGAAAGATCCTGGGTCTCTCATAACCACAGTGCATCCATATAAGACCAAACTTCCTATCTCTCGGGCTCTTTTCCTGGAGAAAGACATAAATTTCTATCTCACTTCTAGTGCCACCATCCAGGCACTGTGAAACCTAATCCTAATGGACACATTGGGATACAAGGTTCTTTTCTTTCTTTGGGTCCAAAATTCACCCTCTGATCCCAAGGTGAACATCTCTGAACCAAGGCTTGACAGCTGTCCTAGGTCCACAATTATTCTTTACCTCCCCTGGGCACACAGCCTGTGAAATACCTATGGTATTTCTACTCTTAAAGGCTTTTGGTTGGGTTTAGAGATGAAGAAACAGGCACAAAGCATATGTGACAATGATTAGCACAGGGTTAGTTGTGTAATAGCTGCTGAAGGAATAAACATTACCAGAGCCTAGTTTGAAGAATTCTGCCCACTTCCAACCCGTCATGGGTGTGTGCTGATATGTCTCATCACTTCCATTGTCAATCCCCACCCCTCTTTCTTTTGAATCAATGACTTCGGGAAATTCCACTTTTATTTCATTTATTTATTTTTTACAGTTTCATCTCTATAGCTTTATTTCTGGGAAAATGGGTCCTGCAAAGCCCCAGCATCCTAGGCAAGTCCTCCAAGTACACAGCTCCTCTGGTTTCTCAATACAAAACATGGACCGTACATAACAGTAGTTCAAAAATTCCTGCAATTACTCTGTCTTCTGCCAGATTGATTCTTGAGCCTATGTGATTTTATGAGAGGTTGTTGCTGCCAAAACTCTGCTATCTCTTTTTCCAGTAGTGTGACATGTAATCCATGATGGTTTATGGATGGGAGTCTACCTCTACTTTGCCTCCTGGGTGCCATGTGCATTTTTACAGAGCACTGATGGTCACAGTGGTTAATGCAATAGGGGGCACCATGGACACAGAGCAGGCTGGTGGAGGAGCCATTTGAAGGCTGTGAGCTATTGGGCACCTTCTATACCACACAGCCCAGGGAGAGGCACCCTTAATGCAGGACTAGTTCCCCGACCATTCCAAATAGAAGCAAGAGGGCACTTTCTATGGTAGCGTTGACTTTCAATAACAGTATCTGGTTTCAGAAGTCTTTTCAAAAGGTAAGTGAGTACAAGGATTCACTCCATCCAGATGGAATCAGAAGTAAAAAGATCATTAGTCTTCTATTTTTTTTAAATGTGCATTTTAAAAACCCAATGCTATATGAAAGCACTGGTTTTATAAAAAGAAACATCAGATAAATTCATAAAGTGTTGTATGCGCACATAGTGAAAGATAATTCAGCCTTAAAAAAGAAGGAAGTCTTGCCATTTACAACAATCTGGATGAACCTAGAAGACATTATGGTAATCGAAATAAGTAGTCACAGAAGGGCAAATATTGCATGATTCCAAGTATACGAGGTATCTGGAATAGTTAAACTCAGAAGCAGAGAATAGAATGGTGTTTGCCAGGGACTGGGGAGGGCATGGAAAGGGGAGTTGTGACTCTATGTGGATAAAGTTGTAGTTTTGCAAGATGAATAAGTTCTAGAGATGCGTGCACAACTATAGAGTGCCTATAGTTAGCCATACCGTAATGTACACTTTAAAATGTTAAGAGGATAGATTGCATGCTAAGTGTTCTTATACATACATGCACACACACATACATGCACATAAGAACATCAGTAAACTTTTGGAGCTGATGGATAGGTTTTGTACCTTGATTGTGGTGATATCACAGGTGTATACATATGTCCAAACTCATTAAAATATATACATTAAATATGTACAATTATATATATCATTTGTATCTTAATAAAGCAAATATATGTAATATATAATAACGTAAATATATATATGTGTGTATGATATGAGCCAAAAAAAGACATAAGAAAGAAAACCTCAGACTCTAAGTAGACTCAATGAAAACACGATTTCCTTAGCACTCACCACACCCCATCCAGAGGAAACTGTGGTTAGAATGTGAGTGTGTAGGCCAGGCGCGGTGGCTCACACCTGTAATCCCAGCATTTTGGGGGGCCAAGGTGGGCGGATCACGTGAAGTCAGAAGTTCGAGACCAGCCTGGCAAACACGGTGAAACCCCGTCTGTACTAAAAATACAAAAAATTAGCCTGGCGTGGTGGTGCATGGCTGTAGTCCCAGCTACTCGGAAGGCTGAGACACGAGAATCGCTCGAACCCAGGAGGTGGAGGTTGAACCCGGGAGGCAGAGGTTGCAGTGAGCCGAAATTGCGCTACTGCTCTCCAGCCTGGGCGACAGAGTGAGACTCTGTCTCAAAAACAAACAAACAAACAAACAAACAAACAAACAAACAAAAACAATGTGAGTGTGTATTGCTTTGGAGCTTCTTCTTTGAATGTGCATGTGTGTGTGTGTGTCCTGGATGGGATCCTACTGCTATCTCTTCTTTTTCTCACCCAGTGACATGCCTTTCTATGCAGATCCATCTGGATCTGCCTTAGTTTTGCTCACTGCTGCGTAGCCTTTCATGGTATGAATGCCAGAAGCCATTTAGCACCTCCCATAATGAGGGGATTTATGTTTTTTCCAGACCAGTGGTCTACAGATTGAGCTCTGAGGGGTCTTCAGGAGCCATCAGAGGGGCCTCAGGGGACCCCAAAAGGCAGACAAGAAAAGAAACAGCCCGTGGGGCCTCAGACCCCCAAGTGCCATTAGTCAAAGCAACTTTATTTTTATAGTTTTCTTTACTGAGCTTCCACAAAATTGTGTTTGGTAAAAAGAATTTTGGGACTAAATACCTTTTTAAACCAGTTATCTAGTCTAGAGTTCTCACTTTATAAGTTGTTTCAATGCAGGCTCAGAAAGGAGAGGTGACTTCCCTAGGATCAGACAGTCCATGATGGAGTCGGGCTCAAACCCAGGTCTGGGGCTCCATTTTAGTGTCTTTGATGCTCAGCCCTCAGGCTCATCCTATTTTCTTCCAAGATTTGTTCACATCAATCACCGATTAGAATAGATTATCTGGTCTCGATCCTGAATTGAGGCAGAAATGTTATTATTACCCACCCACAGGGAGCTAACACATTTATGGCTTGCCTAATGCTGGATGGCCTAGTTGGAGGCGAGGTTGAAGCCATCACAAAGTCCAGCAAGAGAGCCAACTCAGTGCCTCTGTCAGACTGGGATGGGATCTAGCTGGCCTATAGCTTAGATGTTGTTGCTGTTTCTTTCATTGCATTCATTGAGCACCACTTTGCTATGGGTACTATATTCCCATGGGCATCATTCTATTTAAAATCATAAATTCCTTATGAGATATGGATCATTCCTACTTTAGAAAATGAGGCATAGAAAAACAGGATGACTAGTTGAAGGTTCAGTGAAAGTATGAACCAATCACCTTGCTAAATCAACCCCCTTTCTTCCTAGCTCAACAGCTTCTTCCTGGGCTTGGTCAAAACAGTGCCCAGCATGTGTGTGTGTGTGGCTGCCTTCTGTTCACAGATCACACCTTTCCCAGCATCTGCATTAAGAAAGGATCCTGGAGACCAGGTCTTGGTGCACACAACTTGCTTTATCACTCTTCACACTTGTCTCCAGGCTACACCAGGAGCTGTGTCATGCCAGGGTTGCCAAGAGCTGCCTTTTCCTTCTCTGGCTTCTCTCTTATTTTTTTTTAGAGCCCACTGGGCAGGACTAATATGCAGTAAAACTGATTTGTGCACTTTCCAGCCCTGGCTGAGAACAACAGCCATATACATTAGTTGGGAGATATTTAATGGATGATTTATAAGATATTCAAGATAAAATTTGAGAGATACATGGGGAGCGCTGAGGTGCAACATTCTTGAGGAACAGAGAACATTAAGTGCTTGATTGGCTGAGATGATTTAGAGGGCAGCCCCGGGCAGCCATCCAGTCATCCCGTTGTCGTTCCAGCTGCATCGTGGGCTGCGGCTTCTCTCCCAAAGGCTGCAGCCCACAACGTGGGTCTCGGATAGAGATCAGATCTCAGTGGAAACTTGTGCTTCATCTATGACCAAGACCTGAGGGCTTTCCTTCCCACACCCTCTTAGGGATGCAGCTTGGATTCTGTAGAACAGAGCACAACATTCAGAGGGTGAGATGTGTCCTGGGGATTGGCCTCTAGTAGGTAAACTGATCTTGCTCTTTTTTAGAGCAGTTGAGCGTAACAGTCCAGTGAAATTCAAAAAGAAACCCTGAGTGGGTGCCTGGGATGTTCTAGACAGTTACGTCTGGGGGAATAGAGATAAGGAAGTCAACAGGGTCCCCAGATTCAGAAAACTCATTGCTTTTCCTCTCTTGATATTTTCCAAACAAAGCAACGATATCTGCTCGTTATAACAGAAAATATCAAATCAGAACTATTTAGAAAAAGCTGTCTCTCTGATGACTGTTTCCTAACACAATAAAGTCATTGAGACATCATTTGTCTGAAAAGTTCTATTCTTCCCATATTTACTTACTATGCACATAGTCCCCCTTGCTCACGGTCTTGGTCACTCATGGTCTCAGTGGGACCCACGGTACCTTGTAGCTTACTTTTGGCAAAACTGTAACATAGCTAAGTGGCGCCATGCCTCCCCTCTCCAAAGATCTCCTTTCTTTCTTTCCTCTCCCATATCACCCTCCTCCCCCAAACAAACAAGATTCACCGACCCTGCACCATCTGTGGCACCATCACAAAGCTCCTGCTGCTGTAGCATTTCCAAAACTGTCATTTCCGTCCAGACTTTCAAGGACAAAATAGCTCTGAGAACCAAACAAATGATTTCCCTGGTGGTGGAATTTCTCTCAGTTACAGGAACAGATACTTGAGAGGAGAAACAAGGAGATTATCCTCCCTCGCCTTATCACATCCTATCCCATGGATGGGCACCTGTTAGTCTTTTTTTAATTGTATTTTTAGAAATGGGGTCTTGCTATGTTGCCCAGGCTGGAATGCAGGGGCTGTTCACAGGTGAGATCCCACTACTGATCAGCACAGGAATTTAAACTGCTCTGTTAATGACTAATCCAACTAATTTTAAAACAAATAATAATGATACATAACATTAAGGGACGAACCTGGTCCCTTATACTAATCTCCCTAATTATTTTTATTGCCACAGCTAATCTCCTTGGACTCTTACCCCACTCATTTACACCAGCTGCCCAACTATCTATAAACCTAGCCATGGCAATCCCCCTATGAGCAGGCACAGTAATTACAGGCTTCTGTTTTCTGCCAGGGCCAGTTCACCCCTCCTTGGGCAACCCAGTGGTCCCCTGCCAGAGCCTTCTCATTTTCTCTAGCTGCCCCTCCCAGACCACTGGGATGGGTGAAAGAAAGAACCGTGGGTTTCACTCTCAGGAGGTGCACTCACAACCTTTTTGGGGTGTGATCCCTGGCATATCCAAACCTTTGATTCTGGGGGTCCAATCAGAAAACTAAAGTTGTTAGCCTCACTCAAAGAAACCTGGCTATTGCAAATAGAAATATGAATTTACTCAAACGATGGAATGGGGAGAAAGTTGTTAATTATAGAAAAATGAAGACGTTGGGTCCATTTGCAAACATCCAGGAGTGAAGGAGGTTAGCTCCTGCGCCAGGTGACAGATTTGCTCATGACCGTGAGTGACCATGCAGCAGGTGACAGGTTAACTCATCCACATTCCTGCAACTTTTTACAGTTGAGAAATTTGAGGGCGAGAGAAGTTAAGTGGCTGGGGAAAGCCACCCCAGTAGTCAGTGGCAGATTCCAGATTTGTATGCACATTACTTGTTATTAAAATTTTGGCTTTAATAATAATAATAATAATAATCATCATCATCATCTCTGGAGTGAGGCCCCTCTGTGGGGAGAAGGGTGCCTGCTGGCCCACCCACCCAGAGCCATGTTTGTGGCTTTCTGAAAGCGCCATCTGTTTGCATAGGGCTGGCCTCCCTGGTCCTTGCCCCTGCTTTCCACTGTAGTGGCATCTTGTCTGACCCCAACCCTGCAGCTCTGGTTAATGAAAAAAGAATGCAAACTAATTAGCCACATTCCTGTTTTACGAAGAGTGAGAGAGAGATCCAACAAGAGCTTCCTCTTTTTGAATAATGGCTGCACTGTGGTTCCTCTGCACTCAGCAGCCCCAAGGTCAGAATACACTTCAGACATCATCAATATCCTCAGCAAACAGTTCCCAACCACGGCCAGGACACTGTGATAGGCCTGGGGAGAGAGGGGAATGTCAGACACTCTTGAGAAGTTAATTTAATTCAATGTAATTGGATTTTGCTAAGGTCTATGTGTGCTGGATATCATGAAAGGTGATGAGAAGATTAAGATAGAAGTGAGATTGAAGGGTCTTATTGTCTAGTAGGAGAAGTAGGCTATGCTGATGAAAACTCTATTAAAATAGCAGATAGCATTTGCCGAGAGTCCATATAAGTAGGGATTGAAACATGAAGAAGTCAAATACTAGACGTGTTCTTGAAGACCTGGATTCAACTCAGCGCTTCACCTAGCTGTGCAGTCTTAAGCGAATCACTTAACCTCTCTGAACCTCACTTTTCTGAACCACAAAGAAAATAGTTACAACCTGAGGTTATACTGAGATATAAATAAAAGATACGATTAATTTAAAAGTATTCAACTTCATATCTGACATCTAAATGCAGATAAAAATTTAGACAAATAATTATATATCGGGGGCTGAACACACTGCTTTATTTTTTTTTAATGGTTTAAAAAAACAACCACTTATTTAGCTCACAGTTTTGTTGGTTGGACAAATTTGGGCTGGGCTCAGATGGGCAGCTCTTCTGCTGATCTTACCTGAACTCTGCTAGATCTCTATGTGTGTTTGTGGTCAGCCAGCAGGTTGGCTTACAGTTGGACAATCTAGAATCTAGAATGGCCGTGCTTGCATGTCTGGTGGTCAGCAGGCTGTTGACTGATATTTCTGATATTTCTTTCATCACCCAGCAGGCTAGATCAGGCTTCTTCACATACTTAGTTGAGTTTGAATCTAGCAGATTAAAAATCTAGGAAAACCCAACTAAAGTGGCAACAGATGCTTGGGTACTTTAAAGAGAGGATAAAAGTAACTCATCATCTTCTGTCTTTCACCAGGAAAGCCTTCCTGGACGAGGGAGATTTTGAGCTGGGACTGGGAAGATGATAAGGATCTAGGGCTAGTGTAGAACAGAGGGTGCTCCAAGGATCTTGGGAGGCTCTTAAGGGAGGAAACATCCTCACTGATCATTGACAGGGAAGGAAACCAGGTCTAATGTAAAGAAGATTCTCCCTTGTCACACTGCAGTCTCCATGCCTGGCCATCAGCAAGTGCTTGCCCCAAAGGGTCTCCCCCATTAAAGGGGAGGATAGGGGGAAGGAGGAATCTGGGAGAGTGAATATAAGATTTATTTTGGAACCATTTTAGATTTACAGAGAAGTTGCAAGATAATACAGGGAATTTCTGTATATCCTTCACCAAACATCCCTTAGTGTGAATACCTTACTTAACTATTGTACGCTTGTCAAAACTAAGCAATTAACGCTGGCACAATATTATTAACTAAACTACTCACTGTAATCAGATTTCACTAGTTTTTCCACTGATGTCCTTTTTCTGTTTGAGGATCCAGTTCAGGATATCACATTGTATTTAGTCACCATGTCTCCTTGTTTCTCTCCAGATCTGTGACTGTTTCTCGTTCTTTGTTTCCTAAAGTATCCAGGTCGTGAAAGAGTATCGACACTTTGAAGGATGCATTTCTGTTTGGTTTGTCCAATGTTTTCTCATGATTACACTGGGTTTATGAACTTCAGAAAAAAATATCACAGAGGTGATGCATTCTTCTCGTCCCTTCTTAGCAGGGGGTACATGATCCGCACAGCTCTCATTGATGATGCTGACCTTGATCATCTACTGAAGGTGGTGTCTGCCAGATTTATTCCCTATAGAGTTACTATTTTTTCTTTTCTCTACTCCATTCTTTGGAAGAAAACCACTAGGTCCACCCCACAGCTAAGGGGAAAGGAATTAAATCGGGGCTGACAGAGTGTTTTTAACTTTGTATTTTGAGATTATTGTGGATGTGCATTCAATTGTGAGAAATAATTCAGAGAGATCCAGTGTGCCCCTTATCCGTTTTTCCACAGTAGTGACGTCTTGCATCATCATAGTATGATTTTATAACCAGGAAATTGCCATTGATAGAATCCACCAACCTTATTCATATTTCCCCATTTTATATGCATGCGTGTGTGTGTGTGTGTGTGTGTGTGTGTGTGTGTGTGTGGTGAGGGGAGGAATTTAGTCCCATGCAGTTTTATCCCTGAGTAGATTTGTGTGACCAGCACTGCAGTCAAGACCCAGAACAGTTCCATCGTGTCGGGAATCCCTGGTGTTGCCCTTTAATAGCCACATCAACCTCCCTCTGCCTGCCCACAATGCCTGGCCATCACTCATCCGTTTTCCTTTTCCCTAATATTGTTGTCTCAAGAATGTTATAGACATAGAATCACATAGTTGGTAGTCTTTTGGTATTCGTTTTCTTTTCACTTGCCATCACTCCCTCGAGATCCATCCACGTTGTTTCCTGTATCTGTAGCTCATTCCTGGTTATGGCTGAGTCCTATTCCATGGAATGGAGGTGCCACCGTTTGTTTAACCACTCGCCCAGTGAAGGATATTTGGGTCGCTTCCAGTTTTTGGCTATTACAAATAAAGCTGCAATGAACATTCACGTGCAGGTTTTGGTGTGAACAACATTTGGATTTCTCTGGGATAAATGCCTATGGAAGACTGATTTTGAACAGAGTCCAGGGCATTTGTGGTTTTGCTTTCTCCTTCTTGATGCCCAGTTTGATCTTGGGCTGGTGCCCCTCCCTGAGGCTACTGAGCAAAACAAGAGAGGCAGGCAGTTGCCTTTCAATTGTCATGAGGGGCTCAGTTCTTTCCTTTTTGGTGGGCTGCGATGGTCTGGGCTGACAAGCAAGGGAAGCAGAAGCCGTGGTTCTGCAAGGAGTGAACTCAGGGCTTCTATCGAAGGTTCCCCCTGGGTTCCCTCTGCTCCTTGGCTTGCTTGTGGCAACACCATGAGGAATGTACCATCTGGCAAGGCTCGGGGAAGCAGTAGGAACAGGAGTCAGGCCATTTGGGGTGAGCTGTGTGAGCTGGGGTAACTCGCATGGTCTAAATGTTCAGTAGCTTCTCATTTATATGTGGCACAGTGAACTGAGACACTCTCACTCCCCTTCTTTTGGAGTAGAGATTTAAGTGTCAGGCATACTCTAACAGGGACCATCACCGCTAAGAGGCTAAAATATATCCATTCACAGCTGTTATGGTGACCCTTGCAATGAGAAGTCCACTGCTCCATAGTGCAATAATATTAGGATTATAGTTTCACAGGGAGTGGGTCAAAAGCCCCATTAGTTGGAACAACATGCATCCCTTTTGTGAGACTGCGCTGTGTTATCACTGTAAAATAATGCTTTCTTTGATGAAGTGTCTGGACTTTTTGGGTAATTGGTGAGAAAATTAGGCACTATTCTTGTTGGCGGGGAGTCTGAGCAGAACTGGGCCATCCAACCTTCCCCTCGTTCTTGAGATCAAAATCCTCCTCCTGGAAGCTGGGCCTGCACAGGGCAAGTCTCCTGGCCTGTGGCACTGGAGTTTGTGAGACATGGGGAGAGGACAAGCCAGAGCTCCTCATTCTTCCTTGAGCTGGAGCGGAGGGTTTGGGACATGGACTAGCAGCTGCCAGGGGATGACAGGGGGTTGAATAAAGAGCAAGAGAAGCAGGGGGCCAATACATGAGTTAAAGGACTAGTCTTGGATCCTTCCTTGCATCCATGTGTTGGAATGGACCTGCTCACCATCACTGACCTTGGTGGGTTTGTGGTCTGGGGAAGACTGAGGCTCTGGTCTTACGGTATGAGGCTCTGTGAAAGACTGTGCTAAGGGGCCACTGCCACTCATCTCTTCCCAAGGTGCAGAGTCCATTTTCAGGGTGAAACCTCTGCTTACCCTGTACCTGACCTCTTCTCCATGGGTTAGCTGTGGACACTGTGAGCAGAGGGTGAAACCTCTGCTTACCCTGTACCTGACCTCTTCTCCATGGGTTAGCTGTGGACATTGTGAGCAGAGGGTGAAACCTCTGCTTACCCTGTACCTGACCTCTTCTCCATGGGTTGGCTGTGGACATTGTGAGCAGAGGGTGAAACCTCTGCTTACCCTGTACCTGACCTCTTCTCCATGGGTTAGCTGTGGACACTGTGAGACTTACGTGCCATGCTTAGATTTCACTTAAAATGAGGGGCTTCCAGAATTAACATTTTATCTGTATACAGGTCTCCAGAATAAGATGTGCTCACCGCAGGAGGTGCCGAAGGTAATCCACTGTGGTGCATAAAAACAATGGAACTTCCCTCCATATTATTATAAGCTTTGCTTTAAATAAATTATATTTCTGATTTTCTAATCTTTAGGTCAATAAAATTATACAATTTTATAAATAAATAAATGCTCATGTACTTAAAAAAAATGAGGGATTACATCAGTGTGGTCCCCAAGCCTGCCTGGTCACCAAGACATTGAGAGATTCTGAAAAAAACGTCACATTCTCAGGCTCATCCTAGAGGTCCTGAAGAATTTCCATGGGGGAGACAGGAATCTGTATGTTTTATTGACTTTCCAAATGATTTTGATGAACAACCAGTTTTGAGGGTGGCTGTATAAGATGACCTCTAAGGGAGTAGAGGACGTGCAAACACAAAGATGGAAGCGGGCCATTATTTTTATACTCAGTATCCTTGTATCATGAAATTCTAAAGCTTTCTGCATGCTCTCGTTCCCTTAATCTTCCCCTTTCAGGCATGGCAGTAAGAAAAATGCTACACAATTTGTGATGCTTTGGAGAGAAGGTGAAGCCCAAGAGGAACATTTCTTCTAAATTTCTTTCTTCTCAGAAATATTCAGAAATTATTCACCTGACAAAAAGGTCAGCTGGAAAGAACAGTTCACCACAAATTTGGGTTTCCTGAAAGAAGCAAACAATGGAGATTCTCATTGCTTCAGAGCTACATTTTTGAAAGAACCTTCTCTGCTCACTCTCTACTAATCTCCCACTAAAATGATACCAGCTGGCAGCTTGATCTGTGGTAGTCTGACTTCCTCTCCCACCGCTGCCCTGAAACAGATCTGGCTCACATCCCCAGTGACCTGCTCTTTGTCAGATTCAAAGGCTTTTCCATAGTTTTCATGCTGCGTACGTGACTCACCCCACACGACTCTCCAGTATTTTACAGAAGGATCGCTCCCTTCTGCTGTCTCCATGAAGCCATTTTCCCATGGATTTTTTTTTGTAATCTCTGGACATTCCTGGTGGTCTCTTTTTCTCGGCGTATCTTTTTCTGGCCTTTCCCAGATTCCTCTCCTCAGTCTCTTTTTCTGGAAAGTCACACATTGTATACACCCATCCTGTGTGATCTGATTCACCCCCCGGGCTTCCAGTATCACTTACACCTGGTGACTTCTTAATCTCAAGCCCAGATCTTTTTTCCTCAATCTCCACTTTAAATTCTACACATCCCAAACTATGGGGATCTTCCTCCCCAAACACACTCTGCCCGCTTTGTTAGTTTCGTGAATGGCATTACATGCAGTTGGCTGAGCTGGAAATCCAGATGTCGTTGTCTCTGGAAGTCTGTTCCTTCTTTATCCCATGCTTACTCCTCTCTTATCCTCTCTTTCCTGGACTATAGCAAAGCCTCCTAAATGGCTTTCATGTTACCTCTCGCTGTGCAGTTTAGAAAGTGATCTTTATGTAGCACATATTTTGCCATGTTTTTGCCCAGTTTAAAACATATGCCAAATTCCATCATCTATTACCATCTATAGCACCAGCTCCTTAAGGCTCTTTGCTGTCTTGCTCTGTCTGGCCTCTCCAGTTTCTTCTGCCGTCCTGCTCCATCTACCAGCCCTTGTTGCAAGCCTTCTGTGCTCCAGCCACACTGGACTTCCAGAGATCCCTAAACATGCCCTGTGTTTCCTGGATGAGGCCAGGTTCTGTGCTAGGAATGCCCTGTCTTAGAATGTCTTCTCTGCTTGATAAAACCCTACCCATCTCTCAAAACCTGTTTTATAGACAGAATGTTTTGTTTCCCCAAAATTCACATGTTGAAGTCCTAATACCCCATGTGGTGTTATTTGGAGATGGGACCTTTGGGAGCTTATTGGGTTTAGATGAGGTCACCAGGGTGAGCCCTGATCTGATGGGGTTAGTGCCCTTACGGGAAGAGACACCAGAGAACTTGCTCTGTCTTTCTTTCTCTGTCATGTGAAAATACAGCAGGAAGGTGGCCATCTGCAAGCCAGGGAGTGAGCCCTCCCCACAATCTGATCTTGCTAGCAACCTCATCTCAGACTTCCAGGCTCCAGAAATGTAACAAAATACATTTCTATCATTTAAGCACAAAGTCTGTGGTATTTTGTTATAGAGCCCAAGCTGACTAAGACAGTCCAGTTATCACATTCTTTGTGAAGCATTTTTGGATCCTCTGGACAGAATTGACCTCTGCCTCCACTAGGCTTCCACATCATTTTGTTCATGGTGCTAATAGAGCGCTTAGCATATTTTATTATGATTCCACCATCTGCCTCCTTCAGTACTGCCAGTGAGAAGCAGGGAGTGTGTTTAGTTCATTTTTCTATTCCTAATGCCACAGTAATTGGAACATGGAAATTTAATAAATGTTTATAGAACAAATGATGCCTTAAGCTTCCACGAAGAGATAAGAATAATAGTAATCACGAAAGCCATATGAACTAGCATTTATTTATTTATTTATTTATTTATTTATTTATTTATTTTTGAGACAGAGTTTCACTCTTGTTGCCCAGGCTGGAGTGCAATGGTGCGATCTCAGCTCACTGCACTTTCTGCCTCCCGGATTCAAGCGATTCTCCTGCCTCAGCCACCCGAGTTGCTGGGATTACAGGCATGAGCCACCATGCCCGGCTATTTTTTGTATTTTTAGTAGAGACAGGGTTTCACCATGTTGGCCAGACTTTGATCCACCCATGTTGGCTTCCCAAAGTGCTAGGATTACAGGTGTGAGCCCCTGCGCCCAGCCCAAACTGGCATTTATTGAAGCCTACTATGTTCCCGGCACTTAAAATATATATTTAGACCTCGTACTGGCTCTATGGAATGGGAATTGTGGGTATTATTGTCCCCATTTGATAGAAGAAAGACTGAGGCACAGAAAGGATCAGTCATTTTCCCTAAGTATGTTTGCAGGAGCCACGTGTGAAGTCCCAACAGCCTGACTTCATTCCCTACTTCTCTAGTCTAGAGCTGAGCGCTCATTCTTTCCTGAGTAGGGATTGATGAGGAGGGAGAGGGGCTGGGGGCTTCAGGGAAGGAGCAGAAGTGCAGAAAGAGGCCGGGATCTAGAATCAAAGCAGCTTCCCTTTGCAATTTAGCTAGGCTGGGCTGGCATTGCAACTGCAATTTTCTTATCTCAGGCTGGGGGATTGAAAAAGAGAGTAACAGAGACAGAGAGATTTTCCTGACAAGCTAGCACCGGCTTGACAGTTCCAGTCTTCACCATCACCTCAGTCAAATCTCCAAGTGAGAGAAGAAGGAGAAAATCACTCTAGGTTTGAGGAGTATTTCTTTTAAAGCATGTAGTCAAATGGCCTCACCACCAGACAAGCAGATCACATACAGATGATTTAGCTGCCATGTCGCTGAGTTCATGGAGTGAGGAATTCCCATTCCCATCTCCAAGAGGACTGGAACTAAATAAAGTTGAACTGACACCTGACAGTGCAGTGCTCGGGAATCTATTTGAGTTCCTATTTAAAGGTGCATAGCCTTATTTTAAATTAGTTTCCCAGGGTTTGGATAAGACTCTCCAGGGCATCAAAATATAAATTTTCTTGCACTGTAAAAAGCTTCCTTTGCTTAGAAAGCTTCAAAATATTTCTGTACCACATGCTTCTCTATCCATTGGGAACTGTAAGGCTCAAAATAATAGTAATAATAATTACTATTCTTTCCTTATATATATTTTTAAATATAGAGACAGGGTCTCACTGTGTCACCCAGTTTGGACTGTAGTGGCATGATTTTAGTTCACTGCAGCCTTGAGCTCCTAGACTCAAGTAATCATCCTACCTTGGCCTCCCACGTAGCTGGGACTACATGCATGCGCCACTATACCTGGCTAATTTTTAAATTTTTTCTTGTAGAGATGAAGTCTCATTATGTTGTGCAGGCTGGTCTTGAACTTCTGGCCTTAAGTGATCCTCCCACCTTGGCCTCCCAAAACACTGGGATTACAGGCATGGGCCATCATGTAGCGTAATAGTTACTATTATTTCTGCCAAGTACTTTCCTGTATTATCTCATTGAAATATCACCCATCCCTTATGGGGCAAGTAGTATTATTATCTTAAATTTGCAAATGAGAAGACTGAGGCTCAGAGAGGTTAGGTCACTTGCTCAAAGTCATACAGGTAGTGAGGGAGATAAATGAGTATGTTTGCATTCTGCCCAATCTGTAACTGATGGAACTATAAACTTCTACTTCAACGTTAAGTAACACAGGCTACCCAAGCTCTGAACTCTGGAATTAAGGGCACCTAGCCCTCTGCTCAGGGTTTCTTTGCCAGGACCCAATTTGGGGTGGAAGGCTTTGTTGGTGATTTGGGTGGGAGATAGCTGCTTAGTGTGTGGCCTTGAAGTAGTTCATATCCACCCCATGTCTCAGTTTTCCCATGTATAGTAAGGGTGACAAGCCTCACCCACTAAGTTCGGGCACATCTAGCAGGACCACATGATAAATGGGTTTAAGGAATTTCAGGCTGGATGAGGTGGCTCATGTCCACAATCCTCACACAGTTTGGGAGGCCAAGGCGGGATGATTGTTTGAGGCCAGGAGTATAAGCCTTCAGTGAACCACAATTGTACTACTGCACTGCAGCCTGGGTGACAGAGTGACACAGTATCTTTTAGAAGGAAGGGAGGAAGGAAAGAAAAAGAAAGAAGAAAGAAAGAAGGAAGGAAGGAAAGAAAGAAAGAGAGAAGGAAGGAAGGAAGGAAAGAAAGAAAGAAAAGAAAGAAAGAAAGAAAGAAAAAGAAAGAAAGAAAGAAAGAAAGAGAAAGAGCCTACAGCCTGGCCCATGGGCACCTGGCTTTCTAGAGCCGCTCAGCTTCTCTACCTCCATCTCAGTGTCCACTTGGGGTGGGGGGTGGCAGAAGAAACTCTGATCCTGTGTTTATTCCCTTTAGCTCCTGGCCCGGTCAGGATTCCTTCCCAAACTGGAGTCTTAATCACACAGAGCAATTACACGGAAACAGAACAACAAATCGGGATCGATACAGACTTGACTGTTGACTGGAAGAAACAAAATTTATGACTTGACTGGATTATGCTTACCAGCCAAGAATAGCTGTAATTCCAAGCAACCCCACCGACCAGGATCAATCATGGCATTTTATTACTTTGCTAAACCCTGCTAGCTCCCCACCCCACAACCCCCATCCAGTTAGAACCCAATCTCCAAGGAAAATATTGCACTTGTTATCAAATTTTAGAAAGAGAATTTATTGCAAAGGCAGATTGATTTAAAGCCTTCTTCTAAAGGGGAGCAGAGGGAGGTGGAAAGGTAAATTTTGCTTCGTCTTTTAGATTGGTTCTTTTGCTTATCCCTCCTTTTTATGACATAATCTGTTGTAGCATTACCCAGGGTCCTCTGGGCTAAAGCTTCTTGCCTGGCATTAGATAAGGGGGAGATATTGTCTGGGTGTAAAGTTTAAAGCCCGTGGCAAGGGCTCATTTTTCTCATTTCAGGCAAGGGAGAAAGGATATAAAATGAAAAGCAAGCAATCAATAAGGAAGAAAGATAGAGATCTTCCCCAAAAAAGGAAAAAAAGAAATCCTCACCTCACTGATGACTCCTCTAACTAAGACTTTAACAGGCGGATAATGAGCTCATAGATCCTCCGGTTGGGGCAGGGCTGAAGAGCAGACCCCCAATGCCATCATAGTCCACTCCCCCTCTCCTCTTGCATCCTGCAGTAATGGGATGCAACTCCCATTGCGAGCTTTTGGATGTTTTTATAGACAACTCAGCCTTCCTTATTCCTGTCAGTCAACCTTTAAAGTAAGAGCAGAATGGTTAATTACTTATCTGGCAATCAGGATGGGGAATTGTGGTGGTTTGTTCAAATCATGTAATAAATGCTGTAATCCTACCTGCTGAAGTGGAGGTATCTACCCGCCCCCCCCGCCCGGCCCCGTGGCTCATGACAAGATGAAGGAAAAGGTGAAAGTATTCTTTGGTTAATCCTGGAGTTTATGATAGACTAGTCTGATTTAATGGCTCTGCAGTCACTCTGTTGTTAGAAAATCAATATTTTCCTAAGAAAGTGTATGGACTGCCATAAATACACTCCCAGTTGTATGAACCTTGGCTACAGAACTTACATACTGCAGAGACCATAATGAGTGGTGAGGAAACAGCCTCCCAAAGCAGCAGGAAAGCAGAGCAGCCCATAAAGAAGCCTCAGGAGCTGTCTGTGGGTTCAGCTCCTCAGAGACCCCGAGAAGCTCTCCTGCAACCACTAGGGAGAGAGGGGAATCTATGATTGGTTTTCACTGTGGAGTTCTTTTGAGTCACACATTCTGGAAAAATAGAGGGGATCGTAGACAGGGAACGTACCCTCAGGGCCAGACACAATGCTTTCAAGAGGGATAGAGGGGAAAGAACCTCAAGAGAAAGGCAAACGATGTCATGGGATGAACATAGGAGTAGCAATTGGAACACTGAGTGTGAATCCTTCTCTACCACTTTCCTGGGGGGCCGCGAGCCAGTCATACACCCCAGCTTTACAGAGGAGGAAACTGAGGCTGAGATGGGTTTATCACAGCTAATACATGCAACTGTTTTGAGTTTAAAAGAAGGTACATGTTGGACATTGCCGTTTATTTTGGCTCCCCAGCATCAAATCCCGCCTTCTATGTTCAGGAATTTTACATCTCATTGAGTCTTGGTGAGAGTTAGAGCCCTCTGTCTGCTACAGAATCTGAAAATGTACTTCCCAGCATCCTTCACAGAAAGGGCATTTGGGCATTTTCTAGCCTCTTTCACAGGTAGGACACCGCATCCAGTGCAGCTGTGGTCAAACACACCTGCCCCAGATTGGAATCAGCTGCTCGCGTGGTAAAGAAGCAGCAATGGTGAGGAGTTCCCTGGCAGCAGTGATGGTTGTGGAGACCTCTGGATTCTGGGTGCAGCTGTGGGTGACCACTGTCCAATGGCTGCAGCATGGGCAATGCCAGCTGTGGAGTCTGGGGTTCAGCATGGGAGCGTGTTACCTTATAAGACTATCTGTAGATAGATTTTAAATGTCACATCTGCCTCTGCAGGCTTAGAGGTTTTGTGCACATTGTCATACTTAATTTTGTCACAAAGTGGACTCCTTCATCGGAGGGGATGTTTAGAGGTTTGTTATGAAACACGGGATGCTCTGTAAGGCCTCAGATTGTGGAGCTGACAAATGCACTGTGGGTGGGAAAGGCAATGAAACACCCCAAATACATCTGAAATACATCCATCTGGAATCACTGTCTTCTCCAGGAAATAGGGATCCAGTGTGAACATCTTATCACTAAGGGACCATGTGATCTGCTTGAGAGACGGCACCATGTCGGGGGCACAGTATCAATAATTCCTATTGTTGGCAGGTCAGACTTTCAGAAGAGTGGCAACGATCAGGCTTGCTGACACGGAACCCATGCTGCTCAGCCCATGCATGCATATCCTCTACCTCTGCTCTGTGACTGCTCCATGCACAGGCCCATTGTGCAAGAAATGGCTGAGGATGGGGGCTGAAGCACTTCCATGGGATGTGTCCTCATGTCCACTTGCTGGTTGAGAGCATCTTCTCAGGTGAATGCTCTCTTCTCCACACACTCTGTGCCCACTCCCATGAGTCCACCCTGCTTTATTCCCAGGCCTCTTTGTTTCGGATTGTTCAAAGTGACTCCTCCAAGGCCCCCAAGCAATGATTCAATCCATTCGCCACTGCCTAAGGGGAGACAGATATCTTTTCCTCAGGCTGCTTCACTCTCCATTCAGATATTTACTGCTCAAAGTTCTGCCCCCTGGAGGGTTTTCCATGTACCACCATCTTTCAGAACTATTCCTGAGGGGGCTGTGTTATTACAGCAGTCTCTTTTACACTCTTGGAAAAATAGCAAGCTGACCCTATCATGAACCAAGCCTAGGTGTTGTACACTCTAGTCAGCTGAGGAGGCCGGAAATATGAGCCAAAAAAGAGGTTCAGTGCACAGAGGTAGCTGGCATGGGGGTCCAGACCACCCTTCATTGTAGAATGGATTGCTGCTGTGCCCCTTCAACCTTATAACTTAATGTGTCTGAAAATATCCAGCTCATCTTTGGCACCTACAGTAATATAGTCATGGATATTGCATAGCCAGATGACTTAGTAGCATGCCAGGAGCTGCCTTTTCAATAGTGAGTAATGTTCTCCTGTAGATGTCTTGCTCCAAAGCCCTAGGATTCTGCACCTCAACTCTACAATTCAGGCTTTCTAGAAATGCCATTAAGCACTCTTATCTGCCACAAATATGTCTAAAAATCATGGAAGCTGATGAATTATATGGGCAAATCATTAGGGCCACTTGTACCATAACCTATTGCAAAATGCTGTTTGGCCCTGCTCACCACTCAAAACTGACAATTCTAAGTCATCAGGAGTCATAGCAGTATTCCTAAGAGGGACATGTGCTGCCATCAAAAATCCAAAGAAGCCCACAAGTGCTGAATCTTTTTCCAGGTGGTAAGAGATGCAATATACAATAATTTATCCTTTACCTTGGAGAGAATGGCTTGACAGACTGCATCCCACTGGGCCTCTAAAATCTTCAGGGATGGAGTCGGCTCCTTGATCTTTGCAGGTTTACTTCCCAATAACTGGTGCACATGTGTCTTTACAAGGTATCCAGAGATCTTGCTATTTTTCACTCATCGAGTCCAATTAATGTGGTTTCAGTACAGCCACCCAGATGACCCTATTCCAGGCATCCCTTTTCTGACTCTAGCATAGGAAAATTACCAGAGCTGTGAAATCAGCCATATTGAAAATTCTGTGACGTTTGGAAATCAGACTGTGGGCCTGATTTTTGGCAGTCCTCTCTTCATCTGCAGGAGATAAGGCCTTCTTTAAACACTTTCATAAAATGATAAATTTTATACAACCGTGTTGTGTCTTATTTTACTCTATTTATTATCAGTAATGGAACCCTTGTCACATGGCCAGCAAGTGATCTAATTTTAGAATTCCATTCTGAGAGTCTCCTTCTTAATACTACTTCTGGTACCGACTGACTTAAGATTTTCCAAGAAGACCCTGAGACAAGGATATAAGTACCAATATTTTATTTGAAGGAGATGTCAGCTATGCCGGTAAGTAGACAGTGAATGGGAAAAGGTCAATAAAGACTGTGTTTTCAAGCAAGTTTGCACTGTAAGCATCTGGAACATAATTTTTCTGGGCGATCTGTTTCCCTGCCCAAATCTCATGTCAAATTGTAATCCCCAGCATTGGAGGTGGGGCCTGGCAGGAGGTGATTCGATCATGGGGGCACATTTCTCCCTTGGTGCTATTCTTGTGACAGTGAATGAGTTATATAAAAGTGTATGGGACCTCCCTTCTCCTTCCCACCCTGTTGCTCCTGCTCTGGCCTTGTAAGACATGCCTGCTCCCCTTTTGCCTTCCACTATGATTGGAAGTTTGCTGAGGCCTCCCCAGAAACAAGCTGCTATGCTTCCTGTACAGCCTGCAGAACTGTGAGCCAATTTTACCTCTTTTCTTTATAAATTGTCCAGTCTCAGCTATTTCTTTATAGCAATGTGAGAATGGACTAATACAGCAATCTAGAAGCCAGTGTTGAATAAGCACTTCAAGATTATCTTGTCTGAGAGGTAAGAGAGGATGGATATTTGTTTATCAACTCCTCTCAGTCATTGTTTGAGGGCGCCAATGGCTAGAGTGTGACCCAGTGCATATGGGAAGTGGCTGGGTACCCGCAGGACTTGCTTCACTTCTGCTCAGCTATCTCTGTGCAGGACCAGGCCAATGGAGGCAGCGGTGTAAGGTATAGGGTGTGGGGCTATGTCACTGTGTGCCTCTGTGCTGTGCCTAACTTTGAGGGGAAATATACCAAAACAAGCTCTCAGGACAGACTGGCATATAGTAGATGTTCAGTAAATTAATCCTGAGTATTAGAGATCCGAGGGATTTAGGGAAGAAGGGGGCTATCAGAAGTATAGCAGACAAGAAGACTGACATCATTAGAGGGCTGGCCTGTGCTGCCCAAGTGCCAGGGCAAGAGAGTCCATGTGCCCTAGATCTGGGGAGATGTCTTTGTACCAGTCCATGATGCCCAGAGAATCTTTCAGAAAGGAATGAGTCCATTCTCCCTTTTCTATCCCGTTGCTTAGGGCAGGTAGACGGTGCAGGGTGGCTCCCTGGGCAGCAAAGTCTGGTTGAATCGTGAGGCTCAGAGGGCCTCGTTATCTCCTCCAGCCACTTGCCTGGAAGGCTCCTATCCTGGGAAACAAACCTGGGAAGTAGGAAGAGAGGAAGTGGCTGGAGAAAGAATGAGCAATTACACATGGCAAGCACCAGCCCCAAACATGCAATTACTTTTCAAACAGGCTATTTACAGCCCGTCAGACAGAGCCTGCAGGGAGTGGGAATTGTGTAGTCTGAGACTGGACAGGGCTCCGAGAGGCAGGGAAGTGAGCATCAGGGCTGGCTCATTGATGTGTGAGGCAGAGAGACAGACCCACAGCAGGGAGCCAGCAATTGGGAGAGGATGGAAAGGGCAGTCAAGATCCCCTCTCTGATCTGCCGCCTCACCACTGACACTTCTGCAGGAGCCCAGCTCCTCACTGTCCTGGTCAAGTCCACCAGGGCCACCCCCTCTCCAAGACTCCACCTTCACTGTCTTCCCCACCCACTGCCCCTCCTTGTCTTTCTCCTGGTCCTCAGCCTGGTTTCTACCGCCCTGGGCAAAACTCCCCTGAGTGCCCCCACCCACCCCAATAACTTACTTTCTGAACCATTGGAACCTTAATTCTTATTGCCATTCACTTCCCACAGATTGTTTTGTCAGTGTCATCTGTTCCCAGCTAAAATTCATTGTCTTATTTTTCATTTGTGTACTCCTGTGATCTTAGTCTAGTGAACAAGATCACTGAATCACTTCTGACTTGATCACCACATGCCTCCGTTTCCTTGTTCATGAAATGGGATTCAAAATAGTACTTTATTCTTAGGGTTGCTGTGAGGGCTATAGCAGTGACTGCTAGTTACGTGCTTAGCACAGTGCCTGGTTTAGAGTGCAAACTCAGTCAACATGGAACGGACACATGTGAGGCCTTGGCTTGCTAGGGACCTGTTCGGTGTTTCTGGGGCTCAGATAAAACCACGATGGTCAGGTCACTCTTTCACTTCTTCCACATTTTGACTCATTTAAGTTAGAATAGGAAAAATGTATATAATTATAGGATGTATTTTAGAAGAGTTTCTTGCAAGTCTTTTTGGTTTGGAACCATTTAAATTAGTTCTGCATAGTCAAGACCTAAAGACCTGTATTCCAATACCTTTATTGGAACTGCTTATATTAGTATGTATAGACAAGATCTGAAAGTCCTCTTTTGTGCTTACTAGAGAGGAATTTCAGAACTGTTATATATACCCAATACAGGTTTTGGTCAGCCTCATTTTCAAAAGGGATTGTTCCCCAGGGTCATTTACGATTATTAGAGTGAGGCAGATCTTCAAAGGCATGTCTGTGTTAGGGGAAGCAACTGGGACCTTATTGCCATGCTGGGTTGATTGTGCTGAAGATGAGAACATTCGATGATGTCATTTAGGGATGGCCTTGGCAGATACTGCACCTGCTCCTCTTTTAGGTATGGCTCCTCTTAGTTAGATACCGGATTGGGACAGCTGTCCCCTTTGCCTAAGTATAAAGCAACTCTGAGCCCCTCGAGGAAAAACACTGGAGAGCTAAAATCAGAGCAGTGCTTAGATCTTAGCTCAGACTTCATGCTGCATCTCCTCTGTTTGTCTTCCACATCCTTCTCTACCCCAATCTTTGCTCTCAGTCCAGGGACATTGACCTCTGGGGACTGTCTCAATTTGCCCTTTTGCCCTCTGGTTTCTACCTGGGTTTAGCCGATGGGAGGCACCAACAGGAAATCAGAGAGAGAGGTTGGAATAATTATTCCTTTGGTTCTTTCCTTCTGTCCTGCAGATTGGCAGAGGTTGATCTCTCTGTGTAAGGCCACAGCTTCACCAGGGCTGCGGTCACCTATAACTTTCTAGTGTCTTTCTGGCGGCTATTCCCTCCTTTGCCTTGAGAGCCAAGGGATGGGAACAGCCCTTGTTGTCCTGACATATTTCACTACTTCTCTTAATGCTTCTCCTAACTTTGTAAAACAGCCTCTGCATTAAACTTTGCTCAAACATTCAGTTGTTCTCCCCCTGACATCTATGAGGCAGCTTGGTACAAGTGGAAAAGAGTGTAGGTTCTGCAGTGAGATTTTCTGGGTTCATACACCACTTAACATTTTAAGTTTCTCTTTAAAAATTAATTTTAAATCTGTAATTGATATATAATAAGCATGCATATTTATGGGGTACAGTGTGATGTTTCAATACATGTATACATTGTATAATGATCAAATCAGGGTAATTAGCAGATCCATCACTTTAAACATTTATCATTTCTTTGCAGTGACAACATTCAAACTCTTCTAGTTTTCCCAAAATATACACTACATTGTTATTTGCTATAATCACCCTACTGTGCAATAGAACACAAGAACATATTCTTTCAGTCTAACTGTAACTTTGTAACTATCGACCAACCTCTTGCATTACTCTCCTCTCTGCCTCCCAGCCTCTGGTAATCACTATTTACTCTCTAATTCTATGAAATCAACGTTTTAAGATTCCACATATGAGCTAGACATACAGTGTTGGTCTTTCTGTGCCTGGCATATTTCACTTAACATAATGTCCTCCAGGTTCATTCACCCTGTCGCAAATGACAGGATTTCATTCTGTTTTATGGCTGAATAGTGTTCTATTGTGTGTGTGTGTGTGTGTGTGTGTGTGTGTATATATATATATATATAAAATTTTCTGTATTCATTCTTCTGTAGATGGGCATTTAGGTTGATTTCATATCTTGGCTATTGTAAATAGCACTGCAGTAAACACAGGAGTGCACATATCTCTTCAATATACTGATTTCATTTCTTTTGGATATACACCTAGCAATGAAATTGCTGAATCATTTAATAGTTTACATTTTAATTTTTTGAGGTACTTCCATACTATACTATAAAGGCTATAGTTTTTTTACATTCCTACCAATAGTACCTAATAGTTCCCATTTCTCCACATCCTCACCAGCTCTTGTCACATTTTGTTTTTTCGATGATAGCCATCCTAACTGGGGCAGAGTGATATCTCATTGTGGTTTTGAATTGCATTTCCCTGATAATTAATGATGTTGAGGACTTTTTCATGTATCTGTTGGCAATTTGTATGTCTTTTTTTGAGAAATGTCTATTCAGGCTTTTCCCCCTTTTTAAATCTGATGATTATTGTTGTTTGCTATTGAGTTGTTTGAGTTCCTTATATAGTCTGGATATTAACTACTTGTTAGATACACAGTTTTTCTCTCATCCCGTAGGTTGTTTCTCCACTCTATTGTTTCTTTTCCAGTACAGAAGCTTTTTAGTTTGATGTAATCCTATTTGCCTATTTTTGCTTTTGTTGCCTGTGGTTTTGAGGTCTTATTGAAAAAATCTGCACTCAGTCCAATTTTATGCAGTGTTTCTCCAATGTTTTCTTGTAGTAGTTTTATAGTTTCAGGTCTTGCATTTAAGTCTTCAATCTATTTAGAGTTGATTTTTGTATATGGTGAGAGATAGGGGTATAGTTTTATTTATTTATTTATTTATTTATGACAGAGTCTTACTCTGTTACCGAGGCTGGAGTGCAGTGGTGTGATCTTGGCTCACCGCAACCTCCGCCCCCAGGGTTCAAGTGATTCTCCTGCCTCAGCCTCCCGAGTAGCTGGGACTGCGGGTGTGCACCACCATGCCAGCCTATTTTTTTTTTTTTTTTTGTATTTTTAGTAGAGACAGAGTTTCACCATGTTGGCCAGACTGGTCTTGAACTCCTGACCTCAAGTGATCCACCCACCTCAAAGTGCTCAAAGTCTCTCAAAGTGCTGGGATTACAGGTGTGAGCCACTGCACCCAGCCAGGGGTCTAGTTTTAATCTTCTGCAGGTGTATATCCACTTGTCCCATCGCCATTTATTGATGGGATGTCCTTTCTCCAATGTGTGGAAGACATGTGTGGAGTTGAGCGAAGATATTGAACTGTGTAATGGTTAATACTGAGTGTCAACTTGATTGGATTGAAGGATACAAAGTATTGATCCTTTGTGTGTCTGTGAGGGTGTTGCCAAAAGAGATTAATATTTAAGCCGGTAGGCTGCGGAGGGCAGATTCACCCTTAATCTAGTGGACACAATCTCATCAGCTGCCAGCGAATATAAAGCAGGCAGAAAAAACGTGAAAAGGAGAGACTGGCCTAGCCTCCCAGCCTACATCTTTCTCCTATGCTGGGTGCTTCCTGCCCTCGAACACTAGACTCCAAGTTTTCCAGTTTTGGGACTCAGACTGGCTCTTCTTACTCCTCAGCTTGTAGACAGCCAATTGTGGGACCTTGTGATCATGTAAGTTAATACTTAATAAACTATTCTTTAAATATATATATAATATGTGTGTGTGTGTGTGTGTGTGTGTGTGTGTGTGTGTGTGTGTATCCTATTAATTTTGTCCCTCTAGAGAACCTGACTAATACAAACTGGTATTGAGCTGACCGATCTAAAGAAAAATTTCCAGGGAATAAGATTGGGCAGATAATAGCTAAGAATACTGGAGGATGCTGGGGAGTAGGAGGGGTATAGAAGTATTCTTTTTTTTTTTTTTTTTTTTTTTTTGAGACAAGGTCTCACTCTGTCACCCAGGCTGAAGTGCAGTGGCATGATCATGACTCACTGCAGCCTCAACCTCCTGGGTTCAGGTGATCCTCCCAGCTAAGCCTCCTGAGTAGCTGGAACTAAAGGTGTGCACCACCATGCCCGGCTCATTTTTTTTTCTTGTATGTTTTGTAGAGACAGAGTTTTGTCATGTTACCCAGGCTGGTTTTGAACTCCTGGACTCAAGCAACCCTCCCACCTCAGCCTCCCAAAGTGTTGGGATTACAGGCATGAGACACTGCCTGGCCAGAAGTATTATTTTTGAGTGTGGTTATTTGAAGAAGTATAGGCAGGACTTTTTGGCCAATGTAATATTCCTCCAAAGTGCTGGAAGGCTAGAATTCCATTCAGCTCTCCAATCTTCCAGGCATAGGTGAACTCTATTCTAGACTGGAGTTTCTCGTCCCACATTGCCAATTCAATTTTTCCTCAGTTTGATTCTTCTTAGAGTGGTTGATGAGCTTCTGTTTCTCTTATAATATGTGGGACATCTTGGACCCTCCATCTTACACCTTCCCGACTTACTTACCTGTGACTTTGGCAATTACTGCAACAGCAGGTTGCATGCACAGGTAGTCTGATCAGAGTGGCTAGAGCCTTGTGACTTTTCTCTTACTTTCTGCTCTTGAGCTTCTCTGTGTCTACCTTGGAGGATGCTGTGGGATATTGCTCAGTTGTGCTGGTTCAAATACCCATGTGGAAGAGCTAGGGAGTTAAACAATGTCTGGGCAAATTCTTTACCGGTGGATAAGGAGCCAATGCATGAATATTTCCCTCTCCTTATTGTGGACAATTCTGAAGCAGGGTACACAACTCTTCAAGGGCCTGGTGGGATTGAGTCTCAGTTATTTGCGACTACTGAATCAACTCAGTCATACACACTGGGATTGACTTTTTCTCCTTTCCCTTTTTACTCTTCCCATTCCCTCCAACCCATTCCATAGGATTGCCATCCCAAATAAACTACATACTGGCAAGCCCTTGTCACAAGTTCTGTGTTGTTTTATGCATGATGAATATATTCTAAGCTAAGACATCATTTTATTTGGTATTCAGTTATTATATGCATTTTATGGTTGCATTTTATGCTACTTTAATGAACATAGTTTATACTCTCTTAATAATCCACAAATAGCTGGAAGTGAGCCCTTCATAAATAAGACCACGATTTCAACAATGAGTCTTAATGGCCATCTTCTTCAGTGAGTTACAAATTCCAGCAAGCTTGGCATCTGTTGAAGCAGGATGGTCCAGTGGAAAGAACGATAAAGCGGGAGTCAGGAGCATCAGCTCTTTGATCCAGCCCTATCATTCTCTAATTATATGATTAAAAATACTTGTTTTAACAGCTGTATTGAGATATAACTTATATACCACAATAATCACCCAATTAAGGTGTATAATTCAATGGTTTTGAGTATTTATAGAGTTATACAAACATCTCCATAATCTAATTTTAAAACATCTTTGTTACCCCCCAAATAAATCTTGTGCCCATTAGCAGTCACTCCTCACTCCCCTAATTGTCCCTTCTCACTCCCCAGCTCTTTCCCCCGCCTTCCAGATTCAGGCAGCAACTGATTTACTTTCTATTTCTATAGATTTGCCAATTCTGGACATTTTGTATAAATTGGATCAGGCAGTTTTGGTCTTTTGTGACTAGATCCTTTCACTGTGCAGAAAGTGTTTGATGTTGATCTATACTGTAGTGTTGGCTGTGTGATTCTGAGTAACCACTAACCTCTGTGTCCTGCTTCCTCCTCTGCTCCCTGGAAGAGGTCTCTGAGGTCCTTTCCAGCCCTAGGAGTCTCAGGCAAGCAATGTTAAGTAGCACAGAAACCTAGAGGAACTATGGGCCCAGTGTTTAATTTTTCAGCTATGAGCTAAAAGAAGAGGAACAATGTTTATTGCTGAGCTCCTATTCGACAGTTGATACCCGTGTGTGCACAGAAACCAATTACCTATGAGGAGTAATTGAAATCATTAATACCCACAAACAAATGTGTCTATTCTGCAAGTAATTTGCAGTAACATTTAGTAATTGATAGTAATTTTTAGTAATTAAACACTAAGTAGTTAATTTGCCAAGCTACACAGCCATTTTAATGGGGTTCCTTGGTGTTCCCACAGCAAATCTTAATTACTTAACCCAAGCACCACGAATATTTCTGTCATTTCTGAAAAAATATACAGCATGTGCTATTCTGGGTAAGCTGCAGTAGAGAGGAAGCCAAGGAGAGGAATTATTTTCCTGGGCAGTAGTAATTAAAAGACTGAAGCTATCGTTTGGGCCAATAAAAGGTCGTGGAGTGAATCCCTGTGTGTGTGTGTGTGCGTGTGTGTGTGTGTGTTTGTGTGTGTGTGTATATATATATTTATCTATCTATCTATCTATCTATCTATCTATCTATCTATCTATCTAATCTATCTGTATTTTGTCTCTGCTTCACAGAAAGTCAAAGTGAAATCTGGGTTATAACAACTTATTTCTCTCTCCTCCTTCTCCTAAATGTTTTGGCCCAGACTTTATGAGGTTTGTTCAGGCTATTACAAACCCACGTCTGAGTTGCTTGTGGCAGGGAGCAATCATAGAAACCCACTTTTTTCTTCAGGATACCATCTGCAGTTCTGATTTTGATATTCCCATTCAATAGGCCATTCGTAGTGATTTATTAGCTGTAGAGGACAGATAGTAGCTTGCTCAGCATCTTGCCCTCCTTCCTTTTTCTTCACAGTACCCCAAATTTATTCCGGAATCCATCCCTTTTCCTTGCAGCCTATGTGATTGGGTGAAGCTCTTGCTGGGGTGGATCTTGATTAGTCTAAGCCAGTCATGGTGATTCCACTACAGGCTCTTGCTGGAGACCGGTTCAGGAAGTCAGGCTGCTATTGGTCCGGGAGTGATCATGTGACTCTAGCTGGCTCAGTGAGAGAGAAGAAAAGGGCGTTTCTTTCGCAGGTAGGAGAGAGACTGTCTTCCCTCTCCCTGCCTTTCTGGGTATGAGGAAGGGAGCACATTGGCTGCAGGGGCTGCAGGCAGCCATCTTGACGCCACGTGGGAAACGAGGTCTCAGAACAAGGTCTACCCAAAGATGGATGGAGTCAAGAGAACTGCAGAGAAACTGAACCTAAGTTCTACTGTGCCTAGAGTTCTATTTTCTCAACTTCTAGTCAAGCGAGATGATACATTTTTCTCAGGTTTTTGTCAAGTTTGAACATGGCTGTCTGCCATTTGCAGCCCCAAGTATCTTGACTCATTTGACACCAGTCTTCATCTTTCACCCTAATCCAATTGCTGCATTCCTGAAATAAGTCTCCATACTTGGCTCACGTATTATTGTCACGGCTTGTGCCACTTGTCTCTTTCTGGGGGAGATTCTGCACAAGCAACACTGTGAACTTTCAAGCTCGGCTCCAGGCCCACCTCCTCTGTGGAGCCTTCACTGAGCACCTCAGTCCTCTATGAAATTCTGTAAGTTGTTGTCTGAGCTCCGTATTTGACATTCCTCATTTACAGACAGCATGTACACATCTTCTCAACTACATTCTGCACAACAGTGATGGTGTCATCTGACCTGACAATCCGGAGGGGAAGATGAACTAGACACCCATAGAAACTAACACCAAGAGGTCTTGTCGAGGTAGAAAAGAGAGAGAAGTCTGGCAAACACTGCAGACATTCAGAGGAGGAGGAGGCCATTTTGGACAAGTTTAGCTGGGAAGATGGGGAAGTTTCTTGAAGAGTTAGAACCAAAATGGGAGCTTTAAAATGCAGAGGATAAAGGTTATATGTGAATGTATTCTTTTATTCATTTTGTTATTATTTATTGAACATCTACTCTATACCAAGCATCGTGCCAATTTTTTCCTCCCATGTATCTCGTCTTATTTAAATTTCAAAACAACATCTATGGAATATATATGGTTTCCATTTTACAAATGGAGATACTTGTCATCAGAGAGGTATATAATTTTTCCCCAAAGTTGGGAATAGGCATCAAACCTAGATCTCTTCACCCAAAGTTCAAAGCAGTTTCTATACCTCACAGCTACAGTCCAACTCTCATCAAATGGGGTCAGCAAATAGCGTCAGCAAACATTTTTTCTAAAGGCCAGATAGCAAATATTTTAGGTTTTATGGGCCAGTCTCTGTTACAGCTACACCATTCTGCTGCTGTAGTAGAACAGCAGCTATAGACAATGTGTAAATAATACATGTTCCAATAAAACTTTACTTAGAGCATTAACATATAAATTTAACATAATTTTCACATGTCGCAAAACAATATTTCTTCTTTTTTTTTGACTCCTAACCACAAAAAAACGTAAAAACAGGCAGTAGGCCAGAGTTGGCCATAGTTTGCTGACCCCCTTGTTTTTTCCTGCCAGGATATTTTTATTTTTTATTTTATTTATTTATTTTTTTTGAGATGGAGTCTTGCTCTGTCGCCCAGGCTGGAGTGCAGTGGTGTGATCTTGGCTCACTGCAAGCTCCGCCTCCTGGGTTTACACCATTCTCCTGCCTCAGCCTCCCGAGTAGCTGGGACTACAGGCGCCTGCCACCACGCCCAGCTAATTTTTTGTATTTTTAGTAGAGACGGGGTTTCACCGTGTTAGCCAGGATGGTCTCGATCTCCTGACCTCGTGATCTGCCCGCCTCAGCCTCCCAAAGTGCTGGATTACAGGCATGAGCCACCGCGCCCGGCCCCTGCCAGGATATTTTTAATTTCGTGTAGCAAGAACATTTAACATAAAGTCTACGCTTTTAGCAAATTATGACGTTTACAGCACAGTATTATTAACTTGAGGCATGATGTTTTACAGCAGATCTCTAGAACTTACTCATCTTGCATTATTGAAGCTTTATAACATTGAATAGCCATGCCCCATTCCCTTTCCCTGTAGCCTCTGGCAGCCCTCATTCTACTCTCTGTTCCTATAAGTTTGACTATTTTAGAGACCTCATGTGAGTGAAATCCTACAGTATTTGTCCTTCTGTGACTGGCTTATTTTACTTAGCATAGTGCCTTCCAGGTTCACCTATGTTCCCAGGACTTCAAATCATGAGACTATGGAGAAGTAGGCAGGGAGGTTGAGGGACACTTACTTCTCCCACGTCTCCCTCTCTCCCATGCCCAATCCTCACCACCTCACAGAGCTCACGGATGATAGTAGAAACCTCCCCAGCAGCGTTGGCCTTTATATCCCGGTGTGCTCCATTGGCTGGCTCCAACCGGTTTATCAGCTCAAGACTGTTAATTTAGCAATCTGCAAAGGTCCCAGATGAAAAGCTTTCGCCTGCTCTCTTTCTAGAGCCTGACATAATTAGCTACATTTCAGCCCCACCTTCTATTTTCTCCTGTAACGAGCAGTGCCAATCCTGAATCACTTTAAGGGAGCGAGCTGCCCCTTGGTATCAATTAAAAGGGAAATGCTTTTCAATGCATAAACTATAACAATTGTGAACAGGTACAAAGAAAAATCTAGAGGTTCTGGCACTGCTAACAGACCATGGCACTTTGCAGAGATTGTCTTACACGCTTTTGGAGGAAAAACAAAAACAGGTCCAGCATGCTAGGTAATATGTTACTCCTGAGGGTAAAGGCTGCGCTTGAAAATCTACAAGCCAGAGATTTGGGAGCAGTCCAGTGAGCAGGCCATTCGTGTGTGCTGAAATAGTTCAGCTGGGTCTTCTTGTCCTCTCAGATGAAGAAACCATGTACAGCCCTAGTGAGTCACGTCTGGGAGAAATGATTTACGATGAGTGTTTTAGCCTGGTGTGATGTTACATCTCTCTCATTTTCCTCCCCTGAAGTGAACAATCATGCAAGCCTTTTCCTAGGTAGGGGGTGACGGGGAGGTAGTGGGAGGCTTCATTAATCTCTGGGTTCTCCAGGAAAGCCAATTTGATCATCGTGGAATATCAAGCACTCTGAGTGTATTGTTGCTTGTTAGCTTGGATGTGTGCCCTCCAGAAACTCCATGCTGGGAAGACTAGTCCACGTGCTAGGGCTGGATGTGAGAGGAGGGGCTGGGAGAGGAGGGGTGTGGTTGCCAATCTATTCAAATTATACCTGCAGCCAAGCCTTGTGTGGATCAGGTAGATACCTGTTAACAGAGTCACCCAGGCAAAACTGGGATGCTGGCAGGGTTATTTTTTGGGTCCTCCAGCTGATTCTTTGAAGTCTTGTCATCTCTTTGAGTCATCCTGTCCTTAATTTTCTGAGATTGGGAGCAGTCATTTACATGTTAGTGTCAGTGCCTTTTGGCACCGGGACATCTGTTTCTCTCTTACTTCTGGTGTTAAAGAAAAAATTATTTGATGATACTGTACTTGTTAAAGCATGGTAAGTTATATGGTTTGGCTGTGTCCATACCCAAAATCTCATCTTTAATTATAATTCCCATAGTCCCCACGTGCCAAAGGAGAGACCAACTGAAGGTAATAGAATCGTGAAGGGTGATTTTCCCTTCTATTCTCATGATAGTGAGTGAGTTCTCACGAGATCTGATGGTTTTATAAGTGTGTGGTAGTGCGTCTTGTGTTCTTTTTCTTCCTGCCGACTTGCAGAGAAGGTGCATTGCTTCCCTTCACCTTCCACCTCATGTGCAAGCTTCTTGAGGCCTCCCCAGCCAAGCAGAACTGTGAGTAAGTTAAACCTATTTCCTTTATAAAGTACCCAGTCTTGGGCAGTTCAGTTTAGCAGTGTGAGAACGGACTAATACAGTAAGGAAGACTTTATTCAGGACAATCACAATAGCTATATAACCACTGCAATGGGGTCTTATAGTGGGGGAGAGAGACTGGGCTCAACTCTGAATACAGCATGAACAAGTGGAAATGTACAGCCAAGGAGCAGTGCGGGGCTTAGTGGATGGAAAATTGTTAAGAGTAAGCATCAGGGGCGCTATAGTTTGAATGTCCCTCCCAAAACTTCTGTTGAAGTTTAATTGCTATTGTGATAATATTAAGAGATGAGACCTTTAAAAGGTGATTAGGTAATAAGGGCTCCACCTTCATGAATGGATTAATGTCAGTACCATGAGAGTGAGCAACTGATAAAAGGATAAGTTTGTACTTGATTTTCTGTCTGTCACACTCTCAATTCTACTTTCTGCTATGAGATGAGCCTCGCCAAATGCTGCACCATGTTCTTCACTTCTCAGCTTTCAGAAAGCTGAGCAAAATACATTTCTATTTCTTAAAAATGACCCAGTCTGTTGTATTGTTATAGCAGGGGAAAACAAACTAAGACAAGGGGTAAAGACAATTCTGTATTAACCAATCTCACATGATTCTGGTTAAAGACAGCCCAGGTGATCAGACTTCACCTAAGGAATGGTAGAAGATGAAAATCTGATCAGGGCCGGGTGTGGTGGCTCACATCTGTAATCCCAGCACTTTGGGAGGCCGAGGTGGGCGGATCACAAGGTCAGGAGATCGAGACCATCCTGGCCAACATGGTGAAACCCCATCTCTGCTAAAAATACAAAAATTAGCTGGGTGTGGTGGCACGTGCCTGTAATCCCAGCTACTTGGGAGGCTGAGGCAGGAGAATGGCTTGAACCCAGGAGGCGGAGATTGCAGTGAGCCAATATTGTGCCTCTGTACTCTAGCCTGGCAACAGAGTGAGACTCTGTCTCAAAACAAACAAAACAAAACCAAAAAAAAAAAGAAAACCCACACGTGATTAGATATTGAGCATAACGAGATCTTGAGGATGGAGAGTTCTTGCTGAATGGACATGGCAGTGTTCTCTACTAAAATGGAATTTGACAAGGAAGTTCACAGAAGGGCCTAGGAGAAGGTTCAGAATCTTGACTTAAGTTTAGCCAGCTAAAGAATTTTTCAGCCCCGCTTCGTGTTCAAAGAAAGAAAATACATTCTTTTTTCCTTTGAATAATATGCCAGTTTTCTTGTTTATTTGCCTTGTGTTCATTAAGGAGCAGCTGAATCATCTGTTGGGACTTACTAGTGGAGGACTCCTGGATAATGTGAGCCATCAGGTCTTTAATGAGGGGAGTTTAATTTCTGTGAAAATAAAAGAATAAAACAAAGATTAATTGTTGGAACAAATGATGAAGTCAGTTTCTGAGTCTGGGAGGCAGCCAGTCAAGATTTCTAGATGGTGAACTTGAAGCACCTTCAATTGGAGTGAGGATAGGCATTGACAATCTAACAGACTTTCTAGCAAACCATTCCAAATGGTTTGCAATTTGAATGTCACAAAAATTATTCATACATAAACTGTTGTGGTGATTTCTCTGAAGTTTATGTCAATTTGTCCAGCTTCAGCTTACAGGGCTTCAGGAAAAAAGCAGTTTTAATTTTAGTGATTACAAGTCATAAATATGGAAGAATATTGGAAATATTATTGTCAAGAGTCATAGTCAAATATTGGAGGAAATCGGAAGGATTCAGGATGAAGTCCAGATTGCAGAAAAATAATAAAACCTCAAAGCAAACAAACAAGGCTAGAATCTAATATTGGGTTTACTATAGTTTTCCTCTGAAACATAGTTTTTCTCTATACTGTCACTTCAACTTCTACCAAAGATAATCAAAGTAAGACTGATGTGTTTGCAAAATGAGTTTAGTCTCATTAAATATGACTAGATTATTTACATAGTGCAACAAAAATAGTGATAGGCCATACAGGTTAAAGTTTGCTTTACTCAAACTTTTGGCAAGAAATGTCAGATTGGACTTGTAAAGGCCTCTCAAGCCTAGGAAGCCAAACCAAGGATGTACCATCAGGCTGCATCTGTGACACCTATAGATGTAGATAAGATTCTCTCTTCTTGCAGTCTTTAAAATATCATGAGGTTCCTGGCCCTGCTAGAAAATGGCGTTACTTACTCACCTATAAGGCTGGAAACCCTCAGGCCAGTTTTGTCAAAGTGTTGCTTTGTTGGCTTCATAAAGTCAAGCTTAGTTCCTTAAAGTTGTCTATCCTATCTGAAAATATGGTATTCCAGTCAAAGCCTTGATAATATAACCACTGTTTCCAATTGTGTATTGTTACAAGGAGAACAGATTCTTATTGCACTTATGCAAATAACTATATTGCCATAGAAGTAGTAATACTTATGAATAGTTTCTGAATTCTGGAGGGATCAGGTAGGGAAAAAAATTGTTTCAATTTTGGTTTACAAAGGCATACTTTACCAAATTGTAAGCTATAGATAGCTTTAAGGGAAAAGGCTTCTTAAATCTGCGCAACAAAACATTTGGAAAACCAGCAATGTTTCAAACAAAATGTAATTAATATTCAACAGTCCATTTAGTTCCATATAATTCTTTTTATGCTTGATATTTAATTAGCAATTTCATGAAGCCATCAATTTCTTCATTAGAGTTCTGAAAATTCTTAGTTTAATGGTATGATCTTAGTGTTAGAAACCTGTGTTCAAAAGTATGTGTTACTTTTTTTTTTTACATGAATCTCCTTGAAGGAGAAGCAATTTTGGACTGTAGCTAATTTCAGATGTTTTTATAGAAAAATCAGAACAACATGACAAAGACTTAGAATGGCCATGGTTAAAAATATGAGTTCATTATAAATAGAAATTGACAAGAAAATTTGGCTATTTCTGTGGCATACAACATTTAAACATAATAACCAAAATAATGTATATATTCGATTTCTAGACATCTCATACAATTTTTGGAAAACTCATATCAATAACATACCCATAAGTATAACTTAAAGAATGTTCAGCATCATTTATTTGACAATGCTTCTTATATTATTTAACATATAAAACAGGTGTAATTAGTTCAGTATATATCTTTTTAAAGGAGAAAGACAGGCTTTGTACTTTCCAGGGGCCCAACTGGAAAATCTCAAGGTTAATTCAAGGTCACAAAGAATTAATTCGAATTTAATTTTGAGAAGTTTGTCAAAAATGTCAACAGGTTTAACATAATTAAATATGGTCTTGGTTATTTATGTAGTGGAACTGACAATAAGATATTTTAAAGGGAAATACAGAAGATTACATACTTATGATAAAACACTTAGCTCTTTTAACATTGAGAAGACTTGGTTTTCTTAACTAATAAAAGACATGATAAAAGACAACATCAAGCATAAAAAATTATCTTGACAAAACATAGTATTTGTTTTCTAGGCCAATTACTAAAAAGAAACTTTCACATTCTCAGATCAGTACTCCAAGAAAACTTTGTAATTTTATTAGAGAAGACCAAATTCTAGTTTTGCATCAGTGTACTACTACAACTAATTTTTTAATCGAACCTTATCAGTAAAATCTTCTAATCTTAGCCAATTTGACCACACAAAATAAGTTTCATTTTCCATTATTGGGTCTAGATTTTTAATGTGTATGTACTATTCAATTTAATTTAGCAGAACTAAGGTTTCAAGTTACATTGAAAAAGTTTTTTAAACCATTTTTAAGTAGACATACTTTAAAGCATATTTTTGAAAAGTTTGCTTAAAAGCTTTTATTCCACTTAGTTACCTGATTCATTCTCAACAATTATGTTTGAATTACTCATGAAAAATTTGAGACACTAAACAAAGTTACCTCTATTTTTAAGTTTTTTTTTTTTTTATTGTTGACAAATCAGGCAAATATCAAAAACATCACAAAAGCAAATAAACTAAAAAGTTAAAAGTGGTTCTTCTCTCTTTTTCTGCCTCTTCCATGACTGACATGCATCAAACAATTAAGGAATTTACTTTCTCTGTGCACTTTTGTCCTTAGGTTGAATTTATAGTTTTATGTCCTTAAACATCTAGCAGAGACAACACAAACATATCTGGCCATAAAACCCAGGCAAAAATAAATGTCTGTATTGTATTTAATGCTGATAAGTTTGAAGACATTCCTGTTTTTATTTTACCAACAATTTTACAACTAACTCATTTACCCATCATTTACCCAAGTTACATGAACTAGAAGACAATTGGGTTAGTTTCTGTTTCTCTGAGATAATACTTTAACCCTCTTCCTGATTAGAGAAAAAAGTGCAGCTCTCTGCCAGCACTCATTAGTTTTACATAAACATGCTCTTTGAGGCAGAAGCAAATCTGACTGATTTTCAATGTGAAAATGTAAAAACTGTTCTTGGAATTATTTTTAAACAGAACAGACATTAGAATCATGTGAATCATCAGAATCATCTATTTCAAAAAAATTGGACTCATCAAATGAATCTTCAGCCAACAACTGTTCGAAAATCGTGTTAACATTATGCATAGAAATGCTACATTTTCTAGGATTTGACATTTCAGTGGTTGAGAATGACTAAATTTCATGTATGGAAATACATTACCAAAAACAATGCTATAAATAGAATGATGTCTTTTGTTTCCACAGTTAATATACTAGAGCAATGCAAAAATAATAATAAAAGCAAGATATTTTGGGGCAACGTTATCTTGGGGTAGGTGCTGCAGCAGCACTTACTCCAAGATTCTCAGTGAGTATTCTCAGGACAAATGGGAAAAGGGTTAAATAAGCAGTTATTTTTTAAGCCAATTAAATGGAACTCTTCTGTATGTTTTGGCAACATTATCCAGAGGTAGAAAAACACATACACATAACATACATATGTACATAAATATACATACAGGTGCAACCAGATCTTCTGGCTTTTCATTTTTAAAATTTTAGTTCAGTCAGTAAAACAGAACAATACAAACCTGTAGGTGTATCTCTACTTCATATATTTATTCAAATTGTGTTTTCCATAAAAATGGGACAAGATGAGGTTACCTGTTCAACAAGGGCTATAGCTTTTTACCAATATTTTTGAAGATGATCTTTTAGGGTTTTTAGTTGCCCAATTTCCAAATAGCTTATCTTTTTCCCTATTTTTAGTCTCAGGTGCTTGGTTTTGAGTGGCTGCTGAGTCCCTTGAAAACACCCCAGTAGAGAGTAGGGAGCCTAAATCTCAAGTGAGTGAGGGGCTGGAGTTGGAAGTGACAGGATCTGGCAGGGGTAGACAGAGTTGGCAGAGCATAGAGTCAGCGAATGCTTGAGAAAGAGGGGTTTCAGGTGACAGAGAAGTTCCTATGGGAGAAGCAGGATCCAATAGAGAAAACAGAGAAAATAGACCACACAGAGAGCCAGAAAGAAGGACTTCCTGCCAAGAAAGTCAGGGAAGAGTCCCCACTGAGAACAAGGAGCCAGGGAGAAGACCTTCCAGCTGAGGAGGTGCCTTTGAAAAGAAGCCTGAGACTCTAACCCAGCTTCAGAGTCTACTCGTACATTCAGAATTGAAATCTGTCTTTCCCGGATTGAAAGATATTTGTCCAGAGCACGAGTTGAGGAATCTGACTCACCAGTGAATCCTGGATTGGTTAGAAGTGAAGACAAAAACTTCAAAGGTACACACCTAGGATCCTAGGTGACAGGCCTAGGAGTCCAGTAATGAATCTGATCTTAGTCATGGCATCATAACGGTTAAAGAGAAAAATATTCAATGATGGTTGTTAAAGCCCGGCAAAAAAGGCTTTATTCAGGACCATCATGATAGATAAGGGACCACTGCAACAAAGTCTTGCAGTAGGGGAGAGGAATTAGGCTCAACTTCAAACACAGCATATGCAATTGGGAGTTTATAGCCAAGGGCCAGTCTGGTGGCCAGGGGCTGGAAAATTACTAAGAGGAAACATCAGGGTAAGGGGGATTCTGACTAAACTTACGTAACAGGATTCTTGTTCAAGACAGGCCATGGTGATCAAAAGTCACCTGGGAGATGGTGGAGGATGAAGAACCTGAACATATTGAGGATATTCAGATACTGAGGGTGGAGGGTCCTTGCCAAAGTGACTTAGCAAGTTTCTTTGCTAAACTGGATCTTATAAGTAAGTGCACAGAAGGGCTTAGGAAATGGTTCAGAAGCCTGACTAAAGTTTACGTAAGTGAAGAACATTTGTGATTGGAAATAAGTTCTCTTTGAAAAAGTACCTAATGAAGGCATTTTAAAGGTCTAAAGTGGTTCTTCATTGTCCTCTAAAGCCATTCAAAGTACACAACAACCTACCACATCCAGGGATCAGGCTGGTTCTAATACCCTAATATGGTGGATTCACGGTTGCTCTCCCAGAACGGATTGCACAAGGATGCAGGAGCAGCTGTTATTGCCCATGGGAGGTACCTGGTGGAGACAGAGATGCCACCAGGGGTTGGGCCCCCAGGATTTACCTTCTCTCCATATAAGGAAGCACATTGATCTTAAGTTGCCAGAGAGCTTTTCAGTTGGCAAAACACTTACATATTATTTTTCATTGATCCCCTACCAACTAGCAACCTTGAGACATCAGCAGAACTAGGAAAATAACTTCCATTAGGTGTATATATTAGTATTTATTATTATAAAATCTTTACCTTCCTATAGAAACAGGCTGATATAAATGTGGTAAGTAATAACGGTTGCCATGTGCCTGGCCCTGTTTGCATGCCATGTTTTTTTGTCGTTGGTTTTTGTTTGTTGTTGTGTTGTAGTGTTGTGTTTTCTTTTTGAGATGGAGTCTTGCTCTGTGACCCAGGCTGGAGTGCAGTGGCATGATCTCGGCTCACTGCAACCTCCGCCTCCCAGGTTCAAGTGATTATTCTGCTTCATCCTCCCTAGTAGCTGGGACTACAGGCATGCACCACTGCCCTTGGCTACTTTTTGTATTTTTAGTAGAGACAGGGTTTCACCATGTTGGCCAGGCTCGTCTCGAACTCCTGACTTGAGGTGATCCGCTTACCTCGGCCTCCCAGTGCTGGGATTACAGGCATGAGCTACCGTGCCTAGCCTTGGATGCTGTGTTTTAGATGCTCTCATCAATTATCTGTTGTATTGCATAAGGAAATAGAGATTCAGAGGGATTAAATAGCTTCCAATATCCCATGGTAAGAGGAGGTAGCAGAAAGGAGATTGGAATCTGCATCTAACTTACTCCTGAGTCAGAGGTGGTGAAGCAGAGCAGGTGACACTCAGATTGTCCCCATTTGTCACACACAAAGACGGGGAATCATAGTGATCATTTAGGGCCGGTACTCACACTCCAATGGTAGAGAAGCTAGCTGTCCTGAACCACAGCTCAGAATTCTTCCTCTTGGGAAAAATTCTTGATAGAACTTGTAACTGGTTTCTCCAGGAAACCTAACATCACCAGGATTTTTGTATGGACCCATGGCAGTGGCAGCCAAGAAAGAGCTATGTATTGATCTTGTCATTTGTAATTAATGACAACCACAAATTAATAACCACATGCATACAAATTGATTTTCAGAGGTGCAATAATTAGATTTAATGCCTGCCACAGCATATATTTATGTATTTAATTATCACCTTCATTATTAATGTTAATGAACTTTCAAGATATTCACATACCATTAGATATGTGACTTCTTTCTCATTTATAGATGGATTTTATTCACTCAGGTCATAGAATTGACTTTCCTTGGTAAAGAATACTAAATTTTCTAGTTTCTATTCCTATTTCTCCTCCTTATTCCCACATAGAGAAGTTGCTTTGGCAAAGAGATGAGTATCTTTCCTCAAGATCTTTTGTCAGAGAGAAGGAAGTAGAGGAGGAAGTGGTACCCAGCAGTCCCAAGTCTCAGCCTCATTGTGACAGTAACTCACTGTGTGACCTCAGGGAAGTCACTTCATCTCTCTGGGCCTAAGCTTTCTTTTTATTTTTTTGACACGGAGTCTCCATCTATTGCCCAGGCTGGAGTGCAATGGTGCAATCTCAGCTCATTGCAACACTGCAACCTCCACCTGCTGGGTTCAAGTGATTCTCCTGCCTCAGCCTCCTGAGTAGCTGGAATTACAGGGGTGTGCCACCACGCCCAGCTAATTTTTGTGGCTTTAGTAGAGACGGGGTTTCACCATGTTAGTAAGGCTGATCTGGAACTCATTGCCTCAAGTGATCCGCCAGCCTCAGCTTCCCAAAGTGCTGGGATTCCAGGCGTGAGCCACTGTGCCCAGCCAGCTTTCTTATCTGTAAAGTGACAAGAAGAGAGGGGATGGAGGTAGAGACTTTGTAATATCTGAAATGGGAATTAGAAGGTAGAGAGTTGGTAATATCTCCAGCTCAGATTACCGGAGACCTCAAATTACCAAGGACTGTTTCTGTAAGCAAGAGAGTGAGACTAGGGATGTAGGCATCATTTCTTTGGCCTTCCCCTGCCTGAAACATGGACTCTGTCTTGGCAGGGTGTGCGTCTGCATGTTCTGTTGTGGGTCTGGCTGTTATTACAGAGACAGCACTTGGGCTCCAGCCGGGATTACTACCACAGCATTCAGTCGCAATTTGGAGCCTGGGCCACTGGGAAATTGCAGACAATTTGGATGAAAATGGTTGGAAAATTGCAGTGTTTAGGCCTCTCCTACCAGCCCCTTCATTTTTTTTTTCTTACTTTCTTTTTTATTTCTTTCTTTCCCCTCTCTCCCGCTCCCTACCCCTGAAATTACTTTAAAAGCAGAGGAATGACAGGCTAGACTGGCTAGATTTTTTTCCCCAGTCTGCAATATATTGTGTAAACAAACATGTAAATTGATATAGAATTTAACCACCCTCAGGCAAAGTGGCTAAAAGATGTGGAGAGGGGAAAAATGCTCTATGTGAGATCCTGGATTGACTAGAATGCTGGGGTAATGTTGGTGTTGATTAATTGAATTTCTGATTAGCTATGTGTTAGCTAGGAAACCTTTATCTTGTTGCAAATTGCTCTAAAATGAGCCCACTTACCTCTCTTAGTATTTAATTAAATATTTAAAAATGTTCATACCCTGTCTCATTTTAAGAGACTTTAAGGAACCTTCCTTATTAATAGTCAATTAATCTTTAATTGATAATTGGGATTCATGGTTATGGTGCTAAAGGCATTTATCATAGTCCAGCCCAATATATGGAAATGTATAAAGTATGGGAGATAAATTGTGCAGATTGTCAGGGATGCAACAGACATCAAAGGTTCTCATCAACTTGCCCACCTAGTATATGCTTCTCTTTTATAGTGTCCAGTTGATTTCTAACTTTTACTTAAGTACCACCTCCTGAGGCAGTGCATTCTATTTTCTGACAAATTTAGCTATCATAAGTTTTCCCCATTATGTTGACCTAAAATTTGTTTTCCTGCATTCAATCAGTCATTGGTTCGAATTCTAACCCCTGGGTCAAACACAGAGCAAACAGCTTTCTACATCCTCATGCCAGCACTTCATGTATTTGAAGAAAGTTTGTTTTTTCTCTTTCAGTGGGATCTTCCTGAGTTCCTACAGAGACAGGGTGGGGGGGGGGGGATTGGTAGAATTCCAGCCCAGGAGACGGCCTGGTGTGCAGCTCTCTGCTGTGTGTGTGTGTGTGTGTGTGTGTGTGTGTGTGTGTGTGTGTGTGAGAGAGACAGAGACCGAGACCAACCAACCTTGGGGAAACTTCTCAGTCCCTTTGGCTCCATTCCCCAATCGAAGAGATGAGGATGATAACAGTAGAAACTCCTGACCGGGCGTGGTGGCTCAGGCCTGTAATCCCAGCACTTTGGGAGACCGAAGAGGGTGGATCATGAGGTCAGGAGATCCAGACTTTCCTGGCTAACACAGTGAAACCCGGTCTCTACTAAAAATACAAAAAGAAAAATTAGCTGGGCATGGTGGTGGGCACCTGTAGTCCCAGCTACTCAGGAGGCTGAGGCAGGAGAATGGCGTGAACCCAGGAGGTGGAGCTTGCAGTGAGCCGAGGTCACACTACTGCACTCCAGCCTGGGTGACAGAGCGAGACTCTGTCTCAAACCAAACAAAAAAACAGTATAAACTGCTAATAGCATTGCTCTGAAGACTAATCAGGTAATATAAATAAAGTGCTTAGAACAGTACCTGGCATATAAGTATGGTTGAAACATTTCCTATTATCATGGCGTTGTTCTGTTGTGTTTTTCCTTTTTAAAATATTTAATTGTTTTAAAAATATTTAATTGTGGTAGAAATACACATAAAATTGACCATTCTTAGCCATTTTTAAGTATGCATTTCAGTAGTGTTAATTACATTTACATTGTCTGCAACCAATCTCCAGAACACTTTTCATTTTACAAAACTGAGACTTTGTATCCATCTAACAAGAAGTCTTCATGTCTTCTCCCACCCTCCTGGCAACCATCTTTCTACCTTCTGTCTCTGTGGAGTTGTCTACTCTAAGTATCTCATTTACATAGAATCATATGTTTGTCTTTTTGATACTGCCCTGTTTGACTTGGCATAATGTCCTAAAGCTTCATCCATGTCCTAGTATGTGTCAGAATTTGCTTCCTTTTTAAGGCTGAATAATATGCCATGTACGTACCTGAGGAGATTTTTAAACCACCAATGAATGCTTAGGCCCAATCCAGGCTAATTAAGTCAGAATCTTGGGGAGGTGGGGACCCAGGTGTGAATGTGTTTAAAATGGTCCCTAGAGGATTCTGATCTGTAGCTAGGTTGAGAACCACTGATGGCTCAAACACTTAGAGCCCATTAATACATTAATTTCCCCCACTCCTACATTGCTCCTGGATTCCCTTCTAAGAGAAGGGAATAACCCAGTGTCTTCCAAACTTTGCTGTGCATTCCAATCACCAGGGTTTTTTTTTATTTTTAAAATCTTGCATCCTGGGTCACATTCCATACGAATGAAGTCCCAATATCTGGCGGTCGGATCCTGGCATCAGTATTTCTAAAGATTCTAGGTAATTCCAATGGACAGAAAAATTTGAGATCCACTGAATAACCATGGACCAATTCTCTCATGCTAGAAACTTGAGGGTTGCCTTTGATTCCTCCTTTTCTCACCCTTCACATCTAAATTCTCATCAAGCCCACTTGATCTTATCTCCTTACACTGTGGTTCTCCAAGTGTGGTCTCGACCGCATGAAGTCACCAATGCATCCCGGTTTGCCCGGGACTTTTCTGGTTTTCACATTGCAAATCCCCAGGTCCTGGAATCTCTCTCAGTCCCAGGCAAACCTATGTAGTTGGTCACCCTACCAGACCAGCAGCATCAGACCAGCAGCATCAAGATCACCTGGAAATGTAAATGATCAGGGACCAGCCAGGGACCTACTGATTGACAAACTCTGGGATGGGACTCAGCACACTGTGCTGTCACACGCTCTCTAGATGAGTCTGATGAACACTCAAATTTGAGAACCATTGTCCTGAGTCACTCCCAAGTTTTGACACTGTAAAGATTGGAGTTGCTGCTGCTCCTGAAGATGAGAGCTAACACTTAAGGAGAACCTACTCTGCAGTGGGTGTGTTCTTGTCTGCATGGACATTGTGGCCTTGAGACAGCCAGGTGGGAAGGGGTCCCCAGAGAAACTGTCAGGTTCAAGGTCAGGTTCCAGCCCATGCTGAGGTCTGAAGGGAGTGGGTGGATGAGCAGATAGCTGAAAGAACACGTGGGGGGCCCTAGGCAGGTGAAATACAGCTTTATTCAGCAGCTCTCTGATGAGCAGCTTACTTACACTAGCTCTTTTACACTGTTCTCTAATCAGCGGCTTTCACACACTGTCAGCCCTGTCTGGGTTGCATGAGCCAGCCCTGTGGCTCCTCTCAGCAGCTAGCTCCCCCACACAGCTGCGCAGCTGGTTCTCCCTTGGCTTCAGGGTCAGTAGCTTAACTCTTTCTGCAGTGAGCCAAGCTGTGTCCTGCACCTACCCCTCCGACCCCAGTCCATCTGCAAAGAGAGAGAGCTCTGACTCTTTCTCTGGGTGCAAGCTCATGTACAGTGTCAGCAGGGCAATTACAGCTTTTACAGACAATAGTGGTGTAGGGCCAAGAGATGGCCTTCCCATGTTATGGCTACATGGCTGTGATAACAAGTAGAGTTATGTGTCTGCGCTCTAAACTCACTGAGTCTTGCAGGATGTAAACATCCTAGCTCAGCCTATCCTTGACCAAAGCACAGTCATGCTCCTTACAAACTCCAACCAGCCTGCACACTGGGAGGAGCGCGTGCTGGGCTAGAGCCACAGAATTTTGTACCGTTTGCAGCAGGGAGGAGCCTGGCCCCTCCTTTCCTAGGTAGAATCTGGAATTCAATCTGTGAGGTGGGAAGCATATACTAGGAGGACTTTCACTCTGCTGAGTCCCTGTTCCCCCTCCCTTTTTTTTCCTTTTTGCCCAATAAACCCCTTTATTCTCACACTTCAAATTGTCTGTGAGACTAATCTTTTGTGGCCATGTGACATGGACCCTGTCTGTAGCTGAAACTAAGAAAAAGCCCCTCCCGCACAGTCTGATGTTTCCTCAGTCAGACACTGCAAGCTGTGATGTTGGGGTGAGTACAGGATATTTGGCAATATTTGCAGACAGTTTTGGCTGTCAGAGAGGAAGATGCTGTATGCAGACACACTTGACAGCAATAACTTAAGCCCACCCTGAGACTGACTCTGCATGGTGATGCACCTGAAGGCAATAACTTAATCACACCATGAGAATCACTTGGGGTCTAAAAAGAATGTGTGTTGGGAGTTCTAAGCTAAGGAATCCATGAGTAGCTAACCTGGAGATTCATTCTTCATCTCTGAGGACCATCCAAACCCCTGACTCATCTCATGGAACACAGGCCATACAGGGGATTGAGGCTCTTTGTTTTGCGTTAAATGAATGTTGCCAGGTGGAGGTTGCTGAGGGAGGGTGCTAAGTGAAAATGCTATATGAACTGCATGTTTTTTACAAGTGTTAGTGGTTTTCCTGTCTAGCCTAACATACGGCTGGCTGGTCTGCCCTGTATATCGGTACTCTTGATAAATCCTAGTTCATGGCATTGTTTAAGGCCCCTGTGCCTTGTGGGCTCTCTTTTCTGAAGACTCTAGTTTATTTCTGTTATTTTCAAAGTGTAGTATTCTTCAGCAACTTTTTATTGAGCATTTACTATGTAATAGATCCTGGGATATACATGTAAAGTAGATGCTGCCATCATGGAGTGATATATGTCTCCTAGGAGAGACATATATACAAAAATACTTTAATATAGCTATTATATGTGCTACAAAATGACATTAGGGGATACCATAAGAGTGAAATGCAAGGGCACTCAATTGACAGTGGAAACGTGAGACATTTGACACTGGAAGAATAGGTAGAAATGAACCAGGCGGCCCAGGGACTGTCTTACTGTGCCTGTAATCCCAGAACTTTAGGAGGCCACGGTGGGTGGATCACTTGAGCCCAAGAGTTTGAGACCAGCGTGGGCAACATAGTGAGTCCCCATCTATACAAAAAATACACAAATTAGCCAGACATAGTGATGCACACCTGTAGTCCCAGCTACTCGGGAGGTTGCAAAGATTGCTTGAGCTTGGGAGGCAGAGGTTGAAGTAAGCAGAGATGGTGGCATCACACTCTAGCCTGGGCAACAGAGCCAGACTGTGTCTCAAAAAAAAAAAAAAAAGTGAAAAGAAAAGAAATGAACCAGTTTAAGCAAGAATAGAGAGGACTGAGGTGAAGAGAAGGCCCTGGGGTCAGAAGTTGAAATATGTTAGGAAATAAAGTGATGTTTCTGGAAAGAACGACTCGGGGCGAGAGTTGTGTGATGAGATCGGAGCTGTAGACAAGAGGTCTCAGGTCATGTGGGACTTTATAGATCATAGTAACAATTTTGTTTTTGAAAAGTTGTAGGAAAATGAGAGCAATGATTAAATTTATATTAGAAATATTTTAGTTGCCACGGGACAGTAGATACAGAAGACAAGTAGGGGGGCTATTAACTATTAAGGGAGTCCAGTTGGGAAATCATGGTGACATAGACCAGAAGGGTGGCAGTGAAGGTAGAGAAAAGACAGTTTTGAGAGAAGCCTAGCTAGAAGGAACAACTGGACTGTTCATGGATTGGATGTGAAGCAGTAAGGCTTATCTGCAAGATGTCTCCTGAGTTTCCATCATGATCAACTGGGAGGATGGGAAAGGGATGCTATTTTGAGATGGGCCCCACTGGAGCAGATCTCAAGACTGAGGCTCCTGTGCTGTGCCGTGCTCTGGGGAGTTGCCGAGGCAGCCTTTGACAAATGGTTCTCAAGCCCTAGAGCCTGGAGATACAAGATTGGCAGATAGATGGAAATTGTAGTCACAGTGAAACAGGAGAGTTCCCTGATCCCCCTTGCAGAATGTGTGACAGGGGTGTGGCTCACCTGTTTGGTCGTCATCGTTGCCCAAACCCCTGAGGGGAAGGAGAGCATGTAGATGGACAGGTGCAGGAGCCCAAGTGGGCATGTGTTACAGTGGGCTCCTTTAGCCCTGCTGTCCGTGGTTAGTGTTAACCAGCTCAGTGGGCCCTCTGCCTTTTCACAAGGGCAGAGGGCCAGTGTGACAGCTTTCTGTATCCCAAATTCTTGCCTAGCATCCCCGGAAGAATTGGGTCACACATGAGATTGAAGGAGGAATTCGGGGTTTTATTGGGTGTTGGAGGTGGCTCTCAGCAGGATGGATGGGGAGCTGGAAGGGGAGATGGAGTGGGAAGATGATCTTCCTCTGGAGCCTGGCTGTCCAGCAGCTGAACCCCTCTCCAACTGCCCCCAGCCGAACTCCTCTTGGCATTCAGATGTTCCTCCTTTTCTCTCTTTCTCTGCCATGTTCTTCCATCTGTCTGCTTGTCTCCTCATCTCGTCTGCCTCTGCACCCTGGGGTTCGGGGTTTATATTGGTACAGGATAGAAGGCACGGCTGGCCAAAAGGCAACTTTTTGGGTGTGAAAACAGGAATGCCTGTCCTCATGTAGGGCTGCAGGCCTCCAGGCTTGAGGGTGGGGCCTTTGCTGGGGAACCGCCCTTTTACCCAATGTTTCCCTGTTTCCTGTCTGTAACAATACGGGATGTGGAATCAGCTAGGGAGAGAATGCAGAAAGAAGAGGAAATGGGCATGGGGAGAGCCCTGGAAAGCCAGTAGTTAAAGGCTGTAGAAGATTAGGAGGCTGGAATGGGGTTGAGAAGTTGACCAGAAAGGAAGAAAACTAGGAGAATTGTCTGCAGTGATTGAGAAACCCAGACAAGAGTGTTTCAAGAAGAAGGGAGAGAGAGGTTAACAGGGTTGTTGAAAACCACTAAGAGGTCACTTGACAGGAATGCTGAAAACTGTCCAGTGGATTTAGTGAAATGGAGGCCATTGGTGACGTTGAGAACTGTTTTGGTGAAGTGGAGGCAAAAGTCATATTGGACTGGACTGAGGCATGAATGGGAAGTCAGGAATCGGAGAAGCCAAGCACAAACAATTTTAGGGGTGGGGGAAATGTGTGGCTGTGAAAAGAAAGCTAGAAGGGAATTCGAAATGTAGAGATTACAAATATTCTTACTTTCATTAATGGAAAGATTAGATCATGCTCAAATGGCAATACGACGGATCTAAGAGGGTGGGGAGGTTAACGGTGCAGGAGAGAGGTAGTAACTGATGACATTATTTAAGGCTGCTGAGAAGGACAAGACATGGGGTCCAGGATACTCCCTGATGACAGGAGGGTACGGGACTCAATGGAGATGCAGTTGTTGATTTCGGGGGAGTTGAGGATGGATGGCTTGGATAGTCCCAGCAAAGTGGGAATCCATGTTTTAGGTTAGGAGTGAGGATCATGATAGGGAGGGTTGGAAGGGGGGGGTTGGGATGAACAGTAAGCTATGGGGCTCCAGCAAAACAAGGCTCTAGGTGGATTTCAGTTGAACAAATAATTCTTGTTGGTGAGTAATAAAGCCTTGGAAATAGCCCCAGGCCATATGTTAGCTCAGTCAAAGCTGTAGTCAGGGGCTGGGAGCCTCTTCCAAGTACAACATTTTCTCTCTCGGCAGAAGGGAGAGGGGTCTTCTCAGATTGTCTTTGAAAGCCCAGGAGGCTTCCTCACTGTGTCTGGGCTTCAGAAGACTAGACCCTCAGTTGTGTGCCGTCAACGTTCCTGCTCCAGGGGTACTCGGCACCCTCGGGTGCTCTGCAGCCACAAATAGTCAAGTGCAGAAAAGAACCGGATGCTGGCCTGGGAGAATTCGGCCTGGGAGAATCACGGTTTGATGAGGCCGGGGAGGCCGCCTTTAGCTAACAGGTCCACTGCACCCCAGCCATCTCCAAAAGCCACATTTTGAGAAGAGCAGAGTTGATGTGGGGAGGATGTCAAGGTGGCAGAAAAGTCACCAAAGCCACATTCTGAGACCAATTCAGGGGAACGTCTGTGAGCTGAGGATAGCTGTGAGATGCTTTGCTCCTGAAGGCGTTTTCCAGGTCAGCTGTGGGGTGGTGGGCATGATGATGTCTAGTCCAGCTCCAGAACTTAATTGCTGGACACACATAGAAGAATCACTCAGCCTCTGTGATCTTGCAATTTGCATCTACAAACTGGGAATTATCATCCCTGCCCTCCTTAACTGACATATATTTAAAACCAAGCTAAGAAGGCTGAACAGGTGGGGGTGCTAATAATAAGATACGAATGGTTCTCTTTCCAGAATATCAGTGCTGATGGGGCCTTATCAAACCTTGGTCTTTTCCCAAGTTACTGGAGGCAGACCTGGGATTCCAACAAGGTTTTCTTTCATGTGGCTAAAGCTTATCTTACTGCAGTTACAAATGTATTCTGAGCAAAGCTGTGATCACAGCCATTTTGTTTTTCATTGTTTTAATTCCCAGCTCGAATCTTTCAGAGCACACCAGCCTCAGTGCCCTGCACATAGTAGGGCCTTGAGAAAACTTTTTGGCATAGCTGAGCATCAGGGCTCAGGAAGCCAGTTGAGGGTGTGCATGTGGCAGTTTATCACTTTGAGACTCAGAGGGTTAATCCCAGCCTGGCTCCCCTTTGGCTTTGACCTAAAGACCTTCATCCCTAAATCCCTCTGAAACAAAGGCTTGGACCCAGGTCCTGGGCAGGGCAAAAGGAGCATAGGGAAGCTGCAGGCAGCTACAGCTGGTTTTATTTTATTTTATTTTTTTCCCCCAAGACGGAGTCTCGCTCTGTCACCCAGGCTGGAGTACAATGGTGCGATCTCAGCTCACTGCAAGCTCCGCCTCCTGGGTTCACACCATTCTCCTGCCTCAGCCTCCCAAATAGCTAGGACTACAGGCACCTGCCACCATGCCCAGCTAATTTTTGTATTTTTAGTACAGATGGGGTTTCACCGTGTTAGCCAGGATGGTCTCGATCTCCTGACCTTGTGATCTGCCTGCCTCAGCCTCCCAAAGTGCTGGGATTACAGGCACAGGCGTGAGCCACTGTGCCCGGCCTACAGCTGGTTTGTTAATGACCAGTCCCATTCCACTGCCTCTGTATACCCAGGGATGTTTGGGTGGGGATGCCGAGACAACTGGCTTGGGGAAGTTAAGGGCAGGCAAGTGGACTTAGCATGCAACGGTGTGGGAATGTGGTTGCTCATGCTCTGTTTCCTTCTGCAAACAAAGTGTTGACATTATGAATGATGAAAAGAGAAGACAGCTGAAGGGACTCACAGGGGCATGTTCCAGAGCCTCTGAGTGGGAGAGTATGACTTCATTTAACATCAGCTGTCAATTTATATTCTGTCACAGCCAATGGATTCCCACTCAGAATGGGGGCTGCAAACTCCCAAGTGTGAGATGTTGTTGGAAATGTACTGGGCCAGGAGGGTGGCCTCTTGGAGAGGGTAATCCTCCCAGCTCCAGGGCCTTCCCCAGTCCCTGGGAGCTCCAGGCTGCCATAGAGGCTCTTGCTGTTTCTGCAGGGATAAAGGTCTTCTGTGCTTTCCTTGTCTTTAGTGGTGAATGTGGCTAAAAGCAGCGACATCTGTGTTCCTTCTGTGGGATGCAAACTAGATGGATATATTAATAAAGCCTGGGTTGGAAAGAGGCCAGAGTGGGTGGGGTAGGGTCAAAAAGGGTGGTCAGTTCTGGGGCTGAGCCAGGTTCCTGTGCTCAGAATAGTAGAGTGGGAGGAAGTTCGGTACAAGAGTGTGAGTGAAGTGTGTGTGTGGTGGTCTGAGACAGGTAAGACAAAGGACCTTGAAAATAGGGTGCTGAGTGGGTGGGGAGCAGGTGTAACAATACCAGAAGTGCCTAAGGCTTCCCAGGAGGTGGAACAAATAGGTGTTTCCAGGTGAGAGCTGTGGGACCCTGACACAGCTGTCTAGGGAATTGTGGTTTTCTTAGACTGTGGCTTCTGCTCACCAGCATCCCAGAATAAAAACCTAAAGAACCAATCACTGTGTTCAGCTGACAGCTCTACCCTGAGCTGCCCTCACTTTCCTCCAGGCCAGGCTCTGCTGCCTTTTCAGGCTGTTAATTCCCAGCAGAGGCAGGTGGGTTTGTCTGTCTGGATTGGATGAAGTGTGAGGTCAGCCTCCCAATGCCTCTCCCCACATTGGTGTGTTTCTCTGAGCTCCCATGTTCTCAGCCTCTTAGACAGTGAGTGAGGCTGGGAAAAGCTGCTTGAGTTTGAATCTTACCTCAGCTGTTTTTAGCCAGCCTTCCTTGAACTATGGCTCCTGCATCTGAAAAACAGGATGATGTTACCAATATAGCTATTGTGGAGATGAAATCAGAGATAATGCTTCATAATTTTTAAATTCTTTTTAAATTTTTATTTTAGAGACGGGGTCTTGATCTTTGACCCAGGATGGAGTGCAGTGGTGTGATTATAGCTCACTGTAGCCCTAAACTCCTGGGTTCAAGTGATCCTCCCCACTTGGCCTCCAGAGTAGCTGGGACTACAGGTGTGCATCACCATTCCCGGTTAATTTATAAAATTATTTGTAGAGATGGTGATACGGTTTGGCTCTGTGTTCCCACCTAAATCTCATGTTGAACTGTAATCCCCATGTGTTGAAGGAGGGGCCTGGTGGGAGGTGACCGAATCATGGGGGCGGACTTCCTTTTTGCTGCTCTCCTGATAGTTCTCACGAGACCTGGTTGTTTGAAAGTGTGTTGCACCTCCCACTTTGGGCTGTCTCTCCTGCTCTGGCCACGTAAATATTGTGCCTGCCTTTCCTTCACCTTCTGCTATGATTGCAAGTTTCCTAAGGTCTCTCCAGCCATGCCTCCTAGATAACTTGTAGAACTGTGAGTTGATTAAACCTCTTTTCTTTGTAAGCTACCCAGTCTCAGGTAGTTCTCTATAGCAGCATGAGAACAGACTAATAAAGACAGAGTCTTACTGTGTTACCTAGGCTGATATCAACTCCTGGGCTCTAGCGATCCTCCTGTCTTGGCCTCCCAAAGCTCTGAGCCTACAGGCATGTGCCACCAGGCCCAGCTAATTTTTTTTTTGAGACGGAGTCTTGCACTGTTGCCCAGGCTGGAGTGCAGTGGCACCATTTCGGCTCACTGTGACCTCTGCTTCCCAGGTTCAAGTGATAGTCCTGCGTCAGCCTCCCAAGTACCTGGGATTACAGGCTCCTGCCACCAAGCCTGGCTAATTTTTTGTATTTTTAGTAGAGATGGGGTTTCACTATGTTGGCCAGGCTGGTCTTGAACATGTGACCTTGTGATCTGCCTGCCTCGGCCTCCCAAAGTGCTGGGTTTATAGGTGTGAGCCACGGTGTCTGGCCACCCAGATAATTTTTAAAAATTTCTGTAGTGGCAGAGTCTTGATATGTTACCCAGGCTGGAGTGCAGTGGTGCAGTCATAACTCACTGCAGCCTCAAACTCTTGCACTCAGGTGATCCTCCCACCTTGGCCTCCTGAGTAGCTGGGACTACAGGCATGAGCCATCATGTGCAGCTCCATAATTTTTAAAAATTAGGCCTTTGTGAGGGTTAATTGAGACTAATGCACAAGGACTCTTCCAAAATAGTAAAGGTGAGGGAAATGCTTAATCTAGATTGAGAGGGTTGGACTCCATAACCTCTAGGACACCTTCCAGCTCTTGGAGTCTAAGGGTCTCCCTGGCTTCTGTTTCTATACCTTCTGCTTGGTACCTTTTTCTTTCCCAGATGTCCTCATCTCCCACCTTTAGGTCATTCCCACCTGCCACTCAGCTTCAATCCAAGCTGAGCCACCACATGAAAGACCTTTGAAGGGAAAATCAACTGTTTATCAAATTAGCTGAATTCTCAAAGCCTGGCTACTACACAAGGAATCAGATGCTAATTAATGAAGAGCCAACACAGCTCCATTGCCGATTTGCATAAATATGCATTGTCAAACTGTTAGGTAAACAAAAGCTGGATAACTGCCACAGAGCCAGAGTGATTATGCCGGGCCTTCCTAGTGAGCCTTTGCAATAGGGATTACGGCCTCCACGATTTTTTTTTAAAGTCATCCTTTTATGTTTCTTTTTCCATGCCCTCCCTCCTCACTCTGCTTAAGGTTCAGCTCTCTTTCCATTATCAGCTACCAAACATAACACGATGCAAACCAAGGCAGGGTGGCCCTCCAGTGAGCAAGATGACTTTCTTCTGCCACTTCACATTGCCTGGGTCTCTTGCATCTGGTTTAGAGACAGAGGGAGAGAGACTAGTATGAGGTTGTCCCTGCCTCCACCCTCATCTCGAATGAAGATACAAGAAGCTTGGGGGTCTAGCCATAAAACTTGTCTGATGCATGTTTTTAATCCTTGCTAGTTACAGCTAATTGGAGCTGTCAATCATTTAAAACCCTGAAACTGACTCAGAGAGGTCAGGTGATTCAAACTTACCCAACTGTACAGATAATAATTAGATGTATTGAAGTTAGTAAGTATGAAGAAAGGGGGAAGCTCTCACTTGCCTGTGCATAAGGAATCTCGGAAGATGTAGCTGTGCTGAAGCCAGACTTGTCCTAGAGAAGAAGTGAGATCTGGCGGCCTCAACCCTCCTCAGTCTCTTAGAGTCAGCAGTGGCAGCACGGATGGTACCTGTCAGTTCATTTCAGAAAATATTTATGGAGTGTCTGTGCTGTGCTGGGTGCTGTAGGAATCAGGGTTCTGGCCTTGAAGGAGATGCCTGTTTCACTGGGGAGACAAATACAACCAAATATGTAACTGAAGCTGGGTGAAGACCTAACTACTCTGTGGTAGGGCTCACGTTTGCAGCCCCTAGAGTATCTCTCAGCTAATTTATTGATGAAAGGGTCCTATTAATGAAGTGAATCTATCTTTGGGGAGGAATTTTCCATTTGGGGTGGATGTTTTCTGGTTTATCTGTCTTCCTGTCGCAGCATGAAGTCAGGCAGGTCTGTGTTCATGTGCTCACCTGGGATGACTCTTCTGGCTCCTGAAAAATAAGGATGCTGATTGCCTCCTCACGGAATCCCAGTGGACCAAGCCAGGAAAGAAGCCGAGCAGGGCTTCTGGGGAAGAAAGTCCGGGGCCTTGCAAAAGAGGGCAGTTGCCTCTGGGCCAGTTTGCAGAGTAGAGGTTGCCCATGTGCTGAGTCTTGAGCTACCATATAGGAGTCCTCATGCCTCCAAATACCTACCAGTATCTACCAGACTCATCTCATGGGTCTGAGATGCTGAAATCTCTACTCAGGTGGGGAAGGAATGGGAGTTTACCTATGGTGAATGTCTATTCTACTGAGCAATTTGTATCTGTTGTTACCTTTATTTCTTATAAAATCATGTAATTCAGGTACTAATGTACACACTTTATAGCTGAAGAACTGGAATTCACAGAGCATAAATGACTTGTCCAAGGCATCACTGCAAATGTCCGAGTCAGGATGTACACTCAGCTTGGTATGAATCCAGAACTCAGCTCTTGCTCCACTTGTGCCCTACTCCTTGCTGTTGTCTTTGTTTACTGTAGACCCCTACCCTGTCAATAATAATAGTAATGGTAACTCTGACCCCAACTTTCATTGCTGAATTGGGTAGCAATTAATCCACTGGACAGACATGGCTCCAGGTGGAAATGGCAAAATTCTGAAGCCCACTTCCACAAGGCTGAGAAGCAGTGGCCTCATGGTTCAACCAGCCGGCTAGGAAATCTGCAGACCTGAAGGCACACACCACAGAACTTCACCCACCTGCATGTGGACCCATCTGGCCGGCGGTAGAAAGCCCACTGTGAGGTATCATAGGGGAGTTCGGGGTGGCAGAGGGTTTGCTTCAGAGACCTAAAAGTAGATAGTGGTCTAAGAAAATGGGTTGGACTATGGGTGTTTCTGTGGCTTCAGAAGCCACAATGCACAGCTTATGTGCAGTGGCTAGAGGAAGTTCAAGCACATTCTCTTCCCCAGGAGGTCCTCTGCTCCAGAAGTGAAACGGCTCTACAGAGGAATTTGAGTCCCCCTTTACAATCCCCGCTGACAGGATCCATAAGCCCCAACAAACATGTATACAGGAAGGAAAAATCAATGTAGTAAAAGAGAAAGGAGAGAACTTAAAGGAATTTGCCAGTCTTCATGCGGCCCATGTCAATGCCCGGCCCATTAGTCATCAGTGTGAAGACCCAGGAAGCCACAGGAAAGGATGTGGAAAAGAAGTCATTAAAAAACGTTTAAAACTTTTGGCTAGGAATGGCGGCTCATGCCTGTAACTCCAGCACTTTGGGAGGCTGAGGTGGGTGGATCACTTGAGGCCAGGAGTTTGAAACCAGACTGGACAGCATGGTGAAACCCCATCTCTACTAATAATATAAAAGTTAGCTGGGCATGGTGGTGCGTGCCTTAATCCTAGCTACTTAGGAGGCTGAGGCAGGAGAATCACTTGAAACCGGGAGGCGGAGGTTGCAGTGAACCAAGATTGCAGCACTGCACTCCAGCCTGGGGTACAGAGCGAGATTCCATCTCAAAAAAATAAAAGGTTTAGAACTTTTAATAAAACAGAGTAAAGTTTCTAACATTTACATGTGCAAATACACACATAACACACACACAAGCCCAAAGCCAGTATCTCCATTTGGACATTGAAGAAAGGAAGTCTTAGAGGGAAACTGCGCACAATCTTGCTGAGGACTGACAGCATGGGTGGGGAAGGCATATTTAAAATATCTGAGAGTAGGAAAAATATGGAGAAAAAACCTTCAGCTCCCATAGGCCCTCAAAAATGCAGGTCCAACAGGGAACGTGGTACCGAAAACAGGGTTTTGAGTGAAGGAGTCTCTTCACTCAGAGTTTAGTCTTTTTGCTGGTGGCAAAGCAGAAAAAGAACAAATTTCATAAGTTGTCAGCTGGAAAACGTGTTGGGCAGGGTGGCCACATGGGCTCTAAGAGTCTGGGTTTCCTTCCTTATTGGACCTTTGACTTTAGAGTCCCTTGGCTTCTCAGAGCCTTTGTCATGTCATCTGTGATGGCATGTGTGGAGTGTCTGCCTGGTTCATTCACTTCTGTTCCCTTTTGGAAACTGGCTGTAAGCACCTCCAGCCAGGATGGGCCGAGATACCCCTGTATGAGAAGAACCCCAAAGTAGAAGACCCTGAGTTAGCAGAGACTGGAGCTTAGGCTCAGAGATGTATTCCTGGCCATGTCCAGCCTCTGCTTGCTGTGTTGAAAGAAGTTTGTTCTATGCAGACTCTGATGGGACCTAACAAGTCTCAGGGAACCAGGGACAGAGGTCATGATTCAAGGGAGGGTATTTTTGGGCTGACATCTGGTTTTTCCCTGCTACCCCCATAGACTAGAGCCAAATGGCCTCTAGCCCAGCCCAGAGCCCTCTTGGCAGCTTGGCCAACTACTAGTACCAGCAACTGGTCCCCAAGAGCTGAGCTCCTTCTGTTCTGGACAAAGGTGACACAATCTCCAGAAGCTGTCACTCAGAAGCAGATATGAGAGATCAAAGAGGAGGCCTGAGGAGAGGCTTCAGGGCTTGTTAGATTCAGCCTCCTAAAAGTTCAATGAAGTCAAGGGCAGTATGGAGGACCAAAGTCTTCATAAGCTTGTGCTTTGCCAACAGCACTGGGCCACAGCATGCCTCCTTTGTGGTTTCTGTGTACCTTGACAGAGTCGGGGATGGCCAAGGTTAAGGGTATAGGTCTGGCTAGATACTATTTGAACTAGGTACACGTAAAGCATCATCCTAAGACAAAACAACAGTGTGTGCAAGCATGTTTAGAATGTTAATTCCCTGAGTTCCCCCAGAGTTGCAAATCCGTCATCTCTCTTCAGTGGAAAAGAAGTCTGATATATTGGCAATTTTTCCCCAACAGCTTATACCAGTCCCTCTTTTTTCTTCCTTCATGCAGTGTTTATAGTCAGAGCCTCACAGTCCAGTTCTTGGTCACTCTCCATCTTGTATTCTTTGCACTTTATTTTTCATGCCAGCAAGGTTTTACTTTCCCAACGAGACAGTTCCCTGAAGGTATATTCCATGGCTGGCAATAATGTAGTGCTTGGCACTAGAGCGTTCCACACTTTTCAAAGCCTTTTCCTGCCTTCCATGAATTCAGCCATGGCAGGATAAGCATGGCTGTGCCCACGTGACAGACATGGACACCGATGCATGGGAGGTGGAGTTACTTGATTGGGTACATGCTGCTCTTTGGAACCAAAAATGAGACTTCATGTTATTGAGTGAATGTCTGCTACCCACTGGCCCCGATCAGGACTTTATGTTCATTTCCTAGCACTATTACCTATAAACAGAAAAGACTTAATCAAGAATCACTTGATTATTTAGCTTTTAAAGTATTTTCCTATGTTTAATTTTTCAAAACCTCAGTGTGGCCAATTAATGACTACAAATATGTGACCCCTTCTTACATCAATAAATAGGGTCTAATTCCTATCCTCTTGAATCTGGGCTAGACTCAGTGGTTTTCCATAACCAATATAACATGGTGGAATTGATGTGGATCTTTCGAGACTAAGTCAGAAAAGGTCATAGTGTTTCCACTTTGCTTGTTGGAACACTTGCTCTTGGAACATTGAGTCGCCATGTGAAAAGTCGGATTACTTTGAGGTTGCCATGCCAGAGAGGCCAAGATCAGTGTTTCACTAAGGTCAGCAGTCCTAGCTAAGCCCAGTTTTTGAGTCATCCTTGCCAAGGTGCTAGGTATGTGAGTGAAGCCACATTGGGACCCCCAGATCAGACCATCCACCAATAAGTGGCCATCATTTGTGGTACATGAGACAGAAAACTCACCCAGATGAACTCAACATGAACTCATGTCTTGGGGTAATTTGTTACATAATAGTAGATGACCCAGAAAATTCTTCAGTCTTCCCCGGAGCCCACTGAGAACAACGTATCGATGGCTGAATAGAAACTGGGCTTACGAAGGCTCACATCCTGCTTAACTCCATATGTTAGATTCCTGCAGTATTATTTTAGCTTTCCTCACCTTTTGCTGGAGGAAATTGTGTGGACGTACTGAATTCTCCCAGAGAATTAGCTTGTTTTTAGAAACATGCTTACAATTATGAGTTGTGCAATTGGCTGTGAGAGTGTCCACATAAAATTATTGATTTTTGAGCACGTCCATGTTTTCAACTCTGGGTTTAGTCATATATATCATTCAGGTTCCAACTTGGGTGCTTTTTCTGCCATGAGATCTGTCTTTCATTTTTTTTGCTCCTACTCTGAAGAGAGGTCTCTCTTCTATGCTCTCAGGCCAATATGTCTACATGTCTACGTTTTTATGACTCTGATTATATTTCGCCTTTTCCTTGGCTCTTTTCTCTTCTTTTTTTTTTTTTTTTTTTTTTGAGATGGAGTCTTACTCTGTTACCCAGGCTGGAGTGTGTAGTGGTGCAATCTAGGCTTACTGCAACCTCTACTTCCTGGGTTCAAGCCATTCTCCCACTTCAGCCTCCCGAGTAGCTGGGATTACAGGTGCTTGCCACTAAGCCCAGCTGATTTTTTTGTGTTACTAGTAGAGAAGGGGTTTCACCATGTTGGTTCCTGGCTGGTCTTGAACTCCTGATCTAGTGATTCGCCTGCCTCGGCCTCCCAAAGTGCTGGGATTGCAGGTGTGAGCCACCGCTCCCAGCCCCGTGGCTCTTTTTAAACCTAAGTGTCCCTTGTGATGCTCAAGGTCCTTAAGTCAGTTGACCTTTGCTTTTTGATCTTATTTTCTTACGGCCCTTACTTATTGCTTATTGTGTAAGAGATACTGCTATGTGTTCATATGCCTTTTTCCTTCTAGCACGTGGAAAGACCTTATGCTCTGCCCTTAGAACTACGAGATTGATGCCTTTTCAAAGGTATATAAGCAGAAGTGATGTATGTCTCTTTCAGGTCAGCACTTAGATGCCCTCCACTATTCCTCTGCCTGCCACTTCAGCTTTGGAAGCTAATGTGTCCCAGATGGCATAAACTACATGACAGAGAAGGGTGGTCTGATTCACATTAAGCTTGATATGAGTGAGGAATAAGCCTTTATTTTGTTAATGCACTGAGAGTTTGAGGATTTGTAACTGCAGAATAGCTTATTGTATTTTGACTAATAAAATGATACAACAACATTTATAATAATAGCTATAGCTCATATTTGCTGAGTGTCTCTCATGAGTCAACTGTTAAGTGTTTTATATATTTAATATCTTAAAATACTTCCAACAACTGTATATACCAAGCAGTATTAGTCAGATTCTCATTTCATAGTTGGAGATATTTATACATAGGATGATGACAATAATTATTAGTAATTGGCTGAGCTAGGACTTGAACCCACGTCTGTCTGACTCCAGAGCAATTTTTCTAGTCTACTCTATAGACTCTGTTCCTATGTCTGTAAATTTCAAGTGGTTTTGAACTGGGCCTTGTCAGAGCAAGAGCTCTAGATGGGTGTTTTCGGTTTTTGTATGATTCAAATTAAAGTAAGAGGTTAAGGTCTGTTTTTAAGGAACTTACTATAAAGTTGTTTCTTTTAAACCTTCCATTTATATAATTTCTGGGTTATCTTCTGAATACTGAAATCAGTCTCTTTAGATGTTAAGAGGGCTCAAAACTACAAAGTTCACCTTTCCTCCCTCGTCAGCCCTACTCTGATGCAGCCACGAGATAGTGGAGGAGTTTCTCCCTTGAATTCTGAGCCCCAGAACCACAGATTAAACAAAACACATTTGTGGGGTACTGTGATCTGAACATCTGTGTCCTCCTAAATTTATATGTCGAAATGCTATTACCCAAGACGATGCTATTAGGAGATGGGGCCTTTAGAGGTGATTAGGGTGCAGGGGCAGAGCCCTCCTGAATAGGATTAGTGCCCTTATAAAACAGGCCCCACAGAAACCCCTCACCCTGTCCACCACATGAGCACGCAGCAAGAGGGAACCATCTAAGAGGAAGCAGGTCTTCACTAGACACTGAATCTACGGCACATTGATCTTGGACTTCCAGCCTCCAGGACTGTAAGAAATAAATTTCTGTTATTTTTGAGCCACCCTGTGGCATTTGTTGTATCACCTGAACACACTAAAATTGCGGTGCTTGGGGGCTTTCAGCCAAATTTAAACCTAGTCTTTTTTCCTGCTTGTGCCACAGATTCCCTGGCAGCCTCCCCGTTCAGGAATGGTTTTGGGTTCCAAGGCAATAGCATGGCAGTTGTTTTCCGGATGAAATAAGAAGTTGCATTCAGATTTCTCTCCTACTAAGGGGCATTTGTCTTGAGACTGCCCCATTGATGGAACCTTGGGAGGGGTTTGCGTGAATCCCGCTGGCAGCCAGAGCCAAGTGTATTGCAGCAAGGTCTGTGGCGCGTAGTTTATGGTAGCAATTACTGAGCCAGATTCTTATGTAGTCATGATACCTTCAATTACGGGCAAAGCTGGGGAGGTCAACATAATAAGTGTTTGCATTTTCAGGGCCCTGGAAATCCATAAAGATCACTGGAGTCTATTATTTCACTCCTACTCTGCCTTCTTGGCCTTCTTCTCTGATTTAAAACATTCTTAGCACAGGGTATAAAATTAAACACACAGCATCAGCAAAACTAGCCCAACAGAATAAAAGGGGGAAAAAAAGAACCCTTGAAGATATACTGTAATTGTGAAAGGCAGGGCCTGCCACTCTTGCTCTTGAACAAAATTTGCAGGTCTAGTTGTAGATTTCTAAAAAATATACAAATGTTTAAATGTTGAAATACCCTCAAGCATACAGAAAACTTGCAAATACAATAAAAATAACTTATTTTAATTGAACCATTTAAGAGAAGTTGCTGACTTAATGCCCCATCACCCCTAAATTCTTCAGTTGTATTTCCTACATGCAAGGACATTATTCTAAACAACCACAAAACAACTATCAAAACAGGAAGGTGACATCGGTACCTGATTACCATTTAATCCTCAGACCCCATTCACATTTCTGCAGTTGCTCAGTTACGTCTTTCAGCAGGATGATCCAATCCAGAATCATGCATTGCATTTATACATGTCTCTTTCTATCTAGAAGGGTTCCTCTGTCTTTCTTGGACTTTGATGACCTTCACTTTTTGAACACAGTTCAGGTGTCTTGCTAATGTCCTCCATTTTATTTACCTTTTTTAATTTCAGTACGTTTTCTGGGGCAGACAGGTGGTTTTTGGTTACGTAAATAAGTTCTTTAGTGGTGATTTCTGAGATTTTGGTGCACCTATCACCTTAGCAGTGTACATTGTACCCAATATGTAGTCTTTTATCCCTCACCCCCCCACACACCCTTCGCTCAAATCCCCAAAGTCCATTATGTCATTCTTACACCTTTGCACCCTCATGGCTTAGCTCCCACTTATAAATGAGAACGTGTGATATTTGATTTTCCAATCCTGAGTTACTTCATTTAGAATAATGGCCCTCCAGCTCCATTCAAATTGCTGCAAAGGCCATTATTTTGTGTTTTATGGTGAGTAGTAGTCTACGGTGTATATATACCACATTTTCTTTATACACTCATGGGTTGATGGGCATTTAGGTTGGTTCCGTATTTTTGCTATTGCGAATTGTGCTGCTATAAATGTGCATGTGCAAGTGTCTTTTTCATATAATGACTTCTTTTCTTTGGATAGATACCCAGTAGTGAGGTTGCTGGATAGAAAGGTAGCTCTACTTTCAGTTCTTTACAGAATCTCCACACTGTTTTCCATAGCAGTTGTACTAGTTTACATTCCCACTACCAGTGTAAAAGTGTTCCCTTTTCACCACATCCAGACCAACATCTATTACTTTGTGACTTTTTAATTATGGAGAATGTCCTTTATTTTGGGTTTCTGTAATGTTTTCTCAAGATTAGATTCAGAAGTGTGCTAGAAATGAAACTGCCATCCTCTTATTGAATCTTTTTTTAAATTTTATTTTTAGTTTTTATTATACTTAAAGTTCTGGGATACATGTGCAGTGTGTGTAGGTTTGTTACATAGGTATACACCTGTCATGGTGGTTTGCTGCACCCATCAACCCATCCTCTACATGAGGTATTTCTCCTAATGTTATCCCTCCCCTAGCCCGTGGGGTTGGGATCTGCTGAGCTAGACCACTTGGCTCCCTGGCTTCAGGCCCCTTTCCAAGGGAGTGAACGGCTCTGTGTTGCTGGTGTTCCAGGCACCACTGGGATATGAAAAAATACTCCTGCGGCTAGCTGGCTCTCTGCCCAAATGGCCACCCAGTTTTATGCTTGAAACCCAGGGCCCTAGTGGCGTAGGCACCAGAGGGAATCTCCTGGTCTGCGGGTTTTGAAGACCATGGGAAAAGCCTAGTATCTGGGCTGGATAGCACCGTCCCTCACGGCACAATCCCTCATGGCTTCCCTTGGCTAGGGGAGGGATTTCCCCAAACCCTTGCACATCCTGGGTGAGGCAATGCCCCCCACCCTGCTTCAGCTCATCCTCTGTGGGCTGCACCCACTGTGTAACCAGTCCCAATGAGATGAGCCAGGTACCTCGTTGGGGAATGCAGAAATCACCCACCTTCTGCATTGATCTCGCTGGGAGCTGCAGACCGGAGCTGTTCCTATTCAGTCATCTTGCCAGCCACCTCCTTATTGCATCTTATGTGACACATGGTTTTGATTGTTCTCATCTTTCTTAATCATTTTATTAAGATGATGCCTTCTAGGCATCTTGAAAGTTACTTTTCCCATTTGTGATTAATAAATATTTGATGAGGAGTTACTTAAATAATCTCTAAATACCCTGTTCCTCATCAAACATTTTATTCATTTATTTTGATGCTCCCACTGGCCAAAACTAGGACCAATTGAGCATCAAAATAAATGATGAAAGTCACAGGTTACAAGTCATTGAGTAAAATAGAAAGGACAATCCCATGTTGATATAAGGTGGCTTGTGTGTTCTTGTGCTATGCCACCATCCTTTTTGTAGCTCCTTAGTTTATGATACAACCAGATATTCCAGATTTGTCTTGTATTTTTTTTTCACCTTAGCCCTGGAGTCAGCCATTTCTCCATGGAACCATGGTGGTTGTGGGTTTTTTTTTTTTTTTTTTTTTTTTTGTGCAAAATAGTATACAGAAGTCCAGGAAGGGCCACTAGACGTGCTCACTGCTTTGGGGTTGACACTGACTCCCAGACCTCCCAGTGGATGAAGCAAGGGATACACACACACACACACACACACACACACACACACACACACCTACTACCCCACTATGTCTATATTAATGTCTGTATCTACAAATACTAAAAGTGGAGACTTCACAGTGATACCTCTAATTTCAAATCAATACTACAGAGTTTATTCTATTTTCTTCTCCTTTCCATGTTGTAACTCGCTTCTTTTTCCAGTGAGGAACTTGATTTCTATTACCCTTGATATATTTGCTTACATGTTCATTCATCCTGTGTATGATCAATCTCCCGTCAATGCTGCTGTCTCCTCCCCCAACCTGGTAAGTGCCCAGTTGTCACTGTTTAAGCTCCAATATCTCGTCCTGGTTCACACCCTTTGCTGATGCCTCTTCAGCCTACTCAGATTTAACACCTTGCCTTTGATTGTCCCAACACAGACCATGTAGGCCAGCCCTTAGCCTGGACTTCCTCCTCATTCTTCTTGGGCTCTGAGACCCACACTGGCTCACCTCCATGTTGGACTTTGATTTTTCTTAAACAGCTCATACCCAGAAACTTCACACTGGGCTGATCCCTTCACCTTGCTTGGTTCTACTTTAGGACTGCAGTGTTTGAGAAGGTGAAGGAAAATGGAACGGCAATCCCAAGGCTGAGATAATACAAGTTTACCTGGGTCTGTTGACTTTTTCTCCTCTCCCTCTCTGGAGGGGGTGGTGATGAGGAAGTTGAGGACTGTACCTAATGATAGCAGGAATGCTCTGGGGCACAAGTGTTGCTGGGCCCAGGCAGAGTGAGCACGAGGCCTCCTTTATATGGCCCTGTACCTCTTTCCTCATTTGGTCTTCTCCATTAGAGGGAAGAGGATCCCAATGACACTTACAAGTGGCTACTACGTAGCATGTGTTGTCTGAATCAGTTTGCATCTGCACTCAATGAGTCGGTATTATCCTTACAGTTTTTCAGATAAAGAAAAAGTTAGAAAACTTACATGGCTACTCATGTCCACCAAGGGACAGAACCAGGATTTGGACTTGGGGCTGTCTGTCTCCAACTCTGTTTATCTCCTTATCTCTTGTAATGGAGGAGACAGAGCACATCTTGGAAAGCCAGCCATACCAAAGTTGCTTAATCAATGTTAGTTAATATTAATGTGTTTGTGAAGAAAACATAAAATATGAGCTCTGGGGCTCTGGTGAGTTGAGACTTAAGCCTTCTGGCCAGGGAATATTCTGTTTTTCTTTCTGAGATGTTATGGTAGGCGTTTGGTTCAAGAAAAGCTAAGAAGTATTTTTTTGGACATCTTTGTGAGATTATGATCTTAAAAAGACTAAGAAAATAATATGTATTGGGCATTTACTAGGTGTCTGACTCCATTCTAAAACTTTATACCTATCAATTTATTTAATGGTCACTATAAGGTGAAGTGTACTATTTTCTTCTATTCATAGATAAGAACTTAAGGCACAGAGAGTTTAGGTAACATCCAAGGTTATTGTATTAGTCCATTCTCATGCTGCTAAGAAAGACATACACAAGATCGGGTAATTTAAAAAGGAAAGAGGTTTAATGGACTCACAGTTCCACATGGCTGGGGAGGCCTCACAATTGTGGCAGAAAATGAAGGAAGAGCAAAAAGACATCTTACGTGGCAGCAGGCAAGCAAGCTTGTGCAGGGGAACTCCCATTTATAAAACCATCAGATCTCATGAGACTTATTCACTACCACAAGAACAGTATCAGAGAAACTGCCCCCAGGATTCAATTATTTCCACCTGGCCCCGCCCTTGATATGTCGGGATTATTACAATTCAAGGTGAGAGGTGGGTGGGGACACAGACAAACCATATCAGTTACAGAACTGGAGAGAAGAAGAACCAGCATTTGAGTGCAGGCTGATTGGTACTTGGGTTCAGTTCTTGACTGAGTGGTAGGTTCTACTCACTCAGACTTCTGGGTTCTGGAATTTAGCTGAATGTGCTTTTTCATGAAAAGACACATCACAATTAAGCCGAGAGATATAAAAGCGCTTTGCAAGATGGAAAAATTATCCAATATTATGTTCATATTATAACTTATTGAGTTTTTGTTACATCAAGTGTTCCTTTTATCTGTTTTTGAGACAGGCATTAAAGTATTCAGAAATTGTTAAGTCAGAATGAGTGGGTCTGGGTATTTACTGAATGCCACGTGCCAGGCCTACTAATCAAAATCATGCCTTTAAAGAACTAGCCACCCAGTGAACCACCCAAGGGAACCAATATTACAATACCCTGTAGTAATTACTATGGCAGATGTAAGTGGAGGATGCTACAGGAGTAAAAAGGAAGGGCACAGAAAAGATTCTCAAAAGGGAGAATCTGGGGTCAGAGTCTTGGCAGGATGTCAGTTTCAGCCTTCATGGTTCAAGTGAGTGAACTTCTTAAAGGGACTTTTTACAGGGGCATGTTCGAGGTTAAAGAAGCCACAAAGAGACGTTGAGGCACCCAGAGTCTAGCAATCATGGGATGCTCTTAACACTTTGAGGCTGAAAGGTCAAGGAAAGGAAATGGTTTTACCAGAGCCCAGTAAGAACTAGAGCTACAAAGGAGGGGGTGGCAGCTAGGAGCATGGCCTCAAAGAGATGCAGCTTTCCCCAGATATAAAGGGCCAGGCAAAAAATATTCCAACCACTTTTTCATTCCATCTTCTCAACTCCTGTGGCTGTTTTCCAGCAGTAAAACCCAAATGAAAGTCAGCTGTCAAAAGGATCTAAGTAGGGCACTCTCCAGGGCTCAGCCATCCTGGCACAGAGCAGGAAAGAAGGTCAGAAAGTGGACATGGGGTGAGGACAAATGGAGAATAACCTGCATATCATAGGAGGCTTCCTGAAAAAGGTGGTTCTTTAATTAATGCTGAAGTATAGAGAAGAGTTTTCTAGGTAAACATGGAAGGGGAAGAAGACATGCCAGGCAGAGAGTCTATCCTGTTTAAAGGCATGATCCTGTTGGGAAACTATGATGTCTTCATGATGAATAGGGTGGGAAGGGTGAGAAAGATGCAGTGGTAGAATTACATTTTGCCCCAACCATATCTTCTTCTTACCACTCTTGTTTGTGTTTCAAACATATAAAATCATATTTGTTGGAAAGAAAAGAAAATCACATCTTTTTTTTAGCCAATTATTTTTCTTTTTTTTTTTTGAATTATACTTTTAAGTTCTGGGGTACATGTGCAGAACGTGCACATTTGTTACGTAGATATACATGTGCCATGGTGATTTGCTACACCCATCAACCCGTCACCTACATTAGGAATTTCTCCTAATGCTATCCCTCCCCGAGCCCCCAATCCGCTGACAGGCCCCACCGTGTGTTGTTCCCCACCCTGTGTCCATGCGTTCTCTTTGTTCAACTCCCACTTATGAGTGTGAACATGTGGTGTTTGGTTTTCTTTTCTTGTGATAGTTTGCTGAGAATCATGGTTTCCAGTTTCAACCATGTTCCTGCAAAGGACATGAACTCATCATTTCTTATGGATGCATAGTATTCCATGGTGTATATGTGCCATATTTTCTTTATCCAGTCTATCATTGATGGACTTCTCGGTTGGTTCCCAGTCTTTGCTATTGTAAACAGTACTGCAATAAACATACGTGTGCATATGTCTTTACAGTAGAATGATTTATAATCCTTTGGGTATATACCCAGTAATGGGTTTGCTGGGTCATATGGTATTTCTAGTTTTAGATCCTTGAGGAATGGCCACACTGTCTTCCACAATGGTTGAACTAATTTACACTCCCACCAACAGTGTAATAAGCGTTCCTATTTGTCCACATCCTCTCCAGCATCTGTTGTTTTCTGACTTTTTAATGAACGCCATTCTAACTGGCATGAGATGGTATCTCATTGCGGTTTTGATTTGCATTTCTCTAATGACCAGTGATGATGAGCATTTTTTCATATGTTTGTTGGCTGCATAAATGTCTTTTTTTGAGAAGTGTCTGTTCATATACTTTGCCCACTTTCTGATGGGGTTGTTTGTTTTTTCTTGTAAATTTAAGTTCTGTGTTGATTCTGGATATTAGCCTTTGTGAGATGGATAGATTGCAAAAATTGTCTCCCATTCTGTAGGTTGCCTGTTCACTCTGATGGTAGTTTCTTTTGCTGTGCATAATCTCTTTAGTTTAATCAGATCCCATTTATCAATTTTGGCTTTTGTTGCCGTTGCTTTTGGTGTTTCAGACATGAAGTCCTTGCCCATGCTTATGTCCTGAATGGTATTGCCTAGGTTTTCTTCTAGGGTTTTTATGGTTTTAGGTCTAACATTTAAGTCTTTAATCACCTTGAGTTGATTTTTGTATAAGGTGTGAGGAAGGGGTCCAGTTTCAGTTGTCTGCATACAGCTAGCTAGTTTTCCCAGCACCATTTATTAAATGGGGAATCTTTTCCCCATTGCTTGTGTGTGTCAGGTTTGTCAAAGATCAGATGGTTGTAGATGTGTGGTGTTATTTCTGAGGCCTCTGTTCTGTTCCATTGGTCTATATATCTGTTTTGGTACCAGTACTGTGCTGTTTTTCTTACTGTAGCCTTGTAGTATAGTTTTAAGTCAGGTAGAATGATGCCCCCAGCTTTGTTCTTTTTGCTTAGGATTGGCTTGGCTATGCGGGCTCTTTTTTGGTTCCATATGAAGTTTAAAGTAGTTTTTTCTAATTCTGTGAAGAAAGTCAATGGTAGCTTGATGGCAATGGCATTGAATCTATAATCTACTTTGGACAGTATGGCCATTTGCACGATATTGATTCTTCCTATCCATGTGCTTGGAATGCTTTTTCCATTTGTTTGTGTCCTCTCTTACTTCCTTGAGCAGTGGTTTGTAGTTCTCCTTGAAGAGGTCCATCACATCTCTTAGAAGTTGAATTCCTAGGTATTTTATTCTATTTGTAGCAATTGTGAATGGGAGTTCACTCATGATTTCTCTCTCTGTTTGTCTATTATTGGTGTATAGGAATGCTTGTGATTTTTGCACATTGATTTGGTATCCTGAGACTTTGCTGAAGTTGCTTATCAGCTTAGGGAGATTTTGGGCTGAGATGATGGGGTTTTCTAAATATACAGTCATCTCATCTGCCAACAGAGACAATTTGACTTCCTCTTTTCCTATTTGAATACCCTTTATTTTTTTCTCTTGCCTGATTGCCATGGCCAGAACTTCCAAAAGTATGTTGAATAGGAGTGGTGAGAGAGGGCATCTTTGTCTTGTGCCAGTTTTCAAAGGGAATGCTTCCAGTTTTTGCCCATTCAGTATGATAATGGCTGTGGGTTTGTCATAAATAGCTCTTATTATTTTTAGATACTTTCCATTGATACCTAGTTTATTGAGAGTTTTTAGCGTGAAGTGGTTTTGAATTTTGTTGAAGGCTTTTTCTGCATCTATTGAGATAATCATGTGGTTTTTATCATTGGTTCTGTTTATGTGATGGATTACGTTTATTGATTTGCATATGTTGAACCAGCCTTGCATCCCAGGGATGAAGCTGACTTGATTGTGGTGGATAAGCTTTTTGATGTGCTGCTGGATTCGGTTTGCTAGTATTTTACTGAAGATTTTTGCATCGATGTTTATCAGGGATATTGGTCTAACATTTTCATTTTTTGTTATGTCTCTGCCAGGTGTTGGTATCAGGATGATGCTGGCCTCATAAAATGAGTTAGGGAGAATTTCGTCTTTTTCAGTTCTTCGTAATAGTTTCAGAGGGAATGGTACCAGCTCCTCTTTGTACCTCTGGTAGAATTTGGCTGTGAATCTGTTTGGTCCTGGACTTTTATTTGGTTGGTAGGCTATTAATTACTGCTCCAATTTTGGAACTTGTTATTTGTCTATTCAGGGATTCGACTTCTGCCTGGTTTAGACTTGGGTGGGTGTATGTGTCAGGAATTTATCCATTTCTTCTAGGTTTTCTAGTTTATTTGCATAGAGGCGTTGATAGTATTCTCTGATGGTAGTATGTATTTATATGGGATCAGTGGTGATATCCCCTATATCATTTTTTATTGTGTCTATTTGATTCTTCTGTCTTTTCTTGATTAGTCTGGCTAGCGGTCTATCTATTTTGTTGATCTTTTCAAAAAACTACCTCCTGGATTCATTGATTTTTTTTTTTTCCAGGGTTTTCCATGTCTTTATTTCCTTCAGTTCTCCTCTGATCTTAGTTATTTCTTGTCTCGGTGCTCTACATGTTCAGAGAACTTCTCTAATGATGAACTATAGGAATGATCCCTGAAAGTATAGTCTTACATTATTAATATTATAGAAGGGATCTCAAAAGGATCAGCCCCGGATCAGTCTGGCAACTTTCTAAGCCATCCAAGATAGGTGGCATCTGGGTTCCACTTAGAGTTAAACATCTTGCTCAATTCTTTCTTTTACATCAAAATTTATATTCATCTTTCATAACTCACTGTCTTAGTCCACTTGGGCTGCTGTAACAAAGTACCATAGTCTTAGAACCAAGAGAAATTAATTTCTCACAGTGCTGATGGGTGGAAATCTGAGATCAAGGCCCTCGTAGACTCTGTGTCTGGTGAGGGTTTGCTCTCGACTTCGTAGGCAGCATTGTATTGCTGTGTCCTCACAGAGTGGAAGGGACAAGGCAGCTCTCTATGTCCTCCTTTATAAGGGCACTAGTCCCATTTATGAGGGATTTGCCTTCATGAACTAATCATCTCCCGAAAGCCCTACCTCCTAACACCATCACTTTTGGGGGCTAGGATTTTAGCCTATGAATTTTAGAAAGACACATTCGGACCATAGCACCCATCATCTTCTTCTACCAAGGCTTTTAATTTTATTTTTTAAGAGACAGGGTTTTACTCTGTCGCCCAGGCTGGAGTACAGTGGCGTGATCATAGCTCACTGCAGCTTTGAACTCCTGTGCTCAGGTGATCCTGTTGCCTCAGTCTCCGGAGCAGCCAGAAGTAAAGGCATGAACCACCATGCCCAGCTAATTTTTGTAGTTTTTACAGAGATAGGGTATCGTTATGTTGCCCAGGCTTGTATCAAAGTAATCCTCCCAGCTTGGCCTCCCAAAGCCTGGAATTTTAGGCATAAGCCACCGCACTCAGCCTCCTACCCAGGGTCTTAACCTTAAAATAGTTTTAATACAGTGTTGTGGAAGGCCAAGGTCTAGACTATTTTGAAGGGTTATTTTCAGCTTCAGGTTCTTTGGCTTTGGGACCACGTCTGTCCTAATGCCTTAGAATTCCTTTCCCTTGCTAATACCAAGCCTAGCCCTCTCATTCTGCTTTTATGTCAAGAACCAGCGTAGGCCATAACTAGGGCAGCCTGCACAGGGCCTGGAAAAGTAACAATGGCCTCCTGGCCATTTCCTTCCTTTCCACTCTACACACTCTTTATTCATGTGAAACTTACAATGCTGATTATCTTCCTTGAGTGTTTTCTTCCACTTGCCTTCTTAGAATTCCTAGTGACTTGATGTATCTATCATTTACCCATTACCCTAATGCTTTATGAAAAGATACCTTCACTATTCTCCTTATACAGATAAGAAAAGTGAGACATACACAACTGATGTCACGCCGTTAGAAAATGTAGAGTGAATGTTCAGGTCAGTCTGACGCAGAATACACACTCTTCACACTCTTTTATTTTTTCTTTTACTTTTTTTTTTTTTTTTTTTTTTTTGAGATGGAGTCTCGCTTTATCACTCAGGCTGGAGTGCAGAGGCACGATCTCGGCTCACCGCAACCTCTGCCTCCTGGGTTCAAGTGATTCTCCTGCCTCAGCCTCCCCAGTAGCTGGGATTACAGGCGTGTGCCGCCATGCCTGGCAAATTTTGTATTTTTAGTAGAGATGGTGTTTAACCATGTTGGCCAGGCTGGTCTCAATCTCCTGACCTTAAGTGGTCTGCCTGCCTTGGCCTCCCAAAGTGCTGGGATTACAGGCATGAGCCACTGCACCCGAACACTGTTCACACTATTTACTACTATGCTGGACTTCATCTCTAAACAAACTTCACAAACAGACTTGCTTTTCTGACTTCTCGAATTTCCCTCCCACATAGGACTGTACTTTTGCTTCAGTATTCTTTCTAAATCATTGAGTACTCATTGTTTGAGATAATTTATTTTCTTTTTAAAAATCGTAAATGTTTTATGTTAGAAACAGGGTCTTGCTATGTTGCCCAGGGTGAAGTGCAGTGGTGATTCACAGGTGTGATCATTGCCTACCACAGTCTTTAACTTCTGACCTTAAGTGATCCTCTGTCTCAGCCCCCCAGTTGCTGGGACTGTGCCATCACACTTGGCTCTTTTCTTTAACTTTACATCTTGCTGTTTCTGCTTCCTCAATCTCAGATTAAGTCTGAAGTCTCCTCTTACTGTTTCCACCTCTGACCCCATTATAAGCTTTTTCACAGCCCTGATTCCAGCTGTCACCAGGCACATGATTTTCTTGTTAATGCTATGCAGTGCTGAGCATGTTCAGTTGAATCAGCTGTTAAGGGCTCCTAAACCAGAAGTCCTACCCCTAATTCCAGCTGCAGCACCAGAAGTAAGGTGGTCTGAGACCTTGGTATCAAGTCCATGTCACCATGCCTCTTCTTTACACTCTACTTCAACTGATTTGGGTCTCTTTCCCCTGTATATCCCAATGGATTGGATGGCCAACATCCTGGTTGGCCTGGGACAGTTAGGGTTTATGCTCACTGTTCTGGTATAATAATTAGTGGTTCCCTCTTTGACTCTCAGAATTGTCCTAGTCTGAAGGATAGATCATGTGATTCTTGTACCTCTTGGCCCCTCTGAATGAAGAAACGTGTTCCCTGTGATGAATGTGAGAGGGCCTGACGTTTTAGACTATAGAATTACAAATTGAATGTCAGATAATACATGTGGGCAACGTATGATGGGCCTGACTGTTTTTAAAACAGAAAGGAGGCAACAGCTTGCACCTCTCTTTTTCAAACCAGCTCCCGGTAATGTGATCAAATACTCAGCCAACTAATAGTGGCATAGCCTGGAACTTAGTTGTGTATAGATCTATTTAGAGTAGTAGACCAACCAGACCCATCTGGTGATGAAAAAGCCTTCCCTTGGTCACCTGTCAGAGGCAGAATAATAGACATAGATGTGCCTCAGTGAAGCCACTCACCCTTTTCACTCTGAGCATGTACAAAACTTACCTGAGATGCCAGTGGTGCAGCTCTGCTGGACCTGGACTGTGAAGGGCTCCAGGATGTGGCTGGGAGGAAATGACCCCATTATTTCAGCAGAGCAGAGAGTATATGTTCCACTTGGCGTGGCAGCTACTATTTGGTTGTAGGGTGACAATGCTAGGCCTCCCGCTCCTACTTAAGGGCTTACCCTATGGCTTGCCCATCTGTTTAGGACAAAGCCCCAGGGAACAGGGCCAGGAAACAGAACAAGGAAAGTCCTACTGGGTGAAATGCCATGGAAATGGGTTTCAGAGAGGGTCCTCCTGCACTGGGTTACTGACTTTTCCGCTAGTGGCTACTAAAAAATGAATTCTTCAAAGTGCTTATCACTGGCTCTTATAGGTGAATTGACTGGAAGGAATGATGAACAAAAACTGTAAGCTGGACATCACTAAGTCTCTGAGGGAGAAGAAAAAAAACAGCAGCCCTCTCTCTAAGGTGATTTTTTTTTTTTTTGACAGAGTTTCACTCTTGTTGCCCAAGCTGGAGTGCAATGGGGCGATCTTGGCTCACTGTAGCCTCCACCTCTCAGGTTGAAGTGATTCTCCTTCCTCAGCCTCCCAAGTAGCTGGGATTACAGGCATGCACCACCACACCTGGCTAATTTTGTATTTTTAGTAGAGACGGGGTTTCTCCATGTTAGTCAGGCTGGTCTCGAACACCCGACCTGAGGTGATCTGCCCGCCTCAGCCTCCCAAAGTGCTAGGATTACAGGTGTGAGCCACTGCGCCCAGCCTCTCTAAAGTGATTTTAAAGGTCAGGTATCCTGAAAGTATGACCTTGTCCCTGATGATTGGAATTAAAAAAAGTTTTCCTGGGAAATGAAAGATGAAAAAAAAACCAATAGGCTTTTTTTCAGACCTTGCAATTCAGATGGAAGGAATTTTGTTCGAGGGCTAGGGGGGAATGGAAGGAAAGGTAGGAAAGTTATAGTAGGATAACTGGAAGGAGAGAGAACTAGAAGCAGATAATTTGGACAAGTAGAGGAACAGGCAGGGGAGCTGGGAGAAAGGAGGAATAAGAGTGCATGCGGGCCACGTGTGGCCTGGAACTGACCTCACACAGGTGCCAGCAGGGTTGCCAGGCCAGGCAGGGATGTTAAGGGGCTCTTCAGGACCCAGATCAATTTCCACAATTCTCTGCCATGCCCCAAATTCTTAGCTTGCTTGCTCTATTTTAGTAGACCATCGAAAGTCTCTGCTAAAATAGAAATTCCATTGCTACCTGTGAATAGTTTTGTATAAAATAGATGTCGAATGGCTTTAGACCCTTGTTTTGGACCCTCTGAAACATTTTGGAAAGGGAAGACCAGGGTGTTAGTGGGATGGGCTGTCATATGAGTGTAGCTGAAGACTCTGGGAATCCTGGGGGAGAATGGAGCCGTGGACCTCTACGTACAGGAATTCTGAGAATAACTTTTAACGGCTTCATCATTTTATGAATATCTATGGTGAGGTTAGAACAGGCCGCCATTCATCTGTAGACTTGGTTCATTTATTTATTCATTATATGCCTGCTACGGACTATATGGGAGGCTTGCTTGCACTTTGGTGGTTGAGGCAGGCAGAGAATAATCAGAAATACTTCCGAGAAGGGCAGAGAACCAATTGGAGTAAATGCATTTGTTTCTCTAGAAGGCAAGCAAGGAAGAAAGGGGCACTTTCTTGTCCTGAACACTGGACTCCTGGGGCAGTGACAGGTTCGTTGGCACCATCAGCACCAAGAGCAGCATGGCCAAGATCAGGTATAGTGGGTTGAACAGTATCCCACCAAAATTCATGTTCACCTGGAAACTCAAAATATGACCTTAACTGGAAACAGTCTTTGCAGATGTGGTAAATTCAGATGAGTTTATAGTATATTAGTGTGGATCATGAATTCAATGACTGGCGTCTTTATGGAGAAAATAGAGGGAGGTTTAGACACAGAGACACAGAGGAGACATAGAGAAGAAGGCCACATGACAACCGAGGCAGAAGTTGCAGTGATGCTGCCACAAGCCAAGGAATGCCAAGGACTGCCAGCAAGCACCACAAGCTAAAAGAGCAGCATGGGATGGTTTTCTGGGGGAGAGCTTCCAGAACCATCCCTGTGGACTCCTTGATTTTGGACTTCCGGCCTTCAGAACTGTGAGAGAATAAATTTTTGTTGTTTTAAGCCACCCATTTTGTAGCACATTGTTACAGCAGCCTTAGGGAATCCACATATCAGTCTCTGAGGCTAGTCTTCCTGTCCCAGGGTTGGTTCGGGCAGAGTAAGGAGACACCAAGATGGTATTGGGTTAATGTGAGGGCTCAAGACCAAGAGAGCATCTGAGACCAGGCAGGGCTCCCAGCAAGTGCAGGTGTGGCACTGATGCCAGAATGGCACAGATGCAATTTTCCCCACAGCATGCTTTAGCAATGAAGCAGCCATCTGTGAAGCCCTTGCCTGCCCTTGGGTGCTGCAGCCCATTATATGGGCATTGTGCCCTCAGGCCAATTGCACATGTGCGTCAACTGATTTTTCACATGGATCCTCCTGCTGTAAAAAGTGTTGGCCGGGTGTGGTGGCTCATGCCTGTAATCCCAGCTCTTTGGGAGGCTAAGGCGACGGGAGGATCATTTAAGCTCAGGAGTTCCAGACCAGCCTGGGCAACATGACAAAACCCTGCTTCTGTTTCAAAACATTTTAAAAAGTTTCTCTTTCCAGCAATGCTTGTAGTCAGACACCTTCAGAGGATCTGAGTCTTAGAGGGGAACACTGCTAAAAGCAAGTTAATGACTATTACTTTCCTCAGGTTGCCATTACTTGGAGAGGCCTCTTAGGAGGGCAAATAGGGATAGTGACGAGTTGCGCTTTGTTCTGCTGCAAGGAAGAACCATGGGAATGTGTGTCTATAGCTTGCCTAAGGTGAAGTAAGCCACTCTTAAGAAGTTACTCAGGAGTTGTAGGTTTATGATAATACGGAGGCAGAGAGGGCTGCAGTGGGGGTCAGTTTGGTCACCATGTTGGTGGTGGGTGGTTGAATGCTCCCTAGAGGGTTTGTATAATTTTCCTTGGAAAATTCGCTGTAAAGAGGATATGAGCTTTTTTGCATTTGACTCCTTGCCATCCAGTGCTGGAGCAGTGAGCTCCCAGAAAGGCCTGGGCATAGCAGACATAAAACATGTAAGCACTCAAAGGGCATTGGGAAAGCCTATTCAAACTTAGGTGACTTTGAATGTGATACCCTGATTATCTACTAGACAGAATTATATGAACTAAATGGTAAGGCATATAGGAGTTTGGAACAGGGAATTGTTGGAAAGCCCCATTAAGCCTCAGAGGGCTTATTAGGGATGCTACCCAATGCTTGGATTCAAAGCTACATTTAACTAGGCTTCTTCCACCCTTCTTTCTGAATCTTTACTTGAGCCCTGGAGGTAGGGAGTATTTCATAGCAGGATAAAGTTGTATTTGCTAATCCTTGAGGATTAGCTGGAAGCATGTTAATGAGATCTTTATCAGGGCCTGCTGTGGTTATGGGGGGCCAGATTTGGATTTTTTTTTTTTTTTTTTTTTTTTTTTTTTTTTGCTTTTTACAATATTTCTTAATGCTCAGGATTCTATCCAATTTGAAACAGATATATTCAGTACTCTGGGGCCAGCAACAGGCTTAGCACATTATGCACAAGACAGAGTTTGGAGAGGCAAAAGTTGAGTTGTAGAAAGCCTTGTTCAGACAGCACTGCCCTGAGACCTTGGCCCTTGCCTCAGGCCTATGCTTCAGGGGACCCCATGCTTTGGAGTTTCTTGTTGACATTTTCTAAAACTCCGTCTGATGCCTTGGACAAGCTGGGTCTGTCAGTACACCCCAGAAGAGAACCCAGAGTTCAAACAAGGGCTCCCCACCACCGTGGTTCCCATTTCTACCTTCTCCATCACTCTCTGACCCTCTGCATCCCTCGCTCAATACACAAACACACACACACACCATACACACACAACACACACCACACACAACACACACCACACACACATCACACATACCCATATCCCCTGACATCACACCACACACACCATACACACACAACACACACATACAACACACACCACACACACAACACACACACCACACACACACCACACACACCACACTACATACAACACACACATAGACCACACACACACAACACACACACCACACAAATACAAAACACACACCACACACACCACACAAATACAAAACACACAGCACACAAATACAACATACATCACACACACCACACACACCACACAAACACACCACACACATACCACACACACATACCTGCCCTAGGGATATATATGTCTAGGTTGACCAGATGTACCAAGGAACATTTGCAATGGTCCCCAGGCCTTATGGCTGGGACCTGGTTTCAAGAGGAGCCTGGTGTGTGGAGTTCTGCCAGCTGGTTTTGCGATTTTCTTGCAGGACCACAGAAGATTGGTTCTGACTTGCTGACTTTGGGTGACCCCCATTTATGTCAGAGACAGGCTGAGTTCAGTGCCCTGTCCTTCAATGGTCCACCACCAACCCTTTGTTAAGCCATGCATGTGTGTCCATGTGTTGGTGCTCACCCATTTCATGTTCTTTGCTTGGTGACACCTCCAGTCTACAGGACACAAGGGCAGTGGGACACAGTAGCAATGGAGATTGCCAGCGTTTCCCTTCAGCCTGAGCCAGTGAGATAGAAGACATAACTGGAGAGACTCCTTTTACATTTTATTATCCTAAGACAACGTGTCTAGACCAAGATGAGTGAGAGGATGGGAGATGGAAGCTTGGCTGGAGCTCTAAGTAAGAATGACCCCTGTAGGGGGTCATTCTTGATCTAATAGGGGATACATGGAAGCATACGGTAAGAAGACACAGCTTTGAAGCACGCAGCCAAGTTAGCCTTTGGGAGTCCTGAGAGCAAGGACTAGGGCCACTAGCTGCAGTGCTTAGTTTCAAGGAAAGAGTTGTTGTCTTTGGGAATATGAGGAAAGCAAGGCAGCACTCTCAGTCTGGGAGAGCTTGAATTATTTGCAGACCATCACAAGCAGGAATGAAAACCATGAGAAAACATGGGGGTAAGTGATGTTAAGAATAGGGTACCTGGTGCATTTTCTAGGCTTAAGCCTGTGGTAAAGTCTTGGCTGTATTAGACATGAAGATAGCATGTGTTAAATTGCAGTCCTGGCATCTAAAATCTCTCCTGAAGTAGTAAGACTATGGAAGCAGTTAGAGGCAATATCAGTTACCGGAGTGGAGAATGGTAATTGGGAAGAGCAATGTCAGTAGTTCTTTTTCTGCATAAGCTGTGGCCAAGGAGGGGAGGCTTTAAACCCAGAGGTGATGCTGCCACTGGTGTTGCGGCCTCCCGTCAAGTCCATTTCACCACAAGTTGTGCCTTGCTCGAGTACATCCAGGGAAAGAACATAAGCTTTGGGGCCAGTAAGATCAAGGAGCCTTAAGATCTTAGACAATCTCTCTCCAAGCCTCAGTTTACTAATCTAATATGATGGAGGAAAAAAAACACCTTCCATGTTTCATTAAGGAATGAACAAGTGGGTAAGGAAGTGCTTTGCTATCTGTAAGTCTTCCTCTGATACCTTGTACCTTAGACAATCTCTCTACATGCAAGTTGTTGTCCTTAGTTTTCCCTTAATCTCTTTCTCCTTTTGAGGGCACATTTTAGCTGTGGGGTCTATGGAGCCTCTCCCCAGAGACCTCTTTCTTCAGCAACAGTGTGTTCCTTCCCCTCTTCAGTTGCACAGATCAGTAGAGAACTTGGCCCTGAGGAGTAGCTCAGATGTGAGCCCTTTGATTTCCTCTTTCCTTTAATGTTTTCAAAGATCAGGAAGATTGCCGCTGCCTTTTGAATGCAGCTCTGTTGCTAGCAGAAAACACAGAAGCAAGTAAAAGCCAGGGCCCATTAGAATCCAGGCTGACCTGAAGACCAAATTCTGTGTTGGAGACCTGGGGAGTCTCCTACAAGCTGGAGATCTACAAGCTGGCGAAAGAGAGGGATGCTCAGGGAACTTCTTAGTGATGTGGAGTGAGGTGAAATGGTTTCTTGGGAGAAGTCAGGAGCTGTCATCAGCATCTGATGAGCCCAGGTGACCATGTCAAGGTCCCCTGTCTTGTTTCAGCCCTTGGGTAGCATTTATTGACAAACTCTTGTGCCTCCTTAGTGCTGGAAGTGGCACTGCACATTAGAGCTTGCTGAACACTTTCAGCTGGCTGCAGGGTCAGCTTTGGCATCTTAGAGTAAGACAGAGAGAGAAAAGGGCTTCTGCTCCTTTGGGAGCCTGCACATCATTCCCTCCCACATGTGATAGACATAGGAGAATTCTACATGGCCAAGGGTCAGCACAGGGGTTAGGTTTTGCACTCCTTTCAAAGCAGGTTTTCTAAAGAGCTGGGCTCTCTATGGGCTTCCCTCAGCCTTTAGGGTCTGGTGCAACTCTGCTGCGTAGATTCAGACCTTGATCTTGAGGTGAGAGCCTTTTTGACTTATGCATTCCAGATAAAATACATTATTCTGCAGTCTCACCTTTCTTATCCTTTGAAAGTACCAGTGCTCCCCATCAACCTGTGATTAAAATTTCACATAATACAAATCAAGAAATAAGTATAAATAAATAAGCTATGAGTAAGCTGTATCAATGTGTTATGTCTGCATAAAATATACAGGAGAGGGACTAAATTAGCAATCTTTCTATCCATGGTAGTATTTGGATAAAAATCTGTACTCCTCTATTAATCCATGCACAAAGAAGTAGAAGCGGCCCCCTGTCCTCCTCTTCCTCTTCTACAACCATGTGTGGAAAATTGGGGCCAGTCACTGTGGCTCGCGCCTATAATCCCGGCACTTCGGCGGACTGAGGTGGGAGGATCACCTGAGGCCAGGAGTTTGAGACCAGCCTGGCCAATATGGTGAAACCACGTCTCTACTAAAGATACAAGAATTAGCCGGGCATGGTGGTGTGTGCATGTAATCCTGGTGATTTGGGAAGCTGAGGCAAGAGAATCACTTGGACCCAGGAGGTGGAGGTTGCCATAAGCCATGATTATGCCACTGCACTCCTGCCTGTCGGGTAGAGTGAGATTTCAACTAAAAAGAAAAAGAAAAAATTGGGCTGAACCCCAACTCAAGGCACATGGGCTGTGTATGCCCCATGTGTGGGTGGATTGGGCTGGTTCTCCAGGGCCTCATTTCTCAGGACTCAGTGCTGTTAATGAGCAACAGGAAAGCGTGGGAAGTGGAGGTCAGGGAAGTTGAGAAGAGTGCAGGGCTGCAGGGAAGGTGAATGAGCAGCACAGATGTTGGTGGCGAGGGGATCCCAGGCAAGGCTTTACTGATGGTTCCCACTATTTCCTGCAGAGCGTTCCTAACATTAAATTGGCATCTGTTCCTTATTGGTCATCAAGTATGATTGGAAATACAGGGTTTCTCCACATCTACCCCTCCCACATTGCATTCTGTCTGACAAATTATGATAGTTTATTCCCACTGATGTTTTATCTAAGTGCCTCTTCAATCCATTTGCTTTGTGACTGAAAAGAAAAAATCTTTAGAAAAGTTCAATAACTTCATAAATTTTCATCTATAGAGAAAGCAATACATGAAAAGCCTTTCAAATTGTGCTTGTAACGTATTTTCTCTGCTCTGTTGCTTATCCATTCCACTTTGGGGTCCCAGAAATGTGTCATCAGCAATTGTTTCCTCGGTTTGGGCATTTTCTACTCTCTCTAGTAGAAAAGGTCTTGTAGATGGTTTTCATTGTATACATAAATTTCTTTGTCCTATGTTGGATATAAATACTTTTTTTGAAGGTAAAGAGTATCATTCTAATACATTGTAGGTGGCAATGAAAAGTGACACAAAACCTCTTGTAAATCAGTGTAACTGACTATATCAAGAGGCTTTAAATGTTCATCAGTACCCTTTAAACTAAAAATTTCACTTCTTAGTATCTATGCTAAAGAAAAAATCTAAACATCAAAAATATACATAACAATGATGTTCACTACATTGTTTTATATACAGGTATAGACATATACATATTTAAAAACTGTAAAGAACTTAAATGTTCAAGTACAGGGTGTTTATGTAAATTGATAAATCCATTTGACAGATTGTTCTAATAGCAATCAAAATGGTATTCAAAATGGAAGACTACAACATAAAAACAGGAAAACACATGTCTCATAATTTAAATGACAACAGCCAGATATGCAATTGCATATCTGGTATGCATATGACTACTTATAAATATGCATATTACAAAAAAGTAGGAAGGGACCAAGCCACCTTGTTAATGATGATTGGGTTTAGATATTTGTAGAATGAATAACTTCTATATTTTTTCTCCTTTCTATTTTTATGGTTTCTTTTCCCTAAAGCTTTTATATGAGTATGACTACTTTCAATTGAAAATCAACCGATAAACAAAAAGGAAAAACACAGTATTCGTGTGTTTCTTGGTCAGGGTGGTGTTAAATCTTTGTGGGCTCATAGTAAGCAGTGACTTTTTGTAGTACGTATTTAGATTAACAATTGCATTTATATAAGAAAACAGAGATTATGGAAAGACCACTGGCTTGGGATTAAGGAGATGGGTCCCAGTCCTGATTTTACAATGGGTGGTGTAGCACTGGCCAAGTCATTTCTCACCTCTGGTCTGCTGTGTCCTATCTATAAAACGAAGGGGTTGCACTCGAAACCTCTATGGTTCCCAGCAGGTCTCTAACTTTTTGTGATATAGAAACTAAACATGTGGAGATTTGAGACCAATAACTCCAGTAGAATGTTACTGGACAGACCTTCTGCAAATCCAGCGCTTTGGATCCTAATTAGTGTTTCCGTGCCATGCTTTCCATCCTGAACTTACATTGTCATCTGGTGACAAAATTCTCATGGCAATTAAAACATTGCTGTTGTAGATAACAATAATTAAAAATGAGAAAGATGGAAAGAAGAAGGAAAAGAATGGAAATTTGCGGTAATTTCAACCTGAGCTGTCAAGTTGAACTTAGCCCCCAAACTGGAATAGTTATTAGATATCAGTATTTTACAGATGAGGAAATATATCTGAGAGGCGTACTGGATGCACACATGTCTACATCCATGGACACAGTCACAGGGCTATGAAGGAACCAAGATGGCTCTCAAACCTGGAGACTCCCACTTCATTGTATTCATTGCTGGAGTTATGGTTGTTTACAGCAAAATCAGATTACATTCAGTTCATAACTATTGAATACTTAAATAATTAGAAATAACAATGTTACTTAACATGGACAGGGAGCTTCAAGATTTCCAAAATGCCCAGAACCATACTAATTATCATAGCTATAAAATTGGGTTTTATGTAACAAAACTCATTACAGATACTCGGTTCCACAAAAGCTATTGAAAGTTCCCAAATTCTATTATTTAACTATATTCCTCCTAGTGCCTCTCAAATCTACAAATAGAATTAAAATCTTTTGCTATTCATTCACGTATTCCACAAATATTTCTTGGGCACCCTCCTCAGGGCTGGGAATACCAGATGGGCCTGGTCCGTTTATTCATGGAGCTTTTGTTCCCTAGTTCTTCCTGTCTGCCAGTGGAGGGCGTTCCTGGACTTGACCCCAGGAGGTCAAAGTTACATGCATGAAGCAACAAGAGGGGGAAAAAAATGAGATCAAGCATCTCTGCTGAGTGGTGCTTGTAACTCCAGATGCTAGTGATTCCAGTGAAGGCCAAACCCACAGGCTGAAACATTTCAAATCTAGGTTGAGCTCATTATGAAGAAAGCAGAGACCATTCAAAGAAGACCTGGACTTTCCATGGCAGCAGGGGAAAGGAAAAGAGATATTAATATTTATTAAACACCGAGTATACTCATGCATCTTACTGTGCAAGTGTGTTCTAGAATTTGTTGTTATCCCCGTTTTATAAATGAGGGAGCCAGGACTCAGCAGGGATATGGGTGCTGGATAAAGCAAACCTGAACATACCCTTTTCTTATTCAATAGACCAGTTCAGGTTTAGCCATTAGACCATTAGGCAAATGCTGTATTTCTGTGATCAATAGGCAGTATGAACCAAGGCATGGAGGAAGGGTTGAGCAAGACACCAGAAAAGGACCTGTCTTCCTGCTACTGACTTCATTAATCTCTCAATCTTACGAGTGCCAGACTTTCAGTTACCCACCCTGCCTCAAAAATATGTTTTATGTTATCTTTAATAGAGGACTCATGTCTTATTGATCCCAGCCTGCATGCTGGCCCTACAGCATGCAGCCTCAGATGAGAGAGAGAAGAAATCAGTTTGGATCCTAGAGTGCAGAACTGTTTCCAGGTTTACTGGATTATCTTTTTTTTTTTCTCTTTCTGTTAAACTGAGAAAGAACTACCCCCTGTCCTAACTCTGAACATGGGCCATATGGCCATAGCAGCACTTCCTGGGGTAGGCAGCTATGATATTCAACAAGTCAGGTGTGACTCCTTTCCCAGATCAGATAGCTTAGGGACCTCACAGTCAACCAGATGGTATGCAGTCATGTCACAGGGCAGTAGTGGGTAGTTGATGCTGATGAGCTACCTTTTGTATTTACTATCATCTGGTTTGAGTGTGTGTGTGTGTGTGTGTGTGTGTGTGTGTGTGTATGTGTGTGTGTTTTCTGAATGCCAAAGCCTCCATACCCAGGACTTCTTGCCATCATCAATTCAGAAAGAATTTCTTGAGCTCCCACTTAGTGTTGTCCCTGCACTCCGTGGAATACCTAGAATTACAAGACAAGGGCCTAGCTTGCAAGGAGTCACCACGAAATAATTAGAACTTCAAGGCCAAAGGGATAGATCAGTGAGGGATGGAATAGAGGGCAGACCAGGTGAGCTTGCATTTAACAGCTGGATAATATTTGAGGAGAGTGTGGGAACAGGAGTGTGTCTGTGCCTAGATTTCTTCTCTACCCAGTTCAGGATTTCCACTGATAAATTATTCAAATCCAGTTTCAATGGCCGCTACTTATTACATACACAGTAAAGGTCTATTCAGTCATTTATTGAGCACCAGCTGCGTGCCAGTCACTGTGTGCTGCACCACAGGCACGAAAATGAATAAGTCACACCCCCTGATCTAAGGAGATGCTGTACCACTATCTAAAGGGGAAATCATTCATTGTGCTGAACTTATTGGTAACTGAGTCTAAGTTCTATAATTGGTGAACATATACAGTACAATGAGAACACGAGTGACTATTTCTGGGGAGAAAGACAAGTCAGCAGAAACTACAGAGAGAAGTCAACATTTGAACCTGGACTTGAAAGATACATAAGCATTCATGGGTGAAATAAAGCAATCCTAGCAGAGGAAACTGACAAAGCAAAAGAGCAGGGGTGTGGAAGCACTTGGTAGGATGAGGGAACAGGAAAAGCCTTGTGTAGACAGGGTTCAGGGGAGGTTGGAAGGTACTGGCTAGACACAAGGCTGCAAATCATACATGAAACACACAGAAGTCTATCTAGGAGTGAAAGAGGCAGGGGCTTATTTAGGTGAGAGATGATGAAAGGCAGTGAGTGTCTGGGCCAGGAGAAGGACATTGGAGATGGAGTGAAGGGGATGTATTAAACTCATATTTAGGAGATTAATCAGCAGTCCTTAAAAATTAATTGGATAAGAAAGGCATTGTATTTGCTGTTGGCACCTCGCCCAGATCATCCACCAGGCAGGTGCGTCCATCCCTAGCTGCTGAGTGTTGACTGCCAAGTCCTCACAGTGACCCCTTTTCTGGGACACTGACTCTTTCTGAATAGGACTGGACTCATCTGTGAGATGGGGCGACCCTCCCTCACTGGAGCCTGTAGCCAATGGCTGACTGACATAGGACTACAAAAAGCTGGCATCCTGGCCTCAAGGTGATACTCCAGCTGAGGCCACCTCCTTGTTCAGCTCGTCCCCTGCTCCATTCTTCTTCCCTCCTTTTCTCCTGAGATCACTTTCTTAATCAGCCACCTGCAGAAGAACCCCCATCTCAGGTTCCACTTTTAGGGAGCTCAACTTCAGACAGGATTGGGTAAGAAATTGGGGAAAAGGCAATATGAATCCCAGTTTTCCTTTTGGGTAAGTGGGTGGCTGGATGTGCTGAACACCGAGTAGAGGAGGCTTAGAAGAGGATGAGGTTTGTGAGAGCAGAGAAGCTCAGTTTTGTTTACTGGAGAAGCAGATGTCATATCCAGGAAGCAGCTGGATACCTGCGGGTCTGCAGCCAGGAGAGAGCTCTAAATGTTGTCACCAAACGTGACTAAATGACAGCTGAAACCCTGAAGTTGGCGAGGAAGAAATCATGGAGAAAAACAGAGTGGTCTCAGGATGAACTTGGAGGAATGTGAGCATTATACAGTGAGTGGAAAACTGGCAGGAGGCAGCGGAGCCATGCTCTTTTCTGTTTATTACCTCCAGTGAACTTGTGTTTGTGTTTCCTGTTATCATTGCTGGTAATCGGCTTTCAGATTGTGACCTGGTACACATGAGTGTGTGTGTGTGTTTCTAGAGGTGTATAATAAAAAAGTTCCATGCAGTAAAATTTACCCTCACTATTACATATGATGCACTCGAATATTTGCTGTTCTAGTCTGATAAAAATGCTGATGTGTAATCTGCTGAATTAACTTTTTCAGCCACTGGTCACATATTGCAGTTAAAAAAATTTCAAATGGTAATTTATAAGCTAAAGGAAACCAACATATTTAGTTTTCTCTCACTAGTTGTGAGTGTGAAAAGTGTAACTGTGTCTTTTGACTCCTGTTTTAGAAATTAGCACCTTTTACTTTCTTTTCTATTTTCTATTTGCCTATTTTTTAATAACACTCTGATATTTTATTCCTGTATTATTGTTAAATCTGTATTTCTGCATTTTATAAATGCTGTTAAAATTATCTTTGATAGTTTCAATGTAATAGTTATATTAACAGACCCAATTTTGTGATACATATGTATGTGTACATTTACATATTCATGTATATGTTTATGTGTATGTATGCAAAAGACCAGAAAGCAGTATGTTAAATATTAATATTAATTATCCCAAGCTATGTGTTTTGCAGGAGGTTTTTTCTTTGTGCATCCTTATAATTGATTTTCTAAACAAAGAACCAGCAATTATTTTAACCAGTAATAAACTCATAAAATAAAAGAACTTGAAAATTTACTAAGAATATTGTTGCATAATTATATTTTTTATAATTATGTAATTTACATAATTAGTCACAACTGTATTTTATTTGGTAATATATTCCATATCTTTGAGTTTGGAAAGTTATTTTCTATCTGGAAATCAGATAATATCCCAATTTTTCTGGGTTTTAATAATTTAATTTTTAATAGTTTTTATATTTTATATTTTATTCTTTTTAACTGTATTTTTGTCTATTTGTACACATCTAATCTCCAACAGCACAGCCAGGGGCTCCAAGGATGGCCGATGAGGAACAGTGTCTGAAGTAGTGTTTCCCAAAGAGTCACCCCTCTGGCTATGTGCAAATCCATGGTTCAGACTCCAGACTGTGGAATCAAAGTTTCTGGGTATGGAGCCAAGGAATCTTCATCTTTTTCAAGTCCTTATCTCTACCCTTGTCCAACCCAGCAATTAACATTTATCCTAAACATTGAAACCTTCCCTTCTAAAGGGAAAATAAAGAGAAGTCCCAGTTTGGCCAGTGGCTACCTCTATACACATGGGGCAAACTGCATCACTACTTAGAGGATCATTTTCTCAACTCTGTAATGATGGATTTAGATTAACTGTGTTAGATTCTTTCAATGCTAAAAGATTGTTTCTCAGTTCTTTTTTTCTAAAATGGGAATAATACCTTTGTTCTGCCTATGTAATAACTATAGGATACATGAAAGTCAAATGAGTTAATGTTCACTAAAGCTTTATTTTGTTACTATTTGACAATTTTGTTGGTTTTCATCCCTTAGAGTGAATGAAACGAACCACATTTTTATTGGCTTCTGGCTTACTCAGTCCTCCAGAAATCTAGATGCTCTTTCAAAGTGTAAGATAAGTTTTCCTTCTGCTTCATCGTGGCAGAGACTACTCACATGTTCATGAAACCCATTTATTCTCCAAATCTCCCAGTCTGCCTTGCCATTAGGAGTGGCTGTGTGATTGAATTCCAGCTACTGGGATGTGATAAATGCTTGGCCTCCAAAATATCTTTCATTACATTTTCATTGCTTTCTCTTCCCTTTCTTTAGAGATGAATGTCAGTGCCACAAATGACCACAGACCACCCCACCCCTGGTTGCTGCTGGCTTTGGATTGGACTTTTAGTGAACAAGAAATAAATTTTTATTGTCTCAAGTCATGGAAATCTTGGGATTTGTCTATTACACCAGTCAGTTTTACCTTAACAAACATACTTGCAATCTCCATTAGACATAGAGAATATTTGTGCTCATTTGCATGATGAGATGATTTCTTTCCTTGTGTAAATGGTGACCAGATGACAACATTTCTCACAACTGTTGATAATGTCATCTGCCTTCAGTTACTAATGGTTGTCATTAGGGTGAAGCTAACTGTCTCAGTTCAAATGTTACCTCTTTACAAAGGCTCTCCTGGCCTCTCTATTCAAAGTATTCTACAACTCACACTCCAGGTAGTTTTATCCCATTAATAATTTCAGTGGATGTATTAGTCTATTTTCATACTCCTGATAAAGACATATCCAAGAATGGGAAGAAGAAGAGGTTTAATGGACTTACAGTTCCATGTGGCTGGGAAAGCCTCACAATCATGGTGGAAGGCAAGGAGAGGAGCAAGTCACATATTACATGGATGGCAGCAAACAGCTTGTGGAGGGAAACTCCCATGTTTTAAAACCATGAGATCTCCTGAGACTGATTCACTGTTACAAGAACAGCAGGGGAAAGACCTGCCTCCATGATTCAGTTATCTCCCACACTGTCCCTCCCACAACATGTGGGAATTCAAGATGAGATTTGGGTGGGGAGACAGCCAAACCCTATCAGTGGATAATATTTTAAATATCCAGGGTTCAAGTGATTCTCCTGCCTCAGCCTCCAGAGTAGCTGGGATTACAGGCATGTGCTGCCCCACCCAGCTAATAGTTGTATTTTTAGTTGAAATGGGGTTTCACCATGTTGGCCAGGCTGGTCCCAGACTGCTGACCTCAAGTGGCTTACCCGCCTCGGCCTTCCAAAGTGCTAGGATTACAGCACTTTGGAGCCACTGTGCCTGGTCCCAGGTAATATTTTTAATGAAATCTATCATTTCCCAAAATGTATCACATATTTTGCTGACTTGTTTGTTATCTGTCTCTTCCCTGAGAATGAAAACTCCATGATGGCAGGATTCTTCTCTGTCTTACTCACTGATACATTCTTAGAGCCTAGAATTAGGCCTGACACAGTCAGCATTCAGTTGTTTGAATAAGAATTTATAGTGTTAGTTCACTATACTCCTGCTGTATTAAGCACCACAGGTGACCTCTTACTCATCCCACATCAATTATGTTGCCTTGAGGTTGTTCTCAAAGCTCATGTGCTATAAGCTGACTTCATGATTTTGCCTGTACAATGCAGATACCCTTTGAGTTAGCAAACTAAAGTAGGAACAAAGAGGGATGGGGGAGAGAGCACAAAGAGAAGAATAGGGAGGATTGCTGCAAAAGACACTAGGAAAAGACTTTTGAAGTGAGTGTGACTTCATGCCTGTGTGAGTTTATGTGTTTGTGTCTGCACATGTGTGTACATATGTGTCTGAGAGAGATGAAGATGATATGTAGAATTCCCCAACTAGGAATTTTCTCATTAAATTATTATGAATAAATTAAAATGCCTTTTTGTCTTTGAATAAATGGTTTTAATCATATGTTCATATTCTCTATATTCTTATAATAGAAAGTTATCATCTCTTGAGGCTCTGCCTATGTTTGGCTGCTAATTTTCTTCCCAGGCTGATTCTGAATCCTCTGCAATTTTATGAAGTGATGAAGCAAACCCTATAGACCTTTTGAATTCCTGTTTTCTGTGAACTCTGCCGATGTTGGTTTATGCCTCTCCCTATTAGTTTTGCAGAGATTTCTCATCAGAAATGTGTTATATGGACTTGAGTTTAAAGGGCCAGATTTTCCACCCTCCCAGATGAGCTGTCAGTGGTGCTGAAAGAGTTGACAGGCTAATTCTCAGTCTTTGGATGTTTTCTGTACCTATGTGCACTTTGGAAGGTGGCCTGCTGGGGCAGGTTGTTCTAATGCCAGTTACACAGTTGTGACTCTACCCTCCTACCTGTGCTGTGGAAAACCCATTGCGTTACCTGCTATTCAGGTGATAGATGAGCTAATTTTATAGATGAGAGTTAAGACCCAGGCTTTTTGAGCATTTAAAAAGCTTCATGGTTCTGTTGCTGGGTACCTGGGTGCCTAAGTCGCTAAATCTAAGCTCTTAAATTCTAACAGAATAATGTAAAAGAACTGACACATTTTCTAGAAAGATGTAAATTTCTTCAAACCATACTTGTACAATAGTTTATCTCCAGTCCCATCTGGCTGAGCTACTAAGAATTGTAACCCCCAAACCAAGCTCAATTTATTGACTAAGATCAAGCTCCACCACTTCATCAGTGAGAGTGTCAGGAATGTTCTAACCTTATATAGAGAGCACAGAAGAAAGTCTGGGGTCTTATCAATGGGCTTTTTCTTGTTGGCCTGACACTGACTTATGGAAATAAAGAAGATAACATAAGGAAAGAGAGTGGTGTAGAGTAGGGGTCAGGATATGGTTCAGAGAATGTTTACAGCCTTCTCTTAACCAAAAACTGTATTAATAATAAAAGCTATGTTTAGAAACCCTTTATCACCCATCTGGCTATTTTGCTGGCCGAGGCAAAACGTGTGTGTTTGTGTGTGTCCAAGATTCGCATGCTTGGAAGGATGAGAGAAATGGCCTGATGAATGATATAAACTGGGAAATGGTGTTTACAGTACCTACAATAAAGTTAAACCAGTCTTAATCATAATCGAAGTGTGAATTTCAGATATGCTAATGTTAGTGTTGAGAGGAAGTAGCTCAACTGGCCCTCTGTTGGTAGGAATAATCTGGGGCATGAGAGTGGTGGTTGAGAAGCATAGGCTGAACGAAATAGGGATGAAGAGAACAGGAAGCATTTTGAATAACTGAACATGATAGTGGGATGGTTTCCCATGGCCTGGATCTGTTAGGAATACATTCACTGGCCAAGAGTATCAAGAGGAAGAGAATTGAAAGTAGGAAGCCTCTTTTAGGGACTGTGGGTGGAGGAGGTAGTAATCGTATGTTACTTTATTCCTCATTTTTTTCCATAAGGCATGACAACAAAGATTGGGGAGTGCTTCATTAGCCAGGGTAGGGTTAGAATAGGAGGTGTCATTATCAAGTGTAGTCTCTTGAATTCTCATACATTTTACAGTTTAACTACAGCCATACTATCTCATAATCTACACAGCAATTCTGAGAGACTGGCCATCCTTACTTTTCAGATAAGAAAACTGTGGCTTCTAAGGAGAAAACGACCTCAGAGTCAAGTGGCTAGTAAATATGACTCTGTGGCTGCAATAAAGAACTTTTGACTTCAAAATCAGTGCTCCTTTCATTATGTTATACTCACCACTATTAACAAAAGTAAAAGCTTATCTAAATTTGCCTTTACATTTATTTTAATGGCAAACACTTCACAAATGTGTGACTTACATTTTTTTAATGACAGTTTACATTTATTTTATTGACATTTACATTTATTTAATGTAAATGACGATTGCATTAATGTAATGTAAATTTATTTAATGTAAATGACATTTACATTTATTTAATGTAAATGACATTTACATTTATTTAATGTAAATGACGTTTACATTTATTTAATGTAAATGACGTTTACATTTATTTAATGTAAATGACGTTTACATTTATTTAATGTAAATGACGTTTACATTTATTTAATGTAAATGACGTTTACATTTATTTTAATGACAAACACTTCACAAATGTGTGACTTAACACCTCAACACTGACCCAGAAAAAGAAATCTCAGAAGTTTTAAAATTGTCTTATTCTTCTCATATCATTCCCAACCATGGACCCAGTAATAATAATTTAACTTCATCGAGCATCTACTTTGTGCTAGGTACTGTGGCAAATGCATCATAAGCATTATTTTATTTAATTCTTAAAACAATTCCATGTAGTAGATACTACTATTATCTCCATTTTACAGTGAGGAAACTGACTTAGACAAGGTTGGTGACTTGTTCAAGGTAGTCACTAGTGAAAGTAATGGCAACGTTTACTGAGTACTTGCAACATCGCAGACATCCATCAGAGTACATCGCAGGTATTAGGTGGCTTAATGCATTCAGCCCCATAAATAGGGTATTTGAGTTTGCCCAAGAGAGTCATGGTTTACTCTTGCTGTTCCAGCATAATTATCAATAGTTCCCCTTTTTACTCTTAAAAGCATCCTTGTTTGAAGGATAAAGTTACTTGAGCACCTGTGAGGCAAGTATTATTTTTATTTCCCTTTTATGAATGAGTAAATGAGATCAGTTTCTAGGGCTAAGTAACTTGCCCTAGGCCACCTGACTAAGAAGCAGCCACACCAAGATTCAAACCCAAGTGATCAAATCAGTTTTCCTTGTAATCCTCATGTTATGCATTGTCTTCTCTATTTGCCTTTCATTTACTACCACTTTTGTACAATAGCCAATCCTGTCTTGACTCAGTATTCTCCTAAGACTCTTCCCACAGAGCATGGTCCCCATCCTGGCGTGTGGCTCTCCTTTTCTTCCAAGCAAACATACACCCTAAATCTTACTTCTTCAGAGCCTTCCTGAAGAGCAGGAGATAACCTAAAAATAAGAAGTACTGGGGCCGTTGGCTCACGCCTGTAATCCCAACACTTTAGGAGGCTGAGGTGGGTGGATAACCTGAGGCCAGGACTTGGAGGACAGCTTGGCCAACATGGTGAAACCCTGCTCTACTAAAAATAAAAAATCAGCCAGGTGTGGTGGCATGCGCCCATAGTCCCAGCTACTCAGGGGGCTGAGGCAGGAGAATCGCTTGAACCTGGGAGGTGGAAGTTGCAGTGAGCAGAGATCACACCACTGCACTCCAGCCTGGGAGTCAGAGCACATCTCAAAAGAAAAGGTATTATGTAAAATATGTATTTTCTGGGTACATTACATCTATTATTTTATTTAATTGTGTCCTTAAAACACCTCTTTGGGTTGCATATCTATATTTCTATTGCCCAAATGAGAAAACAGAGGCGTTAGAGGGGTTAAAGAGTCAGCCCAAGATCACATAGTTAGGAAATAAGGTTGTTAGAACTTGGCTCAGTTCTGCCTTATTCCAAGGTTCATATAATATCAGTGTGGACACTGCACTCAAAAACAAAGTGTTCTCCAAGGTCCTGACACAGCTCGTAAACTGTAACTCTTCCATCTTAGTGATGAAATTCTATCCAGTTGGAGCTCATGTCATCCTTCTGAGGTTTAGAGGATAACATTTGCTTTTAAGCTGGGGGACCCCAGTGTCTTTACCCTGTGATAATTTCAGTCATCATGACAGTCTCAGCAGGGCGAAAGGCCCTTCTCACTGGGAAAAACTGCACTCCCTGAGATAAGGCAAGGAGATCCAAGAGAAGCTTACATATAGCTGGTGAGCCAGAGAGGGGCTCTCTCTCCCTCCATTATTTCCCAAAGTCCCAATTCAGATCATTGAGCTGAGTTGCTGCCCGCAATGGCCTCAGCAGGCCCTGGGCTTTGCATATGATGTTCCCCAGGCCACACGCTATGCTGATTATCAGGGGATGGTGTGTCTCCCATTTCATACTCCATTAAGGAAGGATGAAACAGGCCAAGCCTGCAAATGATGACAGTAATGAGGTTCCAGTTATCTGCTCTCTCTCTCCCTTGCTCCCCATGTGCTGTCTCTCTCTGAGGACCTCACCAATGAATCCAAACAGATTCTGACACGTGGGACATGCTTGAGCCACTATGAGAAGGCTTCTCTGTGATGGTTGGGGCAAAGCCATCTCCTTCCAAACCCAGGGTATGGGCTGGGTGACTGCTCTGATTCTTTTGGGAGGTGAGGTTTTGAGTCCTCTCTGAATTCCTTAACGAGGCAGCCATGCTGCGCAAGTGATCTGTGTGTGGATTGCTGAAGCATAAAAGATACGAAGTGAGTGGTTTGAGCAGAAAATGAAAGGGTTTTTTGTGCTCTGGCAGCTAATAAAATCAGAAAGAGAAATGGAACTTACCCAATGTTGAGAGACTGGGGAAAAAAATACCTAGATTATTTTTTCTTTAAAAAAATGAGAGTAGCTCATAGAAATGTCAAAATATCTTTTCATTCAGGTTCAACAAAGGGAAGGGATAATGTGGTTTCAGTTGCATTTGTTGGCCAAAATTTTGAAGCTGTGTTCATCCTATCTATAATTTTTATAGTAATTTTGCCATTCAGAATAACTAGGAAAACGCACATCTGTGTGAGATATTAACATGGGTTAAGGCTGAAGATAATATGCCTATGGAGTCAGTACAAGCTTGGGATGTACAGAGCTATGCCCATGCGGACACACATAATACATCCATAAAGATGAGACATGCCAGTGATGCTACACAAGTTACTTCTATGGCAAGGACAAACACTTGGCAAATCCGTGAATTATTCCTCTGGCTCAACTCAACACAGACTGAGAAAGAATAATTTCAGAAATTAGGCCACAAGTTTCACATCTGGATCACTCATGGACCTTCAGCCATGAAATAATTTTTATATTTTAAAAAATATTTTTATAGATTTATGGGACACAAGTCCAATTTTGTTACATGGCTCTATTGCACAGTGGTAAAGTCTGGACTTTTGGTGTAACCATCACCCAAATAATGTACATTGTATGAATTAGGTAATTTTTCATTCCTCATGTCCCTTCCACCCTCCCACCTTTTGAAGTCTCCAGTGTTTCCAATTCCACTGTCTATCTGAATAATATTTCATGGTGTGTGTGTGTGTGTATCTCAAAATTAATTGGCACAATGTACATTATTTGGGTGATGGTTACATGAAAGCTCTGTAAGACTGAGTTGGACATCAAATTGGAATTTTAAAAAATGTATCCTAATCAGTCTGCAGGGTGGCAGCATTATACATACATATGTGTATATATATAATATATATGTATTATATTTTATATGTTTGTTTTCCTTATCCAATCATCCATTGATGGGCATTAAGTTGATACCATATCTTTGCTATTGTGGAGCTGTGATAAACATATGAGTTCAGGTATCTTTTTGATATAATGATTTCTTTTCCTTTGCATAGATACCCCACAGTGAAATTACTGGATCAAATGGTAGTTCTATTTTTAGTTCTATGAGAAATCTCCATACTGAACAATGAAACAATTTATGATCGATTTCCATCTGAAAGTGTATCTTGAAGCTGTTCCTATATACTCCCTCGTTGTGGCCTTTCTTGGCCTTGGCCAAGATAAAATTTCCTTTGCTCACTCATTTGCTGTCCTGTGCTTTTTCCCCCTTGGCTCACTTTTTCTTGAACTTCTGACATTTATCCAAATGCTTCCTGCTGTGCCTTGGGAAGTCTGGTCTATCATTTAAAATTTTTTAAATCTTTTCAATATTTACTAAGATAAAATCGGACATTCTCCCTGATGATACCATTGTCCTTGCAGTTTCTCAGGTGGAACTTGTTCATCCTCTTAAGACCTCAGTCACAAAGTAGGAGGTATCGTTGACCTGCCAAACATTTGTTTCTACTGCTGCTAAGTTTTATTCCCGCACCCACGTGTGAAACCTTTCTCCAGAGATGCAGACACTGTCTGCCCCACTTTTTCCCACCACTCCATTCCACCAACCTTTGTGGCTAGTCCTTCACATTCTTCAAGGGGGATGATTTCTGTCTCAAAGTACTCCTCTCCATCACCTCTGCTTTCATTCTGAACAGCTGCAATGCCTATGCTGGTAATTTCTTGACTTCGACAATTAGTGATTGACACTCCAACTCCCCACTCAAACTCGCTGTCATGGCCTCATGCTGATAGACTCTGTCTCTGCAATCTAAAACTCTAATGCTCCATTCTCCATCCACAGTTTTCTTTCCTTCACTTCACTCAAGCCTTCAATTTTCTTAGTTTCATCACATGTTTCTGTACAGCGGTCACCTTAGCTCTAAGGAAAGTCTGGCAGAGATCCCCTTGACCTCCTCCCTAATTGTCGAATCCTCCTCTTTCTTCTTCCTGTTTGATCTCTCATTTGAACCTGTAGATCATACCTTCTGTCATGAAATTGTCTTCTCCTTTGCCGTTTATATTGTAGCCTACACATTTTTGAATCCTCTTCCTTCCTGTTACATGTCTTGGATATCTCCTCTTCTCACTGTATAAAGGAATGCTTTCTGAGTCATATTTTGGCCATTCTTGCTTCCTAATCTATATATTCCCTATGAAATCTCACTTATTCTCATGACTGTAGCTTTCTTTTGAAACACCTTTCTCTGGACTCTAGTCCAACATAGCCAACTGTCTGTCACATGAACCTGAAATGTCTACATTAGAAACATGCTAAATTTTTTGAACTTCAAAATGACTTCTCTTCCAGCATGTTTTCCTGATCAAAGTTCTCAATATCAGCTCAGTCATTCAAGTCTAGAAACAGCATTTTTCTTGTTTCTCACCTCATCCCTTCCAACCAAAGAATTAGTCATTAAGTTGTGACAATTTTAGTTCTTACAGTGTTCTCAAATTCTTCCTCTCCCCTTCCTCTGCACAGCTGCCACTGTAGCTGCAGCCCTGACCATCTTTTTTCCCAAATATTGCAACACGTTTCTAACTGGGTTTGCAGCTATGCTTTCTACTGGCACAGATCAATTTCCAAAGCATAGATTCATTTATGAATTTTCTCTAATTGAAGCCCTTTGGTGCCCCTCCACCCATCACTAGAAAGTCAAACTTCAGAACATATATGTAAGGATAGTTTGTGATCTTTTATGATGTAATCTCTGCCCACTTAGCTAACTTCATTCTTCTCCACTGCACTAAACATGGTAGTGATACCAAACCATCTGTTGTTACCAAAACATGGCACAGGGCTTTACATCCACACACACCGTTGCATATGCAGCTCTTTTTCTAAAATATTCTTCCTCCTTTGTCATACCATCAAAACCCTATTTGTCTTTCAAGACTCAATTCAATGATAGCCTCTCTAATCAGCTTACCTCTTGAGCACCATCTGGCACTATTGTCCCTCTTTTAATCTGACTCCACCCGTGGTGAAATTTCTATATTTCCCCAAATGTGTCGTGTTCTCTTTCGTGCCTTTCACTGTTCCCTTTGCTCTCACTATCCTTTCTCACCTGGTTAAACTTCTACTCAAGCTTTAATCTCAGAGAAGATTGTTTCCTTTGAAAGGTCTTTCTTCCTCCCGCTTGCAGTATAAGTTGAATCCTCTAATTTTATGGTTCCATTATGGCCTATATCTCCCTTTTGGTAAAACAAAACAAGACAAAACAAAAAAAACAAAAAAACACTTACAGTCCCCTCCCCTTTAATACTTGAGTTTCATAAAAATTGTTATATCCTTAGGAAAGGGGCCTTGTCTTTGTGTTAGTGCTTTATCTTAGGAATTTAGCACATTGCTTGGCACATACTAGATGCTCAATAAATATTTGCTGAGTGTTGGTGGAATTAAGCTTACCGATGATGCCTGCAGAGAAATGACCATGCTGTCTTTTGAACCACCCTCCCCAACTGTATTTTCATACAGCTATGTACGTAGCATACACGCCATGTCTGAATTCCTTTTAATAACTGCAGATCATGGCACTCCTATGCTGCAGATCATGGAACTAAAAAGCTCTGAAAGACTGAGTTGGACTTCGAATTGCAATTTAAAAAAATCTACCTTAGTCATCAGTTTGCAGTCATCAGATTGCTTAGGCAGCGATCAGAGGCAGGAAAATTGACCAAGAAACATGGCCAGGCAGGCTGCTGCACTTTCTCCAGACCTGGGGCAGAGCTGCTGGTGCCCTCACAGGGTGTTTGTAAGAGTTCTTAAAGGGCTAAGCAGGCTCGGACACACTGCAGTTTTGCTTTTGAGGTGGCGGTAGTGGTGGTTATGGTTGATCTGTCCTTACCTGTCGACTTCCTCTTCTTGACTTTCAACCCCTGTGAACAAAGGGCTTTATTTTAACCAGTTTCGCATCTTAAGCCCTCACTACACTGTGCCCTTCTTTGTGGAAGAAATATATGTGTAGTTATTCTCCTCATCTAAAAGCTGATTGTTTGCAGCTTTATTTACAAATAAAAGCTTACTCTTCATGCCTTGATTAAAAAGATTTGTGTTAGAATGTGCTGAACTTGACATACTGTTTTAAAATGCAAGTTTTATGAAATTCAATCTATGAAATCCAAACACAACCGCAGCCTATTAGTGGCTTGTAATCAAAGAACAACTTGCTAGTTAAAGGAACCATTAGCTTTGAAAATTGAAGCATAAACAGATGAATTTGCTGTGTGTGTTTTCTTGCTCTATTAGCCAAGGAGTTAGCCAGAAAAGTATACACTAGGCTGAATGAATGCATAGAACCCCAAATGGAAGAAACTCCAAATGGAAATAACTCCTATGGCCAGTGGTGCATTGTCATAGCTGAAGGGTACATGGTGTAACTAACTGCTATGACTGATGGAAGTAGGATACTGATATAAATTCACTCCTCTTCTGTGTCATCTACTCGATTTCCCTTGAGAGGCATACCAAGGAAGTGGGAGGCAATGATAGTGTTCTTCAACTGGGTAGAGGCAATAATGATGTGTGTCGTCTGCAGAGAATTTAAAAACAATAATATTCACTAAAAGTTGGTTAACTTTTTGTCATGACTGTGCATTGGCAGTTCTAACCAATGTCAGGGATAAAACACCCTTCCTTTCAATAATTCTTTTGTTGATCTATATTCTAAATAATTATTGCAGTTACTGTTGAGTTTTAATCATATATGTGAGCTTCAAATTAGCACATTTTTATAACATATCTTTTAACAAACATTTTAATCTATATAGAACTTAATTTGTGGAACTCCTAGTACACAGTCGGCCTCTGACACATGAGGACTGAGTACACCTGTTTATTTCCAGAGTGAATATTTAACAGTTACAAACTATCAAACGTGCTCTGGAACACAGTCAGTGGGAGAGCATAATTTTGTGTTTGAACAGTGGATAAGAAATAATAATAGCACAGTGATTGTAAAGATAAACGTAACTTGAGCCATGTCAGTTCTGTCTTTCTATATTATCCTTTGGAATATTTTGTGGTTATAATTTAAAATAGTAAAACAGAAGGAGAACTGGGGGATTCAATAATTCTTTTTTGGTAAGTCCAAATTTTTGTTAATACGTAAGGTATATTTATTTTATTTCATTATAATTGCCAAAATAACTTTGTTGTATAAAGGAGAAGGAGAAGGATGTTAAAACATAATCTGCTTCAGGTCTCAGATAGGTCAAATATACTAGGTTTTCCACTGTTTCCTCACTCCTGCCTTTCTCCTCTCTTCCTGGCATTGTGAGAGGTCCTAAATACACATGATCACATCTTCCCTTGGGTCTCTCATCCTTCAAGGAGGAGCAGAGTCTGGCTCAACAACTCTGCCACCAGGTATCCCAGGCTATTTGCATTCTGACTCCCTATTTTCACTCTAAGGTTATTGTGTCCCTTTCTCAACTTGACACCTCTGCTGCATATATTTGGGCTGATCCCTTCTGTATTTTTCAGATGTGCCACATTAGTGCTTCCCTATCTTCTTGGTCATACTCTCTGTCTGCAATGTCCCCTCACCTCCTCACCCTCTTACTCAAATCATTCACAAATCCACCATGACACCCTTTCTGAATGCTTCATTTCCTAAATCTCTCTCCCTGCTGGAACCTCCCATAGTGTTTGCTGTCTGCACTGCTTTTGTTTTTATTGACTGCTAGTTTTCCTTTTTAATTTAATTGTGGTGAAATAGACACCCACCACAACACTTACTCTCACCCATTTTTAAGTGTACAGTTCAGTGGCTTAATGCCACTTCATCCACATTGTTTTGCAACCATCACTCTGATTCTCCAGAGCTGTTTTCATCTTGCAAAACTGAAACTTTGTACCCATTAAACAAAAATTACCCATTTCCTCCTCCTGCCAGCCCCTGGCAACTACCATTCTATTTTCTGCCTCTATGAATTTGGCTGCTCTGTATGAGATACCTCATATAAGTGGAATGATACAGTATTTGTATAAGTGGAATGATACAGTATTTGTCTTTTTGTGACTTGCTTATTTCACTTAGCATAATGTCCTCAAGTTATATCCACATTGTAGCCTGTGAGAGGATGTCTTTCTTTTTTAAGGCTGAATAATAGTCTGTTATATATATCACCTTTTGTTTATTCATTCATCCATTCATGGACATTTGAGTTAGTTCTACTTATTGGCTATTGTGATTAGTATTGCTGTAAACATGGGTGTGGAAATATCTCTTGAAGATCCTATTTTTATTTTGGGGGGTATATACCCAGTAGCGGGGTTTATGGATCATATGGCAATTCTACTTCTAATCTTTTGAGGAACTGCCATACTGCTTTCTATAATGTTTGTACCATTTTACTTTTCCACCAACAGTGCACAAGGGTTCCAACTTCTCCCTATTTTTATCACAATTTATTTTTTTGTTTACTTATTTGTTGGTTTTTAATAGTAGCCATCCTAATGGGTGTGAGGTGGTATCTCATTGTGGTTTTGATGCATTTCTGAAATGATAGTGACATCGAGCATCTTCTTGTGTGCTTCTGTTTGTACATGTCTTTGAAGAAATGTCTATTCAAGTCCTTTGACCATTTTTAAATGAAGTTATTTGTTTTTTGTTGCTGTTGTTGAGTTGTAGAAGTTATTTATATATTATGAGTGTTAACCTCTTATTAGATACATGATTTGCAAATATTTTCTATCGTTCCATGGGTTAGCTTTTAACTCTGTTGGTGGTATGCTTCGATGCATAGAGGTTTTAATTATCGTGTAGCCCAATTTATTTTTTCTCTTGTTTTCTGTGCTTTTGACGTCATGTTCAAGACATTTTTGCCAAATCCAATGTCATGAAGCTCTTCCTCTGTGTTTTATTCTAAGAGATTTTGTAAGTTTAGCTGCTTTGTCCATTGCGAGTTAGTTTTTGTTTACGGTGTTTGAGAATGGTTCAACCTCATTCTTTTGCATGTGGATATCCACTTTTCCAAACACCTTTTGTTGGAAAAAAAAAAAAACTGCTCCTTCCCCATTCAGCGGTCTTGGCACCCTTGTCAAAAATCATTTGGCCGTATATGCAAGGGTTTATTTCTGGGCTTTCTATTCTATTCTATTACAAATGGGGAACAAAGGGGGAAACCAACATTTATGGAGGTCAAGTATGTTGCCCAAGTGTACATAATTAGTAAATCACCAAACAAACTGACATTCAAACTCCGTTTTATCTCACTTAAAAGCTACATACAAATGTTTATGTCAGAACCACACTGTTTTGATTGCTGTAGCTTTGGGGCAAATTTTGAAATCAAGAAGTATAATACTTCCAACTTTGTTTTCAAGACTTTTTTGAACTTTGAGGTATTTTGAAATTCTATATGAATTTTAGAAGAAAGTTTTCTGTTTCTGTAGAAGCATTGTTGGGAATTATATAGAGAATGCATTGAATCTGTAGATCACATTGAGTAGTACTGACATCTTCACATTAATTACTGCAGTCCATGAACATGGGCTGTCTTTCCACTTATTGGTGTCTCTTTTAACTTTTTTTGAGTAATGTTTTGTAGTTTTCAGAGTTCAGGTCTTTCATTTCCTGGTAAAGTTTATTCCTATGTATTCTTTTTCATGTTATTGTAAATTAAATTGTTTTCTTAATATCCTTTTTGGATTGCACACTATTAGTTGTGTAGAAATGCAATTGATTTTTGTATATTGATTTTTTTATCCCACAGTTTGCTGAATTTATTAGTTCTAGTAGTTTTTTTGTGTGTGAAATATTTAGGGTTTTCTGCATAGAAGATTATGACACCTGTGGAAAAAAAGATTTTGTATTTTCTTTCCAATTCAGATGTCTTTGATTTGATTTTTATTACTTATTTATTTTTTGCCTAATTACTCTGGCTAGGATTTCCAGCACTATGTTGAACAGAGGTAGCAAAAGAGGACATTGTCTTGTCCCTGATCTTAGAGGAAAAGCTTTCAGTCTTTGGCCATTGAGTAGGTTGTTAACTTCAGGGCCAGCTGTTTATTAATGGCAAGATCCTCTAAGGCTCTTTTCTGTGACTCCCATTTATCGAGCCTATTCTAACAGCTCTGTTGCAGGTAGGCCGTTTGCATCTGTTGTTCATTTAGATTTCTCAAAAGCTCTATGAAGGAGGTATTACTTAACTACTTAACACATGGGGAAACCAACATTTATGGAGGTCAAGTGTGTTGCCCAAGTGTACATAATTAGTAAATGACCAAACCGAGATTCAAACTCTATTTTATCTCACTTAAAAGAGCACATTCTTTTTGTTCTAGCAAGTTTATCCTTGACAGGAGGAACCAGGTCTCTCTGAACTGACATTTTATTTTCCTTTCTACACTATCAAGCATAGTTGGGCCCACTGAAATGTTCAACAGCTTGTTGATGTGTCCATTGTCCACATATAAATCCATTTCTAAATGCCATAAGAGCTGTTCTCCTCTCTGTTGAAAAGTGAAGCTGGAATTTTCAGGCAGTTAATACACAGTCACCTTGCCAAACATAATGCTTGATGTGGGCTACAGGCCTTCTCTTTGGGCCCCTAAGCGTGGCTTTCTAAATTATTCATCCTCCAGCTTGCATGCTCCATGCTCTGTCTCCAGCAATTACAGCCACTTATGTTTGGGTTCCTACTACCTGATTCATAGCAGCAGCAGTGACTTTGCTGCTTTCTTCTCCTTGTTTGTGTCTTGGGTCACCCTAACAGCAGAGGCACATTGCCCTAGAGAAACAAGGGAACCTACTGAAAACCCATTTCGCTCCAAGGACTACTTTTCTTCTTGGCCAGAGTGAAAAAAAGCAATCTGTGGGAGCCAAATTGATTATTTTGTCAAAAGAAAAGGCTAAAAATAACTGCTCAGGCTAGATCCCCATTCCCAGAGCAAACATCTTAAAAGTGCCAATAGCCTTGGTCCATAGATGGACTAGGAATAGAGACAATCCTGCCCTTGGCATACCCCCTACCTTGGGTTCTGAACTTTGCAGATGGGCAGAGTAAGGTTACAGAGAAATAAACTCTCTCTCATTAGGATAACTCCACATGCCCCTATTTTCTGAGACATTTTAATTGCAAACAATTAGGCTTGTGTGTCATAACACTAAATGATTATTGTGTGTTGGACCATTTGTTTGATTTTTGTTTCAGAAAAGATGGTCACCATAATAGGAAAAATAAATCAAGGAGTCAAAAATACTTTCACACTACAACTCTTATTACAGTCCTTTGTGGGGATGTATGTGTATGTGCCTGCAAAGTCATTATGTATTTGTGTGTTTGTGTGTTTGTAACATCTCCAGATGCTGATTAAAATTTAAATCCATGGGAAGCAATAACTTTTGGTGTCCATCATCTTTCCCTACATGTGCACACACACTTTGGGTTGGCTATTTTGGGCCAGCTCACCTAGAGGATCAAGAATGAGAGTATGACCTATAAACAGGGCTTCTCATGAAACTCCCTGCCTGGGTGTGTAATGGAGATAGGCAGGAAGATGGACATATTTCACTCTCCATCTGGGAAAAGCTAGATTCCTTCTGAGGTCCCAGAGAGCTGGTTTCAGCCAGGGAGCGTTGACATTGGCCCTTTGACATCTGAACTTCTTGCTCTGACTCATTGCCTTTTCTTCTCTGTCTGTGGAGTGAGCTGGGCTCTCAGGGAACCTGAGGTTGGGAAGTATGAGACCATGGCAATGAGGAGCCAGAAGGAAGGTGTTAGGCTGTGTGGGGGTAGAGGAAAGAGCCTGGAGTTTGGAGTCAGGCAGTCCTGCCTTAGCCACTTAATATTTGTGTGGCCTTGGCAAGATGCTTAGCTTTCTGATACTCAGAATCTTCCTTTGCAAAATGAACGTAGTTCTTCTCAAGGTGCTTGTGACAATCAGGAAGAACCTACATAAAGTGGTTGGCACATTGTAAGAGCTCAAGAAATGGAAGTTATTACTATTACTAGGATTGGTCTAGTCAACAGTCTTGTGTAGATGAGAATATGGGAGCCCAGAGAGGTGACATAAGTTGTGCAATGTCATGCAGTCAGTTGATAAGAGAGTCAGGACTGGAGCCTAGTGATTCTCTGTCTAAATCACTTTGCCTCCTAAGATTTGCAGCTGTGGGAGGTATTAGAACTAAAACATACTCTCTGTCACTCTTGAGGACTCTATAATCGAAAGAAAGACGGATACATGAAAAAACCCCACAAGGGTACTTAAATAAAAAATGGAGAAATGAATGCGGGCATGTGTGTTAGCTCAAATACAGAGTGGGAGAAAGTCTCTGCAGTTAGACCACTGAAGAACAGCACAGCATGTATTTGGCTTCCAACTGTAGGTAAGAGAAGTGGAGTAATTTTCTCTTCTAATTTTCTTGGAATTTATAAATCCTGTAATTGTAGAAGTCATTTTGACTCACCCTATATTTGTACATGTTCACTTTTTTTTTTTTTTTAAATAAACTGATGTATTCTCCCAGTGGCTTCTCAAGATAGGCACTATAGAATGTAACCTGGATTCTCTGGAAACACACTATTTGTCTTTACCACAAGGAGAAACTGACCCTCCTTGTCCTCTAAGTGACTTGGAGTTCCCCACAGAGGGTAAGGAAGTGGACATACATGGCAAACACCTCTTCTGCTCCCCATCCTAGTCGCCATAGCACAATGCCTGGCACATTGTAGGTGCTTCATCAACACTGGCTCATGAGATTACATGTGGGTCAGACTCCCCTGCCCTCCTACTCAAAGGGGCTCTCCTCCCTGTAGAATGGAGACCAGTCCAGGAAATGTTTCCTCGACACGTGGTTTAGATAAGACATGAAAAGCTCTCGCCAGGGGATGGCCATATTGAAAATTATTTCTTTCCAGCCTTATTGGTGTTATCAGGTCTGCTGGAACCTCCCTTGAATTTTTCCAACCCTCCTCCCAGCCTCATCAGCCAATGTGATTCTATAGGACCTGGAAGATGTCCAGCCTTCCTCATGGATCTCCTCAGGCCATCCAGGCACTGTCAAGTCTCCTTTTCCTGAAAACTTTGTATCTCTAGCATACAACTATGTGACACCTTTTGTAGCGAGCTTATCCTCATCCATGCGTGTTTTCTCCATGACTAAGCCTATTGATACCTTGAGAGGAGGGACTTCCATCTTCTGGATACCTCACAGACCCTCACTTGGGTGCAGGTGGCCTATAATAGGTGCTTAACAAGCTTTTGTTTAAGGGGTCCTCTGGACCAGGGCGGTGGCTCACACTTGAAATCCCAGCACTTTGGGAAGCTCAGTTGGGAGGGTCACTTGAGCCCAGGAATTCAAGACCACCCTGCATAACATAGTGAAACCCCATCTCTACAAAATATCAAAACTTAGTCGGTGTGGTGGCTCACACCTGTGGTGCCAGCTCCTTGGGAGGCTGAGGTGGGAGGATTGCTTGAGCCTAGGAGGTTGAGGCTTCAGTGAGCCATGATTATGCCACTGCACTCCATCCTGAGTGAGATGCTTTATCTCTTTTTTTTTTTAGACATAGTCTTGCTCTGTCGCCCAGGCTGGAGTACCATGGTGCAATCTTGGCTCACTGCAACCTCTGCCTCCGAGGTTCAAACAATTCTCCTGCCTCAGCCTCCCCAGTAGCTGGGATTACAGGCATATACAACCACACCTGGCTAGTTTTTGTATTTTTAGCAGAGATGGATTTTCACCAGATTGGCCAGGCTTGACTCAAACTCCTGACCTCAAGTGATCCACCTGCCTCGGCCTCCCAAAGTGCTGGGATTACAGGCATGAACCACCACTCCTGGTCGTGAGACTCTTTCTCAAAAAGTAAAAATAAATCAAGAGCCCTCTAGTTCTTGGACGGTATGGCTACTAACATCTTAAACTAATCATGTTGTGAGTAACCTTATTTCTATTATTTTCTTTCAAGGAAGCTTAGAGTCAAATGAAGGGTCCATTTCTAGCAACTGCACGTGACTATACTATCTTCACTGTACACAGCAGCACATCTGCTTCTTTCCAATCCTCTATACTTTTTTTTTTTTGAGACAGAGTCTCACTCCGTCACCCAGGCTGGAGTGCAGTGGTGCGATCTGAGCTCACTGCAACCTCCACCTCCTGGTTTCAAGTGATTGTCCTGCCTCAGCCTCCTGAGTAGCTGGGATTACAGGCGCATGCTACCATGCCTCGGCTAATTTTTGTATTATTAGTAGAGATGGGGTTTCACCACGTAGGTCAGGCTGGTCTCGAACTCCTGACCTCAACTGATCCACCCGTTTCGGCCTCCCAGAGTGCTCACATTACAGGCATGAGCCACCATGCCTGGCCTATACTTATTTTTAAAAAGTCATTTCTTTCTCTGTGTGTCTCTTTGATGTGTAGACTTATGTCAAGAGGTTACAAATGAATGCATATGAAATATAATGTAACCTACTTGAAGGTATCCATGGTTAAAAATGACCTCCCCATATTAAGCTGGTCATTTTGCACTAAAATAAGAAAAAATGAGACCATAATACAAAGTACTATATCTCCAACAGTGGCAATTCAAGTAACAGGATGATTGAATTGGGCCTCTTGGTATCTTCCTGGTTTTTGCAAGTGTAAATGGCTTTTGCACCTGGAGCTGGGGTTGCTGATGCTTAGAGCACAAAAAAAAGTCACAACTGAGGTTAGGTTTTTCTTTCTTTGCCTTCATCCTATGCAATAGCCTTTCACCCCCTTGGGAGCTGTCCCTGGCTGACAGTTCAAGGCCATCCACAAAGCTGCACACAACTGTTTTACTTGACACCACACAGTGGAGAAAGAAGAACTTTTTAGTGATGGACAAGAATCACAAAATTTGGTTTTTCTAATTCTCTACCAGTCCCAGGAATCCAGACGGAAGCCTCAAGGAGACATTTGAACAAAGAGAAAATAAATACAAGAGGGGCAATGGTTTCATGACAACAGAATCCCAAAATGTCAGAAAAGAAATCCTCATCCTACAGTTGAGTAAAACAGAGGCTTGGAGTGGGGAGATGACTAACCCTACATCACGTGGTGAATGGTTACCAGAACCAAGGCTGATAATCACCTGTCATGAAGACACTGAGGAGCATCCTCTGGGTCTACAGCATCTCCTGCTATAGGATTCAAATTCTGAGCAGAATCTTCTAGTTCTATTCCTTCATTGCCTCTAGGCTGTGCCCTTGCTGTTTATTTAAGGCTCAAACCCAATTCTCTACTACTCTATTGAGTATTGGAAATTTGCATTTTAACAAGCACTCTAGGCGATGGCTGGGAACATTTAAGCCTCAGAACCTCAGGTGCAAGGGGACATGCCAGCGGAAGCCAGCCACAGGCTCTCCATCTCCCTCCAGGTAGGCCCAGAACACTGAGTAACAGGCCAACTGACCTTGCACCAGCAGGCCTGACATGATGCACCACCTGGGGAAGAACTGTCAGGATAGGGGCATCTCCAGCAGTGTTTGCAAACAAAACCCACTATATGACCATATGTGTTGAGAAATACTAGATTCTGTTCTTAGTGTTTGATCAAAAAGCCCAGTTTTGCTGTGATTCTAACACAAAGCCCAAAATGCTGTTGCTCTGTCCACCACCTCCAGCCTCTTCTCCCCTTCCCCACAAACCCAAGACTCCTGCCCAACCTCAGGATTCCCTTTTATACACTTTTTACCTTATTTGGCTTTGAGCCCTTGTTTAGCCTCCTCTTCCCACTCAGAAGGCTGGGGGATTTAACTTTTTTTCTGCAAGGGCAATACAAAAATAGTGATGACAATGATCACAAGGTGGCCTTGCTCAGACACTGGCTTTGACAAAGTCTTGCAGGTGAATTTCAGCATCTACCAGGACACACCTGTTTTCACTTGCCCAGTTTGCTTTAGATTATGAAAGCAATTTCTTTTCTTTTCTTAAAATTGGTTGCCCCTCTCCCTGAGGTGGATGGCCATTTCTAAGGTTGGGCCTTACGCTGGTGCATGGATGCCTGGTTCACAGTTCAGTCAGGCCACTCGTGTGTAGAACTCACACTGGCCTACGTATGCTTGGTCTGTCAGAGGCAGCTTACAAAGGAAAGAAGGTCTAACCTGAGAGTCATGGAGAGAAAAGTGAAGAGTAGAAGAAAGGAGAAACCTCCATTTCTCTGCTGAGGCTAATTAAATGATTTGGGAGAGATGGCTGCACAGTGAGTATGAGAACCAGAGACCTCCAGTTTCCCTGGGCTATATTGCCCAGTGAAGGATGGATGGATTTGTTAAGTGTTGTGATTCAGCGAGGAGACCAGCTAAGTGTTGGTAGCAGGGGAGGGATTACCCAGTAATGGCACTGGAGCCGCTTTGTTCTCAGGCATAGATGTAATTATCTCTCTAATAGGGACCTTGATAAGCCGATCAAGATAAGTAAATATCATGTGAGGTCTGTTTATCAGGTGGGCTGAAGGACTTCACTGCATACAAAGGAAGAGGTATACAGGAAGATATTTATGCATGTGCACATGTGCATGCGTCTATATACATAAACCTCATTCACATCCACTGGCACAAGAACACATAAAGTTACACTCAGTCACACAAAGATATATATATATATGTAAAGACATAGACATACAACTATATGCATATGTGTATGTGCCAACATGCCATCTTACACACATGGATGCATGCTAACACGTGTACATTCCAATTAGTCCTACACACAGGTGTAAATAGGCACATTAGCTCACACATGCAAATCAGAATAAAATGGAATAAAATCAGAATGTGTCCATGGCATGGTGGCCACTTGACTTATTGGAGACCACACTGAGCCAAGGATGAGGTTTTAAGTGTCATGTGGGCAGTGGCCAAGTATCCTGGTTCTCACGGAACCCAAGAGCTGGTTGTGTAGTGGCTGCACAATACAGTCTTCTGGGTTGATGGACTCCATGGCTTACCTGTCATGGTTTGATTATGACAGCGATGGAAAAATTGTGTTCTCTCCCATCCTTTAGTGTGAACAGCTAGAGTTTCTTGGAGCTCCTCCTTGGTTGAGATTACAATGTGCTTTTGCAGCCTCTCCCTTATCCTCTGAAACGCTACTCCCAGAATCCTACCTTACAGTCCAGTATAACATTTTATTTCCATTCTTGCTTCAAAAGAAAATGAAAGATCCATGCTAGTCGGTGTGGTCTGGGCTTATTTGGAAAAGGAGTTTACATCCCTGGCATAGAGAGAGACCAAATGCCCCATCTGTGGGCTTCATGGCCTTGGGGGTGATGCCCATGGCTCTCTACAGCCCACCTGGCATCTCCATTAGGCCTTCCCAAAGAAGGTCCCAGTCCCCATCACAGCGATAAGGAAACCTGAGGTGGTGTCCCTATGGGCCAGGCAATGACTGTTGATGTGGCGGTGGTTTACTAACAAGTACACATCATTATTAAACATTATCATTCAAAAGAGTGCACATTCTGTGTTTGCTTGGTCCACGAGAAACAAAGTAAAATCACACACATACTCTGCGTTGCTGGAGGAAGGGAATGCCTGCACCCTGTGTCACAGGAGTTAGCATCTCCGCTGAAGCAGCAAAGCCCGGGGAGCCACGTGAAGGAGTCTCAAAAGAGTTCACTTTCCCTGTGTAGTTCTAGAGCGTAATGAACTCCTGTCTTCATTTCCTGTGCACTTGTTATTGATTCTGGCATATACTACTCAGTGCTCTAGGAGGAAGAAAAATGAATTGGGATGCTAATTTTGAACTTTTAATTTTATCCTTTTCCTTTTTCTCCTCCATGAACTTTCTCTGTTCCTCTCCCTTATTTGTCTCTCTTCTCCCCTCCCCTCCCCTCCCGTCCTCTCTCCTCTCTCCTCCTCTCTCTTCTCCTCCTACACTCTGAAGACCAACAGGGTAGCTACTGAGCTTTAGCCTTTGTATCCACACTCTGAAGACATAGAATCCCTAGGACTATGGCCTCCCTCTCCTCTGATCCCAGTCTTTAACATGAACCTCTTTTTAGCCTGTGTCCTGAAGAGTGGGAGTGCAGCAGTGGCATCAGGAACTCTGAGGGCTTGTTCCGGGAGTGACTGTACTGATGTACTTACTAAATTGATTTTCAGTTCCTCAACTTCCACCCATTGTCTGCTGGTCTCTCGCAGGTTCTCCCTGCTGTCCCTCCTCACACGCATTTCATAATAGCTCTTTTCCCATTTTACAAAACCAAGGCCACTCGGCATTCCCGAATTTTCCTCTGGCACACTGTTCTAGGGTGTAAATGCCTCCAGAAAGCCAAACCTCCTATATTCATCAAAGCACCAGAAACTCACAGAGGGTGCCTCTCCTTACTGATTTCACTCGTTTTTCTTTAAGAAATGTGTTAGACATGGAGTGTGTTGGCCCTTTTGGGGATGGCACAGACAATGGCAGTCTATGACCATTGTGTTTCACAACCCCGCCTCTTCCAAGGCCTGACTATTGTCAGAGATGCTCAGCTGTTGTGGGATAATATGGTAGGTGAAAAGCTAAGAGTTGAGAAGAAATAATGGATGCTAAAAATGACCTTGTTACACAAATTTAATCACAAGCAATTATGTTCAGCTATTCTCAATACTCATTCCTGGGAAGCAGCATTATCCGGAAAGAAAAGCACCTTGAAACAGCTGAAAGTGTACAGGTTAGGGACACAGATTCTATTCAATGTAATGGGAATGTTTCTGAGGACAAGTAAATGTTAAAATGTATGTGAACAAAGCTTTAGCTGATTTCTTTTAAATTCAGTGTTCGTTATTCAATAAGTTAACACCTATTTTATAAAATGGTATCATGAACTATTTATGTCAGTCCTCAGCTTATTTCTTCTTACAAAATGCTTAGTATTTTCCAGATCTGATTAATGAAGAATAAAATGATACTCTAGCTGTAACAACAATTTCTTTTTACCAGTGTGTACCTTTCTCTTTAACTAAATAGATGAGAAAATCTTGGTCATAATGTCACACAAAATTAATGGCATTATTTCTGAAATTTTATTCATAATTGTGATTTAATGATTTTCAAAAGCTGAGAGACAGATTCAATTCATACATGCACCCATATTTACCAAAGGACTAACGAGAGTTTTATACTTCTTGGTCCATAAATAACACATATTTGCTGCAGATTACACTGCATTACTTCAAATTAAGTAGTGAGAAGCAGCATAAGTGTTTGTTGTTTTTATAAATTATATGAATAGACTATATTCGCTTTGTATCAGCATAATCTTGATTTGACTGCTTTTAGTATGCTACCTTAAAAAACACAAGTTCCACGATATATGGTTGAGTAATTTTTAACAATATTTCTGAAACGTCTATTAGTCCATTTACTTAAATTCAAAAATGAAGTCAGACATTTTATGACATAAAGTGACTCTGATTGGGCTGATAATTTGATAGTCGTGACTGATGTTACTAACTAGGTTATATGGCAGACATGGCCCCATTTGCAAGTGAGCTAAGTTTATATTTAAAGAATAGGATGAGATAAGAGAAGTTTTTGGTAAAACATTACATTGTTAAAGACGTATTAAAATTAATATTTTCAGTTTTACCAATTCTATCTGGGCATTTTGTGCTAAAAAATGTGCATCTCCCTGGAAAACAATTAATGGGCACAATAATAGTATCTTAGTAAGTTTTAGTAAAGTTGTTTTGGTATTTCTCCCAGGTACAGTGACAGTGAATGATTCTAATAGGTTTTTTTTTAAGTAAATAAACGAAAATGTACATACACTGATATGGTTTGGGTCTGTGTCCCTGCCCAAATCTCCTGTTAAATTGTCATCCCCAGTGCTGGTTGGAGGTGATTGGGCCGTGTAGGTGGTTTTCTCATGGTTTAACACCATCCCCCTTGGTGATTTTGTGGTGACAGTAAGTTCTTCTGAGATCTGGTTGTTTAAAATGGCACCTCCCGGCTCTCTGTCTTCCTCCTGCTCTGGACATGTGAAGTGTTGGCTCCACCTTTGCCTTCTGTCGTGATTGAAAGCTTCCTGAGGCCTTCCCAGAAGAAGCAGCTGCTATGCTTCCATGCTTCCTGTATAGCCTGAAGAATTGCAAGCAAATTCAACCTCTTTTCTTTATAAATTACCCAGTCTCAGATACTTCTTTATAGCAGTGCAAAAATGAACTAGTACACACACACACACACACACACACACACTCGCACACCCCTCTTCAATTCACATGGTTTCCAATTCTTTGCTGTCAGCAGAAGCGAATAGGAGCCTAATCAAACTGTCCTGTGATAGATCACTAAAAATAATTTTTAATAGTTCAAGTGCTTTTCAGCTTATAGAAGGAATTTTAGAAACTGACATTGCTATAACAAAACTCCTTCCAATCCCATCTCTTTCAAAGGGATACATCTTCTGAGAGCTAATGCCTACTAAAATGTAAGAAATAGAGAGGTGTAGAACATGAATAAAAATCTTTTTGGGGCATAGGAGCAATAACATTTGAACGTGATTGGTCTGGAAGGTCCCTTTCAGCTCTGATAATCTGTGCCTGTCATTCACATCTGTGTTCCTTTCATACTTTTTGGGATCCCTTCTCTGCTCCCCAGGAACCCCAGCTGACCCCAGCTTCTCCCAGCCCCACTGCCATGGCTTACATAGTCCTGCCTGCCTCTGTATGAACCATGCTCCATACCCTTCCTGCCCTCCTCACCCTTCTTATCCAAACCACTCTCCTTTCAGCCCTGCCTCTTCACTTGTTTTCTAACCATATTAATGTTAATAAAATATTGATGGTTAACTTCTGCCTCTCTAAACGTTCTACCCTCCATCTACAAGGATTGAAAGGGAGCCTTAGATATCACTCCTAACCACCCCATCAAACAGGTTGGGCCACCTTTGATGCTCTTGAGTCCACCCAGGCTGATCTCATGTCCCTGTGTATGAGAGTCACCGTGAGAAGCTCCAGACCTATGCAACTTCTGCCTTATGCCACTTCTGCCTTCTGTAGTCTGTCTTTTCTGTCCCCATCTCCCACCTTGCCCTCCCCAACTCTTGAACACTGTGTCTGCTAGAACAAATGGTCCATCAGCAAAAACACCCCCTGTATTCTAAACCTATTGTCTGAATTCTCCCTTCATTTTCTTGCCCTAACTAAAGTCTTGCTTTCCCCCAAGAACAGGGTTTTTCTGGATCTTTCTGGAGTGAGGGCTATTTATTTGCCTTTATCCCTTATACAACGGGATGTTGTGGAGGAAAGCTAGAGATCCTCCCTTCTCTTCATTGTTGCTTCTAATCTGTCCTCTCCTCTCTTCCCTTTAAACATGCGGATCTGAATCGTTTGTCTTCAGAGTATGCCGCCCACTCCTCTTCTAACTACAGTTAACTTCTAATCCCAGAGTTATGCCTCTTAGTTTTCAATGATTTTAGCTGCTGGTTTACTGTTCCTCTGACTCTCGTTCTATCTTAATGCTGGGTGATTTCCATATATACGTACATAATCCCTTTAACTCTTGACCTTCTAGTTCCTTGAATTTCTTTTTTCTCTAATGAATGCATTCTTTCTGTTCTACTCCACCACTTGATCTCACGGCTGGATTCTGCCCTATCCTTACTAACAGAGCCCACCTTCTGACCTCACCTTTTATTTTTCTAGCTCATTTCTTCTAGTGCTCTGACTTCAATAAACCCTTGATATTCAGCTTAAAATACATTATTCTACTCATTATACCCATCTCTTGTATTTGTCCCTGAACTTCTTTGTCCCATTTTAATACTCTCTCAAGAGAACTAAGATCCTAAGCAAACTCTCCACAATCTCTGCACCTACACTCATGCAGCCAACCTGAAACAGAGAAAAATACATAATCATGCTGATCATCTTATGGGCTACCAACTTTTTGTTTGTTTGTTTGTTTGTTTTTGAGACGGAGTCTCGCTCTGTCGTCCAGGCTGGAGTGCAGTGGTGCAATCTCAGCTCACTGCAAGCTCTGCCTCCCAGGTTCACACCATTCTCCTGCCTCAGCCTCCCTAGTAGCTGGGACTACAGGCACCCGCCACCACACCCAGCTAATTTTTTCTATTTTTTAACAGAGACGGGGTTTCACTGTGTTAGCCAGGATGGTCTCGATCTCCTGACCTCGTGATCCGTCCGCCTCGGCCTCCCAAAGTGCTGGGATTACAGGCGTGAGCCACTGCGCCTGGCCTGGGCTACCAACTTTAAGTTGTGTTAAAAGAAAAGCTTCAGCCAAAATTAAATTTAAAAGACTTGAAGCAATGAACAATTTGCGAATTTGGCAGTGCCCCAAATCACAGCAGATTCAGAGAGACTCCAGTGCAGCCACATGGTGGAAGAAGATTTATAGACAAAAAAAGGGAAGTGACGTATAGAAATCAGAAGTGAGATATAGAAAAAACTGGATTAGTTACAGCTCAGCATTTGCCTTATTTGAACAGTTTTGAATACTCAGCAGTGTAGGGGTGATTGAAGTATGGCTGCTGGGATTGGCCAAGGCTCAGCTATTGTTACAGATGCATACTCCCAAGTTAGGTTTTCAATCTTGTCTACCTATTAAGTTAGGTTGCATTTCATCCACAAGGACTCAAATATAGAAGTACAGAGTCCTTCTTGGGCCATATGTAATTCACTTTAACAGTTGAGTCACAGTGTTCCCTGGCATTCATACTACATTCCATCTATTTGCCTCTATCTTAAAACCTTCACCATATGTTCCTTCACCATCATTCTCAGCTGACAGCATTGCTTCAATTTTATCAGTGAAGTAGGAAGCAATCAGAGGAGAACGTCCACATGTTTCTACCACCACATTTACCCATCTACTAGCATCTACACCCATAAGCTTCCCAAGTGTCAATGGAGGTGAACTCTACATGTACCCCTCTAAGGCCACAGCACCACACATTTCACCCACCCCCAACTACTGAAGGTTATTGCTCCAACATTTCTCTCTCTACCCCCTATACCATCCATATTTCCATTTCTAGTAAATCATTATCGTCATCATGCCCAATATGCTTATTTCTCCCATCTTAAAAAAGTCCCTTAAACCTGCCAACATGTCCTTCAGTCAGTGAATGAATAAATTGTGGTACATCCAAATAATGGAATATTATTCAATGCTAAAATGAAATTACTTATTTAACTGTGAAAATACATGAAGAATCCTTAAATGCAAATTACTAAGTGAAAAGCCAATCTGAGAAGGTTATATGCTGTATGATTCTAACTTTGACATTCTATAATAGGCAAAACTATGGAAACAGTAAGAAGATCAGTTTCAAGGAGGTGAGATGAATCATTGCGGCAGAGAGGATTTTTAGGGGCATGAAACTACTCTTTATGATACCATAATGGTGGGTACATGCCATTAGACTTTTGTGCAAACCCATGGAATGTACACCAAGAGTGATCCCTAATGAATACTATTGACTTTGGGTGATAATGACATGTCAGTTTAAGTTCATTGACTGTAACAAATGCAGCACTCTGGTGGGGGAATTGATCATGTGGGAAGCTGTGCATGAATGGGAGAAAGGGGTATATGGGATATCTCTCTACCTTCTGTTCAATTTTGCAGGCAACTCAAAACTGCTCTAAAAAATAAATTCTTTAAAAATATGTCTTTTGATCTCACTGCACCTCGCATTTTTCTGCTCCACCTTAGATTATTACTCGTCAAAATAACTGCCTCTACCCACTAACTCCACCCACTACCTCCAATTCCTGTCCTCTTATTTTCTCTTAATCCCATAATCCCATGTCAAACAAGATTTTGCCTTCAACCCCTCCACTAAAACCACCCACATTTAAGGTCACAAAGACTTCAGTGCTGCTAAATCCATATCAGTTCTTAAAACTCATATTTGACCTCTCAGTAAACATTTCACGATTGTTCATTCCTTACTCCTGAAAACACATTCATCCCATAGCTTCTTAAACACCACACACTCGGTTTTACTCCTACTTTTCTGGTCATATTTTAATCTTTTTTTTCTGTTTTCTCCTTTTCTATCTTGTCTTCTATTATTGGAGTGCCTCAGGGCTCAATTCTTGGACCTTGTTCTTTTCCGTTACATTTATTGCCTGGGTGATGTCATCCTATCCTATGGCTTTAAATCCCACCAATGTGTTCATAACTTACGTCTCCGGTACAGATATTGCCACTTAATTCCTGACTCCATCCAGCTGCTTATTCAATAGTGATTGTAAGAGTTAAAGAGGAAAGAAACATGAAACATGGCTAAACAGTCAAAGACAGGCTTTCTTTAGATAAAACCTGAGAGGGGCTTCTGGCTGATTTTAGTCAGGAGTGCTTTCTCTTAGAGACTAAGAGTATATGTTGCTTTCAGGGTGAGGGGCTTACTACAAGCTTGGAATGTTTCTGTGTGAGGGAGAAGTTTTATGGTGGGGTTAGAATGTCTCAGGGAGGAGGGGGGGTTGTTTTGGGGCCGACATCTTTCAGGCTGGAGGGGGATGTCTTGAGGCTAGCATGTCTCTGGTCAGGGAGGAGTTTGGAATGTTTCTGGTTGGAGATGTTATTTGTCGTTTATGGTCATAATGACCTTAGCCATTAGACCGATGCCCTTTGGATTTAGGTGGTTTTTTAATAAGGCAAACTTTAGGATGAGGGGCTTGTCCAAGATGGCGATGCTCCTGCTCTGTCAATGATGTCTTATAGAAATAGCAAACTTAACACGTCCAAATGATGTTTCCCCACACCCTCTTTGCCATGCTTTTCTCTATCAGAGCTCATGGCAACTCCATCCGTCCATCAAAATAGGCTAAAATACCTAGGTGCCATCCCTGATTCTGCATCCTACCTTTCATGAAATCATGTTAGTTCTTCCTTTAACATATATCCAGCATCTGGCCCCTTCTCACCAACTCTTCTGCTGCCACTCTCATCTTGCCTGGATTTTTGTAATAGATTCCTAGTGGCTTCTTTGTTCTAATTCATACCTATCCTTTTATAGTCTATTCTTAAATATGATAACCAGAGTGAGCCATTCTCATGGTCCAAGGCTTAAAACCCTGCCATGGCTCTCCAGGTCACTTTATCTGGAGCCTAAGTACTTAGTAATACTATACCCTGCACGGGGCAACAATCTGACTCATTACCTCTCTGACATTACCTCCTGTGACTCTCCTCTCAGTCTGCTGTAGCCCATTCCTCCAATAGCTCAGGCCATTTGTATTGGCTGCTTCCTCTGCCTGGAGCATTCTTCCCCTAGGTAACAGCAAGGCTCATTTCCTCTCCACATTCACATTTTTGTTCAAAACACACACTGTATTTAAGGTCTACTCTGAATATCCAGTTTTAAATTGCACTCCTCTTACCATGCTGAATTTTTTCAGGGCAATTTTTTTCAACTTTTTTGTGTTTATTTTATGTATTGTCTTTTCTGTTCCCTAAATATGTGGTTTATTAAAGGATATATATATATATATATATACTTATATATTTATATTTATTAGAGAATTATATATATACACACATATATAGTCTGTCTTGATTGTTGTATAATAAATATAAATATAAATATATAAGTATATAAATATATAATGTATATAAGTATATAAATATATGAATACATTATATATATAAATATATAAATACGTGTGTGTGTGTGTATATATAAATATCTATATACACACACACACATATATAGTCTGTCGTCATTGTCATAACCTTAATGCCTGGATATTGTCTAAAAATATTAAGTGCTCAGTGAATACAATTGATCATCATTATCCATGAATTCTGTATTTGCAAATTCACCTACTTGATAGAACTTATTTATAAGCCCCAAATTCACATATTCTACTTTTGTGGACATTCAGAGACAGACACAGTGGTGAAAAAGTTGAGTCAGCTGGCACAGACGTTCCCAGCTCAGGGTTCAAGGTGATGCTCTGCTATCTTGCTTCAGCTCTTATACTATGAAAGAGGGTCTTCTCATGGTCTATTTGGTGTCATGTTTTTCATGTTTTTGCGGTTTTCATTGGTAATTTTGCTGTTTCAACTGCTCTCCAAGTAGATTGCTAAAGTGCTGTCTAGTGTTTGTAACTGCAAGAAGGCTGTAATGTGCTTTATGGAAAAAAATATGTGTTAGATAAGTTTTGTTCATGCATTAGTTACAGTGCTGTTGGCATGAGTTCAATGTTTATATATATATATTTATATATAAATATAAATATAGAAAGGTGTCTTTAAACAGAAATACACATAGAACAAGGTTATGTGTTGATGGGTTGACAACAAGGCTATGATCACAGGCTTGCAGGAACCTTACCTTGTATTTCCCCTAGGAACAATGGCTCAGTATTTGCTAACTCAGTGTTTGCAGATACTTTATAAAGCAAACCTATCACAAAAACTAAGAATAAACTTGATTTCTTTAATTGAGTGAAATATATTTGCATTTTAAAAGGGGTCTCTTGTTAAATAAAACTAATCTCTCTTGCAGTTTCAGGCAATTGAGGATGGTAATCAGACCAGTCTCATGTATTTAACAATTGATCAGGCATCCATTGTCTTGCTACTTCTAAAGACTCTACTGAATGGACCAGAGAAAGATATTGGTCCTCATTTTACAGATGGAGAGTGAAGCTCCAGAGGACATTTGAGGCTCTCCTGAACTGAAGCTCACCATACGTGAAGAAGCTCTTTCTCTACAGATGGCTGACCTTGCTAGTCTAGCTCTTTACATCAGGCCTTCATGAGTCCCAGGCTTGCTAAAGGGTGACCTCTATGGTTTTAGTCTGAAACTCTTATCAGGACAGACCGAGCTCCTCAGCCTCCATGCATTACCTCATCCCACCTCTATCTTAATTCTTTCTTCTTTCTTTTTTGGACCACAGTTCTTTGTCCAGTTCTGGCCTCCTTATTTCACTCTCTGGTTCTTCAGCTTCTGATGTCTTCTTTCTTTCTTCTCATTCTGTTTTGTTTTTGTTTTTATTCTCTAATTAGATAACTGCTTTCTTCTGAGTCATAGATAAACCACAGATTCAGAAACAATCAGATATTGACCATAGCCACAGTGTTTTATAGATTTAAATCCAGCAATACCATGGACTATAACACAGTTATCCATCACAAAGTCACAGCACCATGTATTCTCTTGCACAAAATAGGCACCAAAATACTTATTAAATTGAATGGTCAGGTGAACCATTAAACATGAGTGTCTAGTGAATATCTGGAATGAAGAGATGAGGTTGTGTTTACTGAGGGGATAAATCATTTGGGTCCCTCTCTTCCCAGATCCCCAAAACAAGTCCTATAAATGTCCTCAGTGCCTCACTATCTGGCTGTACAAATTGGGAGATGCCCAAGACCATGATTTAGAACACTCCCAAAGGGTGCCTCCTATTTCTCTAACTTCTAGGCTTTCCCCACCATAGTCAGCTCCTTCCAACATGGTTCTGGATTCAAATGGGATTGCCAAGTGGAAGTATCTGGAGATCTGTCAACACTTGTTGATCAGCCCTGATATGAACATTTCTAAAGAATACACTATAAACTGTTTACTTTTCTGGCTGTAATTGCTTAAACAAACTTACAAACTTGATAACATTTAACAATAAGAACTCTGTTTACTGGAAATTCACACCTGTACCCTTTATTCTACCACTTCTTGGAAAGGAATGGAATAGGATTTTTTTTTTAATTGAAGCTGTTAGAATAGATGGTACACTTGGGAATTTTGTAAGCACACACAGTGTGGACAGCACTGTGTGTGTGTGAGGACACCAGCTCACACATTCCGGAGCCATCCTCTGTACTTTTTGTGTTCATCGATCAATAACAGAACTTTATGGGATGAGTCCTAATATTTTCTACCTTTTTGAAATTTATTGCAATGTGAATTCCCTGACAGGGGACTTTCTGTTATGTTCCCAGAGAAAATATGAAAGTGCCTGTTACCTGAGCACATTTAGAGTGGCTCCAGCCACGAGAATAGATCTCAGATTAAGAAGAGCCCCTGTGTTCAAGGCCATGTCCCTAGAAGACCACAAAGGTTTAGGGACAAGAGAATGGGGTTGAGGTCTCACTCTGTCTGTTTCTCCAACCCTATCTCCTTATATGCCCACAGCCACATCTATCTCCACATCCACTGTGTGTCTGCAGGGGCACATTCACAATATTTAGTGACCGTGGTATTAAATAGCCTGGGCAATCACCCATCAAAATGTCCAGAGGCTGTGGCACTCCAAAAGAGCCCTGAGGTCCCCTCCTATGCTGGGCACTACCATTGTGATTATTGGATCTTGGGGAACTTGGAAGGTCCCAGAGGACAGTGGCTGTTTATCAACTGGTTTAGAGGCATTTCAACATTTTAACAAGTACAACCACATCAGATCATACAGATCACAGAAGTGCTTAGCTGTATTTGTGCAATATATTGGCCTCAGCCTTCAAAATTGACTCAGATAGTTATTATCTTCAGCAGAAAGGTATGCTGGAGGCTTTCCAGAATCATTCATCCTGTGTAAGAAATGGAGAGAGCTGAGTCTTAATCTCAGTTTGGCTACTAACTTGCCTATGACCTTATTAAGCCAGGCACTTAACCTCTGTGAGCCACAGTTCATTCATATGCAAACAAAACAAAACAAAATAACCAACTGGCCTGTTTCTTTACAGATTTATCCACATCTACATTCTGGAAAGGAAGAATAATGAGAGGAAGGATGATGAGAGAAGAGACAGAAGAATGGTAAGAGCTAAGATTTGGATCACAGCCAATGATAACAGTCTCTTTCATCTGTACAGGATTTTACAGTTTCTTGAGCATTTTCATTATACCAAAACAAACTGTTTCCAGACTGTTAGTGTGTGTGTGTATTCTCCACAATAGAAAGTTCAGAGCTCGTAGCATAGCCTAAGAGAAGAGACTGACACACATGAAATAAGAGTAGAAAAAGATTGATGAGTGCTGGAGTGGTCAGGGAAGTTTGCATTGAGGAGGTGGGATGGGTGCTGGACCTCATCAAATCAAACTGTGATGGCATTTTATAGTTTAGGATTTCTGTCTGTGTATAATATTCCTGGGTCATGATTTTTTCGCCTCAGAACTTGGAAGTATTGCCCCTTTCTTTTCTGACACTGGATGTTGCTCTGGAGAGAACTGAAGACACCTTTGGTTTCTCTTCTTCCTTTTTCTGCAAGTATAACTAAATAATTCCTTTCTTAATCCTTGAAGTTCAAGAATGTAACCAGGATATCTCTTGGGTTTAGCCATTCTGTATAAGTGTTTTCTGTGAATGGATGTGCTTTTATAATTTACCCCTTTTATTCAGTTCTTTTTTCATTTAAGGAAATTTAGCTTTAAAATATCTTTGAATAATTCTTGTCTGTATTTTTTGAGTTCTCTATTTCAGGAACACTTTTTATCCATATGTTGTATCATTTCTGTCTTCCCTTGATATCTGTTACTTTATCCGCAATCATCCTATCTTCCCCTTTCCTTCCCTTTGCATTCACTGAGGAATTTCATTTTGAGGATTTAATTAAAATTTCAGTCACGTCTATTCTGTTCTTGGCTGCTCTAATTATTCGTTCTGTAATGATATTGTTGTGGTCCTCAATCAGTTCCCTTAGTTCTGCAATGTCTCTTTTCTTCTCATTCTGTTCTCTTGGCATGCTGTCTTAAAGCCCTTTATAAAACAGATAATTCATGTTATTAATATTATCAAGTTATTCCATAGCCTGAACCACCTGCTAGAACTTTTCTTCTGTTCCTTGGGTTATGTTTTCTGCCGAGTTGTTTCTCTGTCTCCTGTAGCCCATGCTTTCCTTCGGGATTTTCCTGTGATAGGTTCCACAACCACCATGACATGCCCACCTCATCCTCTTGCTCATGTAAGGATGGGGAACTCTGACTGCTGTGGTACATTGGGACAAATGCTTCTAAACATGTTTCCTATCTTATTGAGACAGTTTTGGTTTCCCCTTTAGCCAAAGTCTAGTGGTATTATGTTCTTACCGCTTTTCGGTTTCCCAGTGCTTCAGAGCCAGTTGAAAAGTTGAGGTGGATCTGTGAGAAAGTTTGTTAGATAATCTGGGCCCTAGTCTTCTGAGATTTTCAAAAAATAAACCATTTGAGACCACCAAATCTGATCAAGGGTACATCTTACTTATGTCAGGAAATACCCTGTGCTTTGGAATATTTCCCTAATTTAGACTATAATCAAAAAAAAAAAAAAAAAGGTAAATCCAAGTAGTTTTTCTGCCTCTACTAAAATGGAATGTCAGTTAGGATTAACTTGCCCTTGTTTTCTTATGTACACCCTGCAGCTAATAATATCACAGGGATTTTTGAGGCTTAAATAGAATATTGCATGTGCTGGGTTATTGTCATGACCTAGTAGATACTCAAAATATGTTAGGAGTGATGATTTTACTGCATTAGTAAATGGATATTCTCTTTCAGAGAATGTGTCTTTATCTTTGCCCAGGGCTACATACTCACACTTTAATTCTATGTCTTTTCAAATGGGGTTGTATTCTTGAGATTTTTATTAACAACATTGTTTGCCTCATGTGACCTGTTGGGTGCATGAAGGATGAAGCATGGAGTTAGGACTTCTGATGGGCGATGCCCAACCCAAATATTCTCTTGATTTTCTTGGCAACCACTACTCAAAATTTAAGACATAAGATTATGTCTTATTTATTTTTGGTTACTGATGATGAAAATGTTGTTACCGATGTTAGTTTCAATAGGTAATAGGGTGGGATATTGTTTATCTTCCTCCATTCATCATGTCTATCTATAAGCTAAAACAGGGTTCTGGAGGTAGATGGGAGAGAGGCAGGCATTGCAGGCAGAGGCCTGAAAGAGGGAAGGAGCAGAGGTAGGGATGGGCAAGAGGAGACAGTGCAGGCAGGGGCTGGTTTGCAATGAAGGGAGTCATGGGTGATGAGCCACAGTGGAAGGAAGCTAGACTTTTGTGGCTAGTCATAGGATTTTTTTTTTCTTCTTCAGATGGAGTCTCACTCTGTTGCCAGGCTGGAGTGCAATAGTGCAATCCCGGCTCATTGCAACCTCCGCCTCCCAGGTTCAAGCGATCCTCCTGCCTCAGCTTCCCGAGTAGCTGGGACTACAGGTGCATGCCACCACGCCCGGCTAATTTTTGTATATTTTTTAGTAGAGACAAGGTTTCACCATGTTGGCCAGGGTGATCTCGATCTCCATCTCTTGACCCTGTGATCCACCTGCCACGGCCTCCCAAAGTGTAGTCATAGGATTTTGGAGCCCCGAAAGAAAAGTTGAGATAAGTGGTAGAGCTAGGACTAATATTTGGAATGTTGGTCTTCACCTACCGTGCTCTCCTGTGAGTTTGTCTGTTGGCATGCTGTCTCTCCAGCAGTGAAACTGTTGGCTTTCATGGCCACATGGCCCTGAGGTTCTAGCTGGGGTGAAGGCACACCTCTTGCTATTTCTTCCTCTTCAGTAAAATAGAGACCACAGGATGAGGAGATAGATGCAGAAGATACCACAGTTCAGCCTGGTTTTTATTTAAGGTTCTTGTTTTGCTAGAGATAGATGTGGCTGGGAGATCACCTGGTTCTATGAGTCCAAGTTTCATCTTGCTTCTGTAATTTGGGGATCAGGCTGCTCCAAGAATCACTTCTAATGACACACCCATAACTCAGAGTTGTAATGTCCATCTGGGCATCAGAGATGAAGATAATTAATTCGTGACTTTTAAGTACTGTGATTTTGTTCATGAAGTCCAGATAATAGTTCTCCTAAATTAAGAGATCCCAAAGTCATTAACCATCCATGTGTATCCAAAGCCAGGATTGAAGCTTGGTATATATTAGGTGCTTAGCAGATGTTTCTTAATTAAGAGAGGAAAAGATAGACCAGTTAGCCCCCAGAAGTTACAGAATATCCTTTGGGTCCCCTGCTTTCCTCCCACCCTATCGCCCTCTCTAATATAGAGTCAAATTCTTCCCAAGAAGCTTGAATCTGCCAGAGGAGTGAGGAATCTTCTAGCAGGCGGGTTATTTTAAATCTTTAATAGACATATTACCTTACATTATGGCTTCATCATCCGCCCCTCAGCGTGAGCACAAAGAGAACATCCATCACAATTAGTGTAACATCCCAAACACATAAAAAAGATGAAAATGTGCAGCTACGTTGGGTATAAAGGAGCCCAGCCTTTCTGAGCAGATTTTTGTTGGACCTCGGGCACACAGCCAGACGAGGATGCTGCCCTCCCATGGGCCAAGTAGGAGATGAGGGTCTGCTTCAAGCCCAGTAGGTTATTTCTGTCTGTCCTCCTCCAGAAAAGCAGAAGCTTCCAGAACTGAGCTGAGGCTGTCACTGTCCTCCACAAAGCTCTGCTCTCATTTCTATTACTGGCCACTCAGAGGACATTGGCCAAAACCTGAGGTCCCTGGTTCCAGGGCAATCAGAAAAAAACATTTTATGTACTGAGCCAAATTCTGTATGAAGATCTTCCACTTCTGTTAGCTCATGGAAGTCCTTTAAGCACTATGTGAAATATTACGGTCCTTTTTGCAGAGAAGGAATTGGCTAAAAAATTTTCTGTGTTATACAGAAAGTAATAAGTGACTCATACACCCATCAGTCTAATGACAAAGGTTATTTTCTTAGAATATGGTTACTGGTCAAGACAAGTGTTCATAGAACTGAAGTTGGAAGGAAAGAAGATGCCACTCTCATTTTGGAGGCAAGAGCAGTGCCAGTCACGCGGCTGCCAACACCTGGTGTCCTTTTCCATTTCTCTTTCTTTTGCTCTTCACCTGTGTACAATTCTTCATAATGCCCTCCAAACTATTGCTTGTATGTTTCAGTGTTTGCATAAATTTATATAGGCATATATACAATTATTTATCTCCCTTTTGGGCTCATGCAGAGTTGAGTTAATCACACACTTCAGTTCTTAGCACTATCAACATCATTCACCACAAGGCTCCTCTCCCATTTATTTTCCCCTGTTCAGTCCCTGATTCTCATTCCTACTCCCCTCACCTGCCTGGACACCTGCTCTGATGTGCTGGATATGTGTTCTTCTAGTATTGTGTATGTTCATGTGCTTTGGTTGACATAAGCAATATTTGGTAATAGGCCTTATTTTGCTTCTAATTTTTTTCCATTTAGATTTAGCTACATTTGCTCTGAAGGCATCTAGCTCATCGCTTTGAACTCCTGCGTGCTGAGATGCTATGCCTCCACACATTTTATTTGTCCCCCCTCCCTGAAGACAGGCCCTCTAGATTGCGTTTGACTCTTGGCCACCTCAGACAATACAATGATTTAACCAATACCAACATCCTTGTCCCCTTGGGCTCTGTACTAAACTTTACCTGGCTATTCTCAGTTCTTTGATTTTCTACAATTGTTTTGCTTGTTTACGTTCTCATCACCCCTTGTCTGGGTCATTACAAAGATCATCCTGCCCAGACTCCCACCTCTCCTGGCAGTAAATTCTGCTCTTACTTAAGGCTCAGATAAGCCAGTTGCCCACCTGTGCTTGGTCTCTTCTCAGCTCCTCCATGATATAATTTCTGTACTATAAAAAAAATAAAAAGTAAAAAATAAAAAAATAAAAAAATAAAAAATAATAAAATAAAAAAAATTTCTGTACTAGTCATCTGGCGTGCAGACCACAATCTGAGATGATAGATGATTAACTGTAGCAAATGCAGTGGTTTTCTACCTGGTTAGGTTTTGTTGTTCTCAGCTGCAGAGGGAGTAGCCCATTCATGTCATCGTAGAGCCCGGTATCCTCTACAGTACATATACAGTATACCTAAAGGGCTCTGCAGGTACACACACTGGAGTCTAGGTTTTTGGCTCATTGCTACCCTCTGCCTCTGTGCCAGGGAAGGAGTCCCTACTCATCTGGCTTAGAAGCAGATAGATGGAAGCTCATCACCAGCAGATGGATGGGGTCATAGAGAGCTGGTGAGGGGGTGTCATAGAGAGCTGGTGAAGGTGGGTCAAGAAGCAATAAAGAGACTTTTCAAGCTTTTTGGTGCTGCCAGGTACTAATTTTGACACAAAGTGCTAATAGGCATGAATTATGAATTGGCCTCAATCCTTGGTGACAGACATGTGCATGTAAGCCTCTTTGATCCTACGAGCAAATTTGTGTGTGTGTGCGTGTGCACACGTCTGTGTGTGTGTGGTGGGTCAGGGAAGGAAAGGATGGAGGCATGGAGGAGCTGGACTATGCCACAGCTGCTTTGGAAAGACAGGGCACAAAATAGGGGTTGGATGTAGACCCTCTCCTAGCTGTCCTGCCTCCTTCTTCCCTGAGATATCCTGAATGGTAGGTGCAGCTGGAAGGATCAGGAAGTGGTTCTGCCTTTCAAGCAGCCAAAGCAAAGTGTGTTGAGCAGTAAGGCCAGAGGTGTGTGAGAGGTGTGTGAGGCAGGACAGTCTTCTTCTTGGGATGTTCATTCATTTGAGTTTTAATCATGCCTATAATATTGCTTTCATTTTCTGATTGTTTTCCTGAATCCCAGGATTTCTTCATTCACTTTCTTCTCTAAATATGACTGAATGCATTCACCCTCTCTCCTTCTAAAAGGGTTACTAATTTGGAAGTTTCTTAGCCAGGTCTCTCTTAGCCAAGTCAGAACGAGTTGTTAGCTCCCTGGACTATCTTCCTGGTAAATGTGGATTAAGCATCTTTTCTAGAGCAATTTCATAAGGAAGCTGTAAGAACCAAATAGAATAGTAGGTGTCAAAGTGCTACATGCATTATAGCTATAAATATGCATTGCAGTTTGTATTCTACTTAGCTTTTGTTTTATCTTAATTTTTTTCTTTTTTTCACTTATATTAATAAGACGGGGATTGGCTTTTCTCTTAGGCTAGTGCTCCGTTCCCCAGCCCCAAACCTGTACAACTCTGCCACTGCACAAACACACACCTCCTTTACTGTTCACTAGGGAACAGTGAAGTTTATGCCAGCAGACTCCTAAATCTGTCATAATCTATAGAAAGAGACTTGGCCCAAGAAGGGAGATAGAAGGGGTTGGGTGGGATAGAGATGCTAAATTGACCTATACGATAAGGAATTGAGAGAAGGGAAGGAGAGAAAGAGAATAGAAGCCGCTCAGCTGGGGCTCTGGGGGAAGTTCTAGGGCTTGTGTGCAGAGGGCTCTGTAGGATGGGAGAGAATTGGGTAGTAGAAGAAAGGGCTTTAAAAAGAGTTACTGTGGCTTATTAATTAGATCCCTTTCACAGTCTTAAAGAGATGTAAATAATGCTTGTGATTCCTTCCTAATTACTATTTGGTAGTGGGACTTGGCTCTTTAAAGATGAGTCCCTGCAGAGACTGTGTAATATAACAGATCATTTATCACATCACGATGAATTTAAAGCTATTCAAGTTATGATTTTTTTATATTTGTAACTAGGCAGAACATTGTGTGGACCCCCTGCGAAGTGACGCTGTGCGGTATTTGGGAATGGGCAGTCGGGAGGGCAGAGCCCTTGGTCCTTTTAGCTAGGGTCCCCGTGCGGGCTGGATGCCGTACCCAAGAACCCGCTACCTAGGCTCCAGGTCTGGGCCAGCTTGTGGGTTTCAGCTGGGAGTCTCTTGACAGCTGTTAGCATTTCCAAGGCCACATATTGAGCCACATGGCTGTGGCCCTGCCAGCTAAAGAGCACCCTGATGTTGTCACCAAAAGAATCAGAACTACTCAGCAAACATGTGATGCAGGGGGGAGTAGCTCTGTTGGAGTGATGACCCCAAGTCCTAGCCCCTGTTCCACTGCTGTGCTGTGGTGAGAGGAATGGGGATGATACCTGCTAACATGGATGAGGGGGAAGCTGGGACTGTGCAAGTCCCGTGGAGGTAAGTGAGTGAATGATGACGACATTAGATGCAGTCGTGTGATGTTGGATCCCTGTCCATTGTCAGGGAAGGAGGCCAGTTCTTGAGCTGATGCTCTGGTCAGTGTCCCATGGGAGGATGTCTTTGAACCTTGCAGACAGCACGGATTCCTCAATCCTGGGAAAACCTGGCTACTTTAGGATAAGCACCTTCTTTATCATATTGCTTCCCTACAGTCATCCCCAGTCATAAGTTTTGATAAGGATCATAACCAGAAGCTAAGTAAAGCAGCCATCAGAAACGACGTAAGTGTGTGTCTGCAGCATTTTCCAGGGATGGGCATGTGGCTGATCTGAGATGGTCTGGAATTGTTCTGACCAATCCCTCTCATCCTGTCACCTTAAAATCCTCCTCCACACCCACCCACACCAGATGTCAGTAACACCTGAAAAATGGTCTTCTGAGCTGGTTCTTAGTCTGGTCTGTACTTTATTCAGGTCTCATGCAACAAAGGTGTGTTCTAATTTACAGTAGAGCATAATGGTTAGGGACAGAGATTTTGGAGCCCACCTGCTCAAGTTGAGATCCCAGCTCTATCAGTTAAAATCTGTGTGATATTAAGATATTGCTTAATCTCTCTGGGCCTGTAAAATTGAATTAATGGCAGTATCAAACTCACTAGTGTTTGTTGTGAAGATTCAATGAGTTAGTACTTGCAGAATTAGATGAGGCCTGGTGTATAGGCAGGTTTGAGAAATTATTGTAGGCATAGCTAAGTGTAGAACAATGATTGTGGAAACATGGTCTAGGGCGAGCCATATCAGAGTCTCAGTAGGGCCAGGAGAGGGAGAAGGAGCCTATTAAGACTGAAGATGTTTGAGATCTGCCCCAGATAGGGGAACCAGAATCTCCAGGAATAGTGCCAAGTGTTGACACTGACAACCAGCAATCCAGGCGATTCTGAACTAAAGTTGGAGAACCATTGTGATGGGTAGAATTTTACAGATGCCCCACCCCACTCCTACCACAAAATACCTGCTACTGGTTATCTGAACATGAATCTAGGTGCTTCTAGGAAGGGATTTTGCAGATGGAATTAAAGCCCCTAGTCAGTTCACTTTAAAATATGGAGATTATCTGGGTGGGGGCCTGCTGTAATCATAGGAGCCCTTTAAAAGGCAAAAGACATCAAACAGATTTGGCAGAAGGGGTTATTCTAACCCTTACTGGTTGTGAAATAGAGCAGGGCACGTGAGGAGCAATGAAGGCAGCCTTCAGAGGCTGAAAGACAAGCTCTTGGTTGACAGCCAGCCAAGACCTGTGACCTCAGTCCTACAACCACAAGGATCTGAATTCTGATGACCAATTGTGTTAGGTTTCTCCAGAGGGACAGGACTAATAGGATATCTGTATATAAGACAGGGAGTTTTTTAAGGAGAATTGACTCACAGGATCACAAGGTAAGTCTCTTGATAGGCCGTCTGCATGCTGAGTAGCTAGGAAGCCAGTAGTGGCTCAGTCTGAGTCCCAAAGCCTCAAAAGTAGGGAAACTGACAGTGCAGCCTTTAGCCTATGGCCAGAGGCCCAAGAGTCCCCAGTAAACCACTGGTGTAAGTCCAAGAGTCTGAAGGCCGAAGATCCTGGAGTCTGATTTTCAAGGGCAGGGAGCATCTAGCATGGGAGAAAGATGAAAGCTGGAAGACTTAGCAAGTCAGCTTATCCCAATTTGTTCTGTCTGCTTTTTCTAGTCGCACTAGGAGCTGACTGGATGGTGCCCACCCACATTGAGGATGGGTCTTCCTCTCCTAGTCCACTGACTAAAATGTTACCCTCCTTCAGCAACACCCTCACATACACACCCAGAAACAACACTTTGCATCCTTCAATCCAATCAAGTTGACACTTCATATTAACCATCACACCAACTGAGTGAGCTTGTGAAAAGAACACAGCTCTACTGACACCTCGAGACCCCAAGCAGAGAACCAAGTCCAGCCACCCAGGACTTCTTACCTGCAGAACTGTGAGACGATAAATGGGTGCTGTCCTTACTGGCTTAGCTGGTGTCAATTACACAGCATTAGAAAACTAACATAACAAACACCACTTTGTTAGACTTGTATTTGCTCTCTAAGTTTGTAAGACTTGTAAGACTGTAAGAAAGATACTCGGCTTGGGATATCCTACTGGATATATATCCTCTGGCAAGTTACTGAACCTTTTTTTTTCTTCCTCCATAAAATAGTGACAATAAACTTAACAGAATTGTTGAGAAAAGAAAGTGAAATCAGATACACAAAAAGGCAGTTGGAGGGTAAAATTCTCTTTATACAAAATAAACATTCCAAATTTTTTTATTTCCAAATATATTCTCTCCTTTGAGGTTTATTCAAAACAGCAGCAAACAAGCTTGTTTGTAAACTGAAGGAGTCCCCTGTAATGCTACATGGTTCTGAGGTTCAATGGATTACAGACCCAACTTTGATATGTACTCCCTTCACAATGCCTAGGGCCACAAGCCTTGGGCCATTTTTGCCCAGTGGCTGTGGGTCCCTGAGAAGCTGTTGCTGCACCTGCTAGAACAGCTCATCTGCTTTTGGAGGTGTTGTCTCCGCATTCAGAGCTCAGTGCTGCAGAGATTCCTTCTATCAGCCTGCAGTCCTTAAACAGACACTCTGTGCCTCTCTGGTGGGTATGAGTGAGCCATATGGAAAACATTTTTTCTCAGATGTTGTCATACTCCCAATACCACCAGATTCACTACTCTCCTTTAAGGGACATGCGTGTCTTGTGCAAATACTTTGATAAACCACTGGGTGAGGGGAGGACACCCTAAGGACAGCAGAGAACAACAGATGGGTGTCCTTGGATCAATTACTGAGCCATTTATTAGTGAAGTATGAAGGCATATCCAATGCTGATGGGATGGTATACTAGAAATGATTTTAGACGTTCTTCTCTAAAGGGGAGAGGATATGAGATCATTGCCTTTAGGAGAGAAGCTGTGGGGAAAGAACAGAGGCAAGAGCAGAAGGATGTACACCTCACATCTCCAGGGCCACCATCACATAGACTGTGATGTGCAGCCTTCTTAGAAATGTCTGATGGAAAGTTTCATGACAGTTCTGCTGTTTTGTGTGCTATGTAAAATCTCTTTCTTCTTGCCCTATGAAATCTAAGTGAAATCTGCACGATTTTTAATGTCCTGTTTTGGAGGAGATGGCCAACTACTATCCCGAGACTCAAGCTGGGCATGAGAAAGGAGCCAGGACCCAGCATAGGGAGGCCAGAAATCAGGTGCAATTCTTGAGCACCTTACTGTGTGTCAGGGATTGTGCTGAGCTATATAGAGGTATATATACATACTCCAGGCAAACTCTTAACCCTTCACCACCCTCTTGCAAGATATTTGTACTCCTGTTTAACAGGGGAGAGAGCGTAGAGATATTGAGTGTTGTGTCAATTCAACATAGCAGTCGATGGCAGGGCTGGGACTGAATTCCACTACACATGCTTCCAACTGCACTGCGTTGTCTGCCTTAAACATGAAATGAAATATAGGCAAGAGACTTGCAATTTTCTCATTTCATCAATAACTTCTAGAAATCCTGATGCGAGAGCACTTGGAAAGAGTCAAGCCCCAGGGAGCTTAGGCCAGCTCTCTCTCCAGTGTCATCAATCTTAGAGGAAGTCCTGGGATTCAGAGCGAGGCGTACCTGCTGAATGACATTGTCAGAGTAGTTGGGGGAAAACATTTCACTTTCTCTTCTTAATACTGTCTAACGGGGAGAAACAAATATCTTCACCTTTTCACCCTTTGAAACAGAAATCTATGCCCAGAATTTTCAAACAGCAGCTCAAGAAACAAATAATCTTTGTCTCTCTAATTTATCATTTTCTAACTTGATAATAGTCCTCATCCAGCGGGCCACTGTATTATAACATAGCATGTCAGATGGATCTCAAAGCTTAATGAATACAGAGAAATTAAACTCCCAAACCTGCTGATGTAAACACTCAGCACTGCCCACCCCCATCCTCTTTTTGGGTATATTTCTGAGCCATTAAAGAAATTAATTACTTTCTCTTCCATTTGCCTCGTAACTGAGGTCAGGCTTGAATGTCTAAGCAGTGCATGGCTTGGCCATCTGACTTTGCATCAGCGCAGGCGGAAATCACCTCTTAAAGTGAGGAGGCTTCTCTCTCCACTTTTTTGTTGAAGATATAAGAGTATTTTATAGAAACATCAGGCAGGGACCTGCCTTTATGATAATCATATGACTTAGAGCAAAAATAAATAATAATGCCTGGGAAGGAAAGGGAAGAAGCAGTGTTGGGCCCTCTATTGAGCTGTCAGGAGCTGCTGACAGAGCAGTTTGGTGACTAGAGGGAGCGGTGGCTGGTGGGAGGGAAGAGCATAGTGAGGACTGAGCAGGGACCGGATTGTATGAGAGGAAAGGTAGCCAGCATTTTGCAGACCTTGAAGTAACAAGAAGCAGCCCCCTTGCACCTGTGGGGGAACCATTCCCATGACTGACAGTAACACCTCACCATTGGTGGAGGGACCCAGGGAGACCAGTAGGTGAGGAGGATTATGTCTGAAGGCAGGAGGGGAGAGCCTGCAGGCCCTACATGGGGAGGAGTTGAGAGCATGGGCTCACCTTCAGGCAGACCTAGTTACCTCTCGCTTACTTGCAGTGAGACCCTGGGTAAGTTCTTACCCATGCTTGTTCCTGTAGCTATAAAGTGGGCATGATCACTCACTGCAGTTTTTATAAAGATCACATAAAATCCATCAGTGTAGCCCAATGCCTGATATCCAGCAGGTTATCCACAAATAACAAGTAGGTTTATTACTAAGGTTAATTCCAGTTATCAATGGAGGCCTTGGATTCCAGGATCAGGAGATAGGGACTGCGTGGCCCCTATGGAGACAGAACATGAGTGACACTCCTTACATCCAATGTGCAGAGGCTCCCTGAGGGCAGGGGCCTCCACTCAAACCCTGAGAAACCCAACTCTTCCTGGGACCATCCCAGAGAAGTCAGGCAAGGCAGGTGTGGTGCCAAAGGGAGGCATTTATCCATTCGGCCATAAAGAGTCATTGATGCCTTGCCAGGCACAGAGGGTGGAGTGGGGAATTAAAAATACAGACATTTTACAGCCTCTGACTTGAATTCACTTACAGTTCCAGCCAGGGAGACAAAATGCCTAGACAGGGAAGAGGGACAACAAAACAAAACTTACTATAGTATCAGGAAAGCACTAAGACTGATAAAAATACAGGAATGCCTCAAGGCTGATATGTGTTAAACCCAACAGGTCATTGATTCCCGGTGTGAGCAAGTAGGAAGATGAAATAAATAGGAAGCTTCCAGAGGGCAGGGGTCACTTTGCAGCATAATTTCAGTTGACCTTTTCTACTCTTGTCCCTGTCCCACAGACCAAGTGAGAACCATGTCAGGATCTCAGGCCTTTGGTGTGTGCTGGGATATCCATCCCAGCTACTGAGATTGACCCTGTGAGCTTTAGGCCTGGGCATGAAGTTGTTGAGGACAGGCAAGGGAAGAGGCCAGGGAAGTCTGCCAGGAGTCATAAGGGACACTGCTCTGGGAGGCAGAAGTTGTAACACTAGCTCTTCTTCTCCCAACTCACCATGAGAATTTGAGAAAGACCTTTGTCCTCTGCAGAATTCTAGTTCCTCATGCATAAAAACCTGAATAAAGCTGGCCATAGTGGTGACTCATGCCTGTAATCCCAGCACTGTAGGAGGCTGAGGTAGGAGGATTGCTTCAGCCCTGGAGTTTAAGACCAGCCTGGGAAATATAGTGGGATCTCATCTCCACAAAAGAATTTAAAAATTAGCCGAGCATGGTGGTGTGTGCTTGCAGTCCCAACTACTCAGGGGGCTGAGGTGGAAGGATCGCTTGAACCCGGGAGGTGGATGTTGCAGTGAGCCAAAATTGCACACCGCACTCCAGCCTGGGTGACAGAGCAAAATCCTGTCTCAAAAGCAAACTAACTAACAAAAAACAAAAAAAAGAAAAACTTGGATAAAGGATGCTGAACTATCCATCCTCTTAATTTTTCCCAACTGTAATACTTGAGTATATCAGGTGTGGAAGATTAGGTTCCCAGAAGTCACATTTCATCCCAACAGGGTGTCCTCTGACCCTGGTTTTAAGGACTCCCTCCTAGACTCCATGTCTCTTGCTCTGCAAGCTTCACCTGTCCCCTCAGGGACTCCGGCTGTCCCTGGCATCTACAGCTGGCTGCTCTGGGGCAACGGAAAGGTCAGATGCCTCCAGTTAATTTTTAATCATAGGTGGCAGATGTTGAAGCCCAGGATTTATGAATGCTTTTCATCTTAACCAACTTGCTGCTGGCTCCCAGCTATTCTCTCTCACCTGCTGCATATGATTTATACATCTGTCGCCCGCTGCAGTAAGCCAGAGGCTGAGCTGCACAATTTCCAGTGGGCTTGCCCCTTCTCAAATGCATTCTAGTTCTTTTGTGCTGTAACAATAAGCTTATTTGCTGAAAGACATGCGATCCTTTGGAAAACCACTCCCATTCCACACTCCTTTCCTAGCTCACCAGCTTTTCTCCTCTTCATCATCCACAGTTCTCCCTCTCATCTAGCCCTCTAGAGAACTGCAGTTGCCCTTCAGGAAGCTTGCACTGATGGATTCAGAAGAGTCAAGGCCTAGTGAATTTCAAGGGTTGCTGGGAGAGACCTGCTGAGTTCCCACTTTTTTTTTTTTTTTTTTTTAAGCACCCAGGCTGGAGTACAGTGGTGCAATCTTGGCTCACTGCAACCTCTGCCTCCTGGGTTCAAGCAATCCTCCTGCCTCAGCCTTTCAAGTATCTGGGATTACAACCGTGGACCACCACACCAGGCTAATTTTTGTACTTTTAGTAGCGACAGTTTCACCATGTTGGCCAGGCTGGTCTCAAACTCCTGACCTCAAATGATCTGCCCACCTTGGCCTCCTGAAGTGCTGGGATTATAGGCGTGAGCCACCACGCCCGGCCCCACCTCTCTTCTTGGACCTCAGGCACCAGGTCCATACTTCCTCCCTTATATGGCTGAGATGAGTCACATTTAAATCGGGTCTCAGAGACAGACCCCAGGTTCCTGGAAAAGATTTCTAAAGTGATTTTAATGCATCACGGTGTTCCTCTGTAGCTGGCACTAACTGTAGTCTGCTGAGAAAGAGGTCTGTGTCTTTTGGCTAAGAAAGTGCTACCCATTCTCCTTTCCCCATTTATGTTCTTGAAATGAGGGTAGCTGATGAGGTGCAAGGTTAAGAGAAGGGTCAGGCTCTTGAGGAGATGATCCCACCAGTTGCGTTCCTCTCTGAATCTCTTCTGGTCATGGGACCTTCCAGGTGGAGGGAAGAATGGAAAGAGTATCTATTAACCCTTAATTGTAGAGCTGGACATTTTACATCCCTAGTGCAAAAGAGTTTCCATAGAACAGGCAGGTAATATCAGCGAGTGAATTGACTTTCAGTATAAGTGAGACAATGAGGAATGGTGAGGTCTGTAACAATCTGGAGAAAATAAGTTCTGTACACAAGAAATGGTTACTACTTAGTTTTAAGGGGTTAATTTCTTAGAGAAGTATAGGCATAAGGTTGCCAGATCTTCTGGTATTTCAAGAGCATATAGAAATATAGATTTTTAAAATGTGCAATCTCTTATTTATAAGCAATTGACCAATAATTCAAAAAATAGAAAACATTATGCAGCATTCTGCAGGCTAAGCAAAGTACATCTGCTAGCCAGATTGCTCCAAAGAGCTCCTGATTTCAACTTTTCCTTTACATGTTTGATCTTACTACTATCAACAATGCTAGAAGATGGGTTTTATTATCTCTTCTCATAGTGGAAGAAACTGAAGGTCAGAAATGTCAAGGACTTTGCCTGGAGCCATACAGATGGAAGAGAAGGGGCTTAGAAATAGGCCTGTCTTGGCCAGGTGTGGTGGCTCACTCCTGTAATCCCAGCACTTTGGGAGGCCTAGGTGGACTGGTGACTTGACATCAGGAGTTTGAAACCATTCTGGCCAACATGGTAAAACCCTGTCTCTACTAAAAACACAAAAATTAGCCAGGTGTGGTGGTGCATGCCTGTAGTCCCAGCTACTCGGGAGGTTGAGGTCGGAGAATCACTTGAACCCGGGAGGCAGAGGTTGTAGTGAGCCAAGATCAACCCACTGCACTCCATCCTGGGCAACAGATTGCTGCCCTGTCTTGAGGGAAAAAAAAAAAAAAAAAAAAAAAGAAAGAAAAAGAAAAAGAAATGGGCCTGCCTGGATCTTCTGCACAAGTCTTCTTCTCCCTCCAGGGAGGAGGCCCTCTGAATATCCACTGAGTGCCCCGCCTTGCTTGCCCAGAATGAGGCAAGCACGGATATTTCTACTTTACCTTCCTCCCTCACATGCTCCAAGGCTTTCTAGGACTTAGTGAATCTTTCTATAAATTTTGCCAGTTTGACCCCCAAGTACTTGAGAACTTCAGAAGCATCTGCAGAAAAATCAACTTATTTCTGAGTCATTGTCCTTGCTAGGGCTCATTTAAGTGCCGCTTGTTAAGTCCTAAATAGTGTTAATTTTTCTTTTATCTACTTATTTTGTAGCCACTACCTGACTTTTTTTTTTTTTTTTTTTTTTTTTTTTTTTTTTTTTTTCCCCCCACATGGAGTCTCACTCTATCACCCAGGCGGGAGAGGCAGGAGTGCAGTTGCACTATCTCGGCTCGCTGCAACCTTCGCCTCCCAGGTTCAAGCGATTCTCCCGACTCAGCCTCCCAGGTAGCTGGGATTACAGGTGTGTGCTACCATGCCCGCCTAAGTTTTATATTTTTAGTAGAGACGGGGTCTCACCATGTTGGCCAGGCTGGTCTCGAACTCCTGACCTCAAGTGATCCACCTGCCTTGGCCTCCCAAAGTCCTGGGATCACAGACATGAGCCACTGTGCCCGGCCTTGACTTTTATATAAAGAGAATAAAGACAAATTCCTAGAAGTTCCAAGTCAACCAATACATAAAGAATCCAATCAGATTTTCTTGGTTGCCACATAGATTTGGAGCTTACAGGGGACTAGGGAGCTGGCAATTTCCTGAAATATGCCTGGCACTGTGCTTTGCTCCTCTATGATGTTATTTAACCTAATTCTTTATGATCCTGTGGATTGGGAATTATTGGCCTCATTTTACAAATGAGATAATTAAGCTCATAAAATTTAAGTAACATGCCTGAGGTCACACAGTGCAGATAGAGGCAGGACTTGGGCCTTGAGCTGCCCAACCTCAAATTAAATACTGCAACATGTTGCCTAGGAATCTTATAGTAAATCTGTCTGTACTGATCATGAAACAAGTTGCTGAGGAATTCTATTTTTAAATTCTGCTGTTCCATTGGGCCAGAAAAAAAGGAAAATAAAATGTAGTTTGGATTAACAATATAAATGTGGGCTTTGTATACACAGAACTAAAAGCAGGAGAAAGTCAACCTTACCCTAACCCTTCTTGAAATTTATCCATCATTCTCAAAAAATTTATCAATAATACATTGTGAGTTAGCACAAAAATAATAAATTGTACTGCTTTATGAGAGTGGAGGAATCTATAATTGTATAATTCCATACCTCTTACACGTTGTGCTGGTGTTGTCTAAATTGCATTATTATGTATGCTACAAGCCCATGGTTCATTGCTATTGTTTTTGCTTTACAAAGTTAGTAATCATTTATGTTGTATATGGTGTATTTATATGTCAACTTAGAATTTTACCCAGTGGATGTATACTTCATTATTTATATATAAAAATACATCATATATGGAATATATAAATATATTTATGTATATAAATACATTTGTAATTATACATATAACTATATGATTAATGTATTCACATATAAGTAGCTATTAAACATATTAAATTAATGTGGTATATAACATGTATTAAATACATTAAATGTAATTATGTATATTTACATAAAAATATATGTAGTATGTTGTATATAACATACTATATATATTATGTATACTCACTGGATAGAATTCTAAGTTGACAGATTCTTATTTCGGCACTTTATTTTTTATTTTATTATTATTATACTTTAAGTTTTAGGGTACATGTGCACAATGTGCAGGTTAGTTACATATGTATACATGTGCCATGCTGGTGTGCTGCACCCATTAACTCGTCATTTAGCATTAGGTATATCTCCTAATGTTATCCCTCCCCCCTCCCCCAACCCCACAACAGTCCCCAGAGTGTGATGTTCCCCTTCCTGTGTCCATGTGTTCTCATTGTTCAGTTCCCACCTATGAGTGAGAACATGCGGTGTTTGGTTTTTTGTTCTTGCGACAGACCAAGAACAAAACATTCTCAGTAAACTGAGAATGATGATTATTGAGAATGATGATTTCCAATTTCATCCATGTCCCTACAAAGGACATGAACTCATCATTTTTTTATGGCTGCATAGTATTCCATGGTGTATATGTGCCACATTTTCTTAATCCAGTCTATCATTGTTGGACATTTGGGTTGGTTCCAAGTCTTTGCTATTGTGAATAATGCCGCAATAAACATACGTGTGCATGTGTCTTTATAGCAGCATGATTTATAGTCCTTTGGGTATATACCCAGTAATGGGATGGCTGGGTCAAATGGTATTTCTAGTTCTAGATCCCTGAGGAATCGCCAAACTGACTTCCACAAGGGTTGAACTAGTTTACAGTCCACCAACAGTGTAAAAGTGTTCCTATTTCTCCACATCCTCTCCAGCACCTGTTGTTTCCTGACTTTTTAATGATTGCCATTCTAACTGGTATGAGATGGTATCTCATTGTGGTTTTGATTTGCATTTCTCTGATGGCCAGTGATGGTGAGCATTTTTTCATGTGTCTTTTGGCTGCATAAATGTCTTCTTTTTAGAAGTGTCTGTTCATATCCTTCGCCCACTTTTTGATGGGGTTGTTTGTTTTTTTCTTGTAAATTTGTGTGAGTTCATTGTAGATTCTGGATATTAGCCCTTTGTCAGATGAGTAGGTTGCGAACATTTTCTCCCATTCTGTAGGTTGCCTGTTCACTCTGATGGTAGTTTCTTTTGCTGTGCAGAAGCTCTTTAGTTTAATAGATCCCATTTGTCACTTTTGGCTTTTGTTGCCATTGCTTTTGGTGTTTTAGACATGAAGTCCTTGCCCATGCCTATGTCCTGAATGGTAATGCCTAGATTTTCTTCTAGGGTTTTTATGGTTTTAGGTCTAATGTTTAAGTCTTTAATCCATCTTGAATTAATTTTTGTCTAAGGTGTAAGGAAGGGATCCAGTTTCAGCTTTCTACATATGGCTAGCCAGTTTTCCCAGCACCATTTATTAAATAGGGAATCCTTTCCCCATTGCTTGTTTTTCTCAGGTTTGTCAAAGATCAGATAGTTGTAGATATGCGGCGTTATTTCTGAGGGCTCTGTTCTGTTCCATTGGTCTATATCTCTGTTTTGGTACCAGTACCATGCTGTTTTGGTTACTGTAGCCTTGTAGTATAGTTTGAAGTCAGGTAGCGTGATGCCTCCAGCTTTGTTCTTTTGGCTTAGGATTGACTTGGCGATGCAGGCTCTTTTTTGGTTCCATATGAACTTTAAAGTAGTTTTTTCCAATTCTGTGAAGAAAGTCATTGCTAGCTTGATGGGGATGGCATTGAATCTATAAATTACCTTGGGCAGTATGGCCATTTTCACGATATTGATTCTTCCTACCCATGAGCATGGAATGTTCTTCCATTTGTTTGTATCCTCTTTTATTTCCTTGAGCAGTGGTTTGTAGTTCTCCTTGAAGAGGTCCTTCACGTCCCCTGTAAGTTGGATTCCTAGGTATTTTATTCTCTTTGAAGCAATTGTGAATGGGAGTTCACTCATGATTTGGCTCTCTGTTTGTCTGTTATTGGTGTATAAGAATGCTTGTGATTTTTGTACATTGACTTTGCATCCTGAGACTTTGCTGAAGTTGCTTATCAGCTTAAGGAGATTTTGGGCTGAGACAATGGGGTTTTCTAGATATACAATCATATCATCTGCAAACAGGGACAATTTGACTTCCTCTTTTCCTAATTGAATACCCTTTATTTCCTTCTCCTGCCTAATTGCCCTGGCCAGAACTTCCAACACTATGTGGAATAGGAGTGGTGAGAGAGGGCATCCCTGTCTTGTGCCAGTTTTCAAAGGGAATGCTTCCAGTTTTTGCCCATTCAGTATGATATTAGCTGTGGGTCTGTCATAGATAGCTCTTATTATTTTGAGATACGTCCCATCAATATATAATTTATTGAGAGTTTTTAGCATGAAGGGTTGTTGAATTTTGTCAAAGGCCTTTTCTGCATCTATTGAGATAATCATGTGGTTTTTGTCTTTGGTTCTGTTTATATGCTGGATTACATTTATTGATTTGCATATATTGAACCAGCCTTGCATCCCAGGGATGAAGCCCACTTAATCATGGTGGATAAGCTTTTTGATGTGCTGCTGGATTAGGTTTGCCAGTATTTTATTGAGGATTTTGGCATCAATGTTCATCAAGGATATTGGTCTAAAATTCTCTTTTTTGGTTGTATCTCTGCCTGGCTTTGGTATCAGGATGATGCTGGCCTCATAAAATGAGTTAGGGAGGATTCCCTCTTTTTCTATTGATTGGCATAGTTTCAGAAGGAATGGTACCAGTTCCTCCTTGTACCTCTGGTAGAATTCGGCTGTGAATCCATCTGGTCCTGGACTCTTTTTGGTTGGTAAGCTATTGATTATTGCCACAATTTCAGAGCCTGCTATTGGTCTATTCAGATATTCAATTTCTTCCTGGTTTAGTCTTGGGAGAGTGTATGTGTTGAGGAATTTATCCATTTCTTCTAGATTTTCTAGTTTATTTGCATAGAGGTGTTTGTAGTATTCTCTGATGGTAGTTTGTATTTCTGTGGGATCGGTGGTGATATCCCCTTTATCATTTTTTATTGCGTCTATTTGATTCTTCTCTCTTTTCTTCTTTATTAGTCTTGCTAGTGGTCTATCAATTTTGTTGATCCTTTCAAAAAACCAGCTCCTGGATTCATTAATTTTTTGAAGGGTTTTTTGTGTCTCTATTTCCTTCAGTTCTGCTCTGATTTTAGTTATTTCTTGCCTTCTGCTAGCTTTTGAATGTGTTTGCTCTTGCTTTTCTAGTTCTTTTAATTGTGATGTTAGGGTGTCAATTTTGGATCTTTCCTGCTTTCTCTTGTGGGCATTTAGTGCTATAAATTTCCCTCTACACACTGCTTTGAATGCATCCCAGAGATTCTGGTATGTTGTGTCTTTGTTCTCATTGGTTTCAAAGAACATCTTTATTTCTGCCTTCATTTCGTTATGTACCCAGTAGTCATTCAGGAGCAGGTTGTTCAGTTTCCATGTAGTTGAGTGGTTTTGAGTGAGTTTCTTAATCCTGAGTTCTAGTTTGATTGCACTGTGGTCTGAGAGACAGTTTGTTATAATTTCTGTTCTTTTACATTTGCTGAGGAGAGCTTTACTTCCAAGTATGTGGTCAATTTTGGAATAGGTGTGGTGTGGTGCTGAAAAAAATGTATATTCTGTTGATTTGGGGTGGAGAGTTCTGTCAATGTCAATCAGGTCCGTGTGGTGCAGAGCTGAGTTTAATTCCTGGGCATCCTTGTTAACTTTCTGTCTCATTGATCTGTCTAATGTTGACAGTGGGGTGTTAAAGTCTCCCATTATTATTGTGTGGGAGTCTAAGTCTCTTTGTAGGTCACTCAGGACTTGCTTTATGAATCTGGGTGCTCCTGTATTGGGTGCATATATATTTAGGATAGTTAGCTCTTCTTGTTGCATTGAACCCTTTACCATTATGTAATGGTCTTCTTTGTCTCTTTTGATCTTTGTTGGTTTAAAGTCTGTTTTATCAGAGACTAGGATTGCAACCCCTGCCTTTTTTTGTTCTCCATTTGCTTGGTAGATCTTCTTCCATCCTTTTGAATTTTTCAGCACTTTAAATATATTATTCCAGTGGATGTAACTGGAGGTCATTATCTTAAGTGACACAAGCCAGGCACAGAAAGTCAAATATTGCATGTTCTCACTTACAAGTGGGTGTTAAAAACTGTGTACACATGTACATAGAGTGGAATGATAGACAATGGAAACTCAGTGGGGCGATGGGGTGGGACAGGGTAGATGACGGGAAATCAATTAATGGGTACAATGTAAACACTGTTGGCTGGGCATGGTGGCTCACACCTGTAATCCCAGCACCTTGAGAGACCAAGGCAGGTGAATCACTTGCCTGGCCAGGTTGGTGAAACCCTGTCTCTACTAAAAATTCAAAAATTAACCAGGCATGGTGGTGCCTGCCTGTGATCCCAGCTACTCAGGAGGCTGAGGCAGGAGAGTCACTTGAACCTGGGAGGTGGAGGTTGCAGTGAGCCAAGATCACGCCACTGCACTCCAGCCTGGGTGACAGAGCGCGACTCTGTCTGGAAACAAACACTGTTGGCTTAGGCCACACTGAATTTATAAAAAAAAATTCTTCAACAAATTAAACTTAGCTTACTGAGAAGTAAATAAAATATCATTCCATTGGCTTCTGTTCATCATTATTTACAGAGAAAAGTCAGTCATTATTTTTATCACTGTTCCCTAGTATGTGTCTTTTTTCTTTGACTGCTCTTAGATCTGCTGTTTACTACTACTTTAGGCTGTTTGATTACAGTGCACCTGAGGTGGAGGGGCTCTTTGTAATTATCCTGCTTGGAGTTCCTTGACCTTCTTAGGTGTACAGGTTGATGCCTTTGAACCGTTCATTAGCCTTTGTATCCTCAAATGTTTCTCCTGCTTCACCATCTCCCTTGTCTCTTCTGGGACATTCTACACATTACTTATATTTTAAAGCATTTGCTGTTGTATGCCAGATCTAGGATGCTCTGTTCTGTTTTTCTTTCACCCATTTTGTCTTTGTGTTTTCGTCTGAACACTTTCCATTGATGTGTCTTTAAGTTCACTGATCTTTGCCCTTACCATGTTCAGTCTTCTGCTAATCCATTTAATAAACTATTTCCAGTATTGTGTTTTTTATTTCTTGCATTTTGATTTGGTTCTTTTTTATAGCTTCCATGTCTCCGCTGAAATTTCCGATCTCTTCCCACAGGTATTCTCCTTTCCACTAGACCCTTTAGGATTTTTATCATAACCCCTTTAGCCTCTCTGTCTGGTAATTCCAACATCTAGATCATCTCTGGTACTGTTTGCTATTGTCTGTTCCTGTCTTGACATTGTATTACCATTTTCTTACCTTTTTCTGCTCTCATTACATACAAAAGAACACTACATACTGAAGGAAGTAATGTTTGCTTCCAGAAAGGTGCACTCCTGTTTTTCTGTGACGCCGTGAGACTGGGGGATAAATCAATCTCATCTGAGTTAGACTAGATTGAGATAATTCTGTTGTAGTTTTAGTTTTATTCAGTTCACCGCTAGCTTCAAATATCTTAAGGACAGGATAGGCACTTTTCCCGTTTTATCAGAAATGGAGGTCTCAGCACAGGTGAGGTTCTGGGGATTTGCCTGTGACTCACAGCTGAGCCATCAGCTTTCAGATATGTGGAAGACCTCTCCTTGCTTTACAACTAGGCTGACAAATCCTTGGTCATTAATACATTGTCTTTGCCTTCAAGTCCTGCCCACTGCTCTCTGCACCTTGGGAGTTTGCTTTCAGTCCTGTTGCCATTCTTCCGGTCTTCAGAGGTCTTGGGAAGATCTGGAATGCCTTGGGAGTTCTTTCTTATTTTTAGTTCATTTAGATTTCTTTGTGTTATTAGTTCTATAACGGCTATTAGTACTATGTTTTCTCTTGGTAATTAGGTGGAAGTTATAATCTCATAACTTTTAAAATCTAAATCAAAAGTGGGAGCATTTTACTCATTGTTATTGTTGTTATTCATGGTGCCTTGTGCCCGTATAGTTGAATGTCATATAGGAAAGCAAGATTTATATCTAATCAGCTTACTCTATGTGGTGTCTAGAGCCATGATGCATATTTTTTCACCATGGTCCCAAATAATTTCCTCCTTACAGGTCATGCTATGTGTCACAACCCTCATGATTCCACAGTTTGCCGAAACTTCTTAGCACTCCTTTATGAGTCTCCCACCTCCTTGGGACTCATTTTCAATTTTGCAACTGTATTAGGTGCGGGGTCTTGTCTCTCTTTCCTGCTTATGTGTGTGTGTAAACACACACATGCACACTCACCAGGAAGATACAACAATTTATCCACTCTGGAATCTGGCTTCTGAGTCAGTATTTTCATGCCATTCCCACTGACTTGTAGGATTAGTTCTTGTGTCGTGTCAACAAAGCATCTCACCATAGACTAACTTTCTTAACACATTTAGGAAAAGCCAGGAAAAGAAGTAATTTGGAACCTGAAAAAACTTGAAAGGGGGACAACTGACTTTTAGCTCTTTCCCTGGAAATATTGTAGGGCCTGGAGGACCTTTCTCAGCTTTGGAATCAACCTATATCCCAAGGATATGGCTGGTGAAGGGACAGCCAGAGATGAATGTTGCTAGGCCTCTTAAAATGGCCCTGAGCTGAGCAGGTCAACAGCTATGGGAAAAGGGGAGGCAAAAAATGTACTCAGTTCATGGCAAGAGCCTGGAAACAGGTAAAGGACAGGGAGGAGGTAAAGAGGGGACTCCGACGTAGCTGTGCCAGCCGTGGCTCCCTGGCCCAGAACTGATGGTTCTGATTATTTCCCACTGGATGCCACCATTTGCCATACAACATTAGAACCCCACTATTCAGTTCAAATCATTTCCTTTCAATTCAATGCAATTCAGTTTCATTCAATCTGACATATTAAGTATGAATTAAGTAACTACTCTATGTCTAATGCTGTGTTAGTCACTGTGATGATTGCAGAAAAAGCATTGTGCAAAATGGCTCTGTTCTTAAGGAGATTGTGAGTATAATCCTACTACAGAAATAAGAATGACTCAATGTTCAGCTAAAATTAGAGAACAAAGTAAGAGAACTGGACTGCAGGATCAGGGTTTTAATTCCTGATCCACAACTTAGTGATGGGGCCACTTAATCTCTCTGTACCTCACTTTCTTCCTCTGTAAAATGAGGGATTGTAATAGATCAGTGGTTCTCAAACTTACTGCACTTAATATCCCTTTTATAACAAATAATTTGTAATGCCTCATTTACCAAACTGAAATGAAATTTGCAGATTTTATACTTAGATATGTAATAAAAATCAGTATAATACCCTAAGTATAATATAAAGAAGGAATAAAAAGCAAGCATTTTAAAATAAATAATATGCACTTTAATATGTAAATTTTCAGATATAGCTACAATAGAAGATGTAATGAAGTACTTGGGTGGTTGCACCTACTTACAATGAATAAGTTTGAGTTTAAGAGGCATTGAGAAGATCAGAAGCAGTCTGTGCTGGAAGTACATGAAATAAAGGAACAGAGGTACACACACTCATATTCTAGAACTAAAATCCATGTAAGGGTAACAAGTAACAGACTAGACTTATTTGCACATAAAAAGAGAAAGTGGGAAACAGCTTTAACTGAAGCAAGGACAATGTGCCAACTCTAATTATAAGCTGCATGTAGAAGTAGGGAAAATGAATATTCTTACAGATGAGCTGGGCCTTATTTATAAACATGGTGTCAAAATAATGCCTGATGTTGTGACGGGATGGGAGAGTGACAGGGCATCACGGAACATACACCTTCCATGTGAAGTCCCACCATATGTTAAGGCGTGCATTCATGCATGGAGTCTCTGGTTTTCTGGTGGGGCACTTGAGATTTATGTAGGATATGAGGCAGTTCCTTGTTTTGCAGGACTGTCCCATCACTGTCGGACTTTTGTTCTCTTTCCAGCACATGCTAATAGTGCTCTATAATTATAGTGGTAACCAAGAATACCCCCATGTGTTTTCAAAATACCTCGCCCATGAAGAAGTTATCATGTTTGAAGCTCTGTCAGTCTACTATTCTGATATTTCAGAGTCAAATGAGTGGGATGGATAATAAACTCAATGGCAAGTCATGATGGGGATGATCAGTGAGAACAGAACCATCGTGATGGAGGAAGCAGGCCTCAAATTGGTCTAGAAGGATGAGCAGAATTTGGCTAGCAAGAGTGGAAGAAAATGTTGATAAATGGCTAGGCATGTTGGCTCACACCTGTAATCCTAGCAGTTGGGAGGTCAAGGCAGGAGGATTGTTTAAGCCCAGGAGTTTGAGACTAGCCTGGGCTTAAATGATGGCTAGTTTCTGCAAAAAAAAAAAGAAAGAAAAGTAGCCAGGTGTGGTGGTGTGTACCTGTGGTCTCAGACACTTGGGTGGCTGAGGTCAGGGCATTGCTTGTGCCCAGAAGGTTGAGGCTGCAGTAAGCCATGATCACACCACTGCACTCCAGCCTGGGTGACAGAGCAAGACCCTGTCTCAAAATAAATAAATATATAGAAAAACTAAAAATGTTGATCAAGATTGCAGGGGAGGCTCCTAAATAACATAAATATTAATATGTTGACAACCCCTGAGTCTTGTCTTCCCATAACTCCAATATCCAGATTCTACATTATACCTACATGTTCAGTGCAACTGATCACAAATTGAGAGGGGCTCTAAGTACATTAAAAGGAATATATTGCATTCATTAACACTCCCCAATTTTAGACTTTTTGTGAATTCAAATTTACTTTAAAATGGCAGTGATTCTGAATTACAGAGATTTCTAGTCAACCAAAGAAAAATTTTCAAAACACAGTCACATGGGGCAAAATAAAGGAGAGGGGTTCCAAACCCAGGGCTCCTGGGACCCCTCAACTCTTCTTGATTTGCAGAGTATCAATGAGAGTTTCCATTCTGAAAATACACAGCTACCCTCTAACTGACACTCCATTGAATATCTCTGCAGACGATGCTGAGATTTAGGCTTTTAAGAGCAGCTTGGGAACCTTTTTGTTACAAACAGAGTTTTGATGATAGCTCTTAAGACTGAGGAAATATGGCATCATGCTCAAGTGCCTTAATAGCTGAAGGAGCAACAGAATCAAGCACACCTGAGATGACCCTCACTGTTGGTGCTTCAGAGGAGCAGTTGTGGGCGGCGGGCACAGTTAGAAAAACAAAAGAGAGCTTCAGGAAGAAGCTTTGGCTGCCTTGGCAGTAAGGCCAGTTCCTGGGGATTTGAAGGAGTTGTGCACCTCAACATCCCAGGAGAAGGGAAATAAATCAGCGAGATCTCATGGTGTTGTGTACTTCATAACCACATCTCCTGCACCTCTCCCTGAGATACTGCAGGAGGGATTCAAAGCTTCAGAACCCTCTCTCCTGGCCATGTGACAAATCAGGGTAGTAGCAGTGTTGGGGAAATCTGGGTTCTATGTTCATTTTTTCCAGGTGGCTCTTTAAACCCACTCATCACTGTGTGATTTCTGGGAAACATACAAAGGAGGAAAAAGGGAGGATGCTATAGAAAGAAGGAGGCATGCAAAGAGAACAGAAACCAGAAGTTATGATGGGATAGAACTGGAATGAGCGTTGCGTGCCAAGTCGGATGCCTGGTTCCTGGTTTGGCTGGTCATCACTGTCTGCGTGGTCTCCCAAGTCCTCCAGCATCACGTCAGAGCCTGCCAGTCGCATCTGATGTTGCTCACCCCTTGCTCTCTGTACCCTAGTATCTCCTTTCCTTCTCAGTTCCTCAAAACCCCTTCACTCCTGTGAACCAATTCACTGTACATGCACTAACTTCTCAGGGGACAGACTCCCCAGACCCCTTGGTGGTCAGTCCATATCTTTTCTCTGACTAACACCTACTCAAGGAGTAGACAGTGTACCTAGTGAGTAATTGAGGAGTGTTTTTGTTTGTTTGTTTTTTTGAGACGGAGTTTTGCTGGTATTTCCCAGGCTGGAGTGCAATGGCTCAATCTTGGCTCGTTGCAACCTCCAGCTCCCGGGTTCAAGTGATTGTCCTGCCTCAGCCTCCAGAGTAGCTGGGATTACAGGCATGCACCACCACACCTGGCTAATTTTTGCATTATTAGTAGAGGAGGTTTCTCCATGTTGGTTAGCCTGGTATCGAACTCCTGACCTCAGGTGATCCACCCGCCTTGGCCTCCCAGAGTGTTGGGATTACAGGCATGAGCCACCAGGCCCAGTTTGAAGGGACTTTATTAAAGAAAGTATGGGCAGATTTAGCGGAACCGAAAAGGTGTGGTGAGCCGCAGGAACTGGCCCAGTGGGAAGTCTTCATTTCACATAAGCCTATAGGGGCAACCAGAGGAGCAGGCAGTGGTTCTCTTGGAGCTTTGGCTGTGGGAAGGAGCTGCCTGAGAGGCAGCAGCTGCTGCCTAAAGCAACCTCTGGACCCTGGGAGGTTGCAGGACAGACAGCCACTATAGAACCAGAACCTCCCTGAGCAGAGCAGCTGTCAGAAACACTGGAAGAAGTGGCTCTGAATATTTGCAAGGGTGGGTAATTGGCAAATCTTGTGCAAGTGTAGATAACTGACTATCGTTTATACCCAGTCCCTAACTGCAATGGATTCTGGGAAGTAAAGTTGTATGTAAGCTTTCCAACCACTCTAAAAGGAGAATTCAGAGGATGAAAAAACCATTCTAAGTATCTACTCTAACTCTAGGGCTTTACTAATAAGTTCTGCCTGCCTGAACTCCACTTTGCAGATATTGCAAAGTTCTCACCCTCACTTCCTCTCAGTCTTTGCTCAAATGCTGCCTTTCCAGGGTGGCTCTCTTTCCTGTCCCTATGAAGTGGTGTGCCCACTTACTCTCTATTCTCTCTTCACTGGTTCTGAAATGAAAGCCACTATTTATTCATTTATTTCTTTCTCCCCCGACCAGGATGTAAGCCCATCTGAGCAAGCGTTTTTTGTTGTTGTTGTCGGTTATCTCAATCACCCTGTCTTCAATGTCTGTGTCTCAGTAAATATTTTTTGAAAGAATGTTGAATCAATAAACCTGGAGAAGAGAAGGCTCAGGCCAGACTTTGAAGGGCTATTATAAGATGCACTGGAGAGTTAGATGTATTCTTTTCACAGAGGTGATGTTGCAAAGGAATTGAGGTAGAGGAGGAAGGTGATACTCTCTGTAATTATGAAGGTGGTCACTCTGGCAGCAGCTGAGAAGGCAGCCTGGGGAGGGGAGCAGTGGGAGGCAGCTGTTCATGAAGGGAGTGGGTCAGCCAGTCATTTGAGCAGGACCTGCTGGATGCAGATCCCTCTGCCAGGCCCCAAGGAGTGTGTAAGTGGCCTGGGGGAGGGTGCTGAGCTCTGACAGCATAAAAGGCACAATCTCAGTCCCCTGAGGAGCCAGCAGGTCTATTCAGAGAAATTAGAGTCAATTACCTGCATAAAATGTGTAGAGCACATGAAGAAGTACAAATTAACACAGCAGGAGTACACAGGGTCCCATGAGCACCCTCTAGAAAGGAAGAGCTGTCTTTGGCCATGCTTGACCTAGCAGACTTCCTGGGAGCCACGAGGACGCGTGGTGCACCAGCAGAAAATTCTGGATAGCAGCACATGCAATTATCTGCCTGGGAGCTTGTGGCCAGTTGACAAGACACTGTCTAGACACTGCCTGGCATGTGGGAGGAGCTCATATTCTCTCTCTTTCAAACTTGTTGAATCAGCAACTGAAAAATGCAAACCCTATGTAATTTTCTGAGTGCTCTTGCCCCCTCTGTTTGGCACACAACTCTGTGACTGTGTTTTCCTGCTTGAAAGGCTCTTTCCTTGGCGTTAGTTTTCCTCTCTGGGTCCTCTTCCTTCTTGAATAAGGATGATATCCTTTGTCTTAATTTTTTCTCCTTATCTCACTGCTGCTCACAAAGGCATAGTTCCCTCTGATAGCTGCTTCTGGGAACAAGACCCCTCCAAATCAATGACTTGTTTTGTGAACTTGAATTAACCTTGCCAACAGCTCCTTAGGATGTTCCACTGTGAGGAATGATCTAAAACTAAATTCTCTTTCCCCCATGATAAGTTTACATGCCCATTTCTTTAGGCTATGGTGCCCAGTTGTTTGGCCAAACACCAGTCTAGATGTTTCTGTGAAGATATTTTTTTAGATGTGATTAACATTTACAGCAGAGGACTTTGAGTAAAGCAGTTTACCCTTCATAATGGGGGGGTGGGTCTCATCTTACCAGCTGTCAGTGTTAAAAAAACTGTGAGGCGCTCTGAGATGGGAGGAATTCCGCCTCTGATGGTCTTTGGACTTAAGACTGCAACATTGACCCTTCCTGCTTGTAGATTTCAGACTTGCCAGCCTCTATAATCTTGCGAGCCAATTTCTTAAACATCTCTCTTACATATATACATCCCCTTAGCTCTGTTTCTCTGGAGAATGGAATGCTAATAAACTGGCTCCCATTGTTCCTGCCTGGACTCATTGTCTCTGATGGGGCAGGACCATCTGCCCAGTGACTTAACTCACCCTTTCTCCTCCTGCTCACCCCTGACATCCAGTCATCACCAGATCATGTCAGTTTTACCTTCTAAACTTATTTTAAATCCTATCCTTTTTTTCCTGTTTTCATCACTATGTCCCTATAAAAGTTACTATCTTCTCTAATAAGACCTACTACTCTACCCCACTGCTGAGTCTCCCTGCAATCTCTCTTGCCTCCTCCAATCTGCACAGTGGTGGTCTTTCTAAATAATAAACCTGATCTTATGGAACAATTCAATGGCTCCCTTTGATCTCTATCATAAACTAGAAATTCATTAATGCTGATTAAAAGGTCCTAGAAGATCTAGCTCTTGCTACATTTCTTATCCCATCACCAGCTCTATCCAATCCCCACCACCTTACTCTGCTTCTTGAAGAAGCCATGACTTATTATGCCTCAGGGCCTTTGCACGTGCTATCCCCTTAGCCTGGAAGACAACCTGCGCACATTTTCCCTCTGGCTAATTCCTCCTCATCTTTTAGATGTCATTTCCTCCAGGAAGTATTTTCTGACCCCTCCAATCTAGGTCAGATTCGGCTTCCATATGGCTCCATCACACTTACCACATATTATTATTACCTATTTGATTTTCTACCTCCCTGCAGACTGCGATTGCATCTTGCTCACCACATATTGCATCCCTGGTGCCTAGTGTTTAATAGATGCTCATTACATTTATATCAAATGAATAATATCTAAATAAATTCCAATCTGTTTTTTACTGCCCCTGTCTACAAAAATGTTATTAAAAACGGAGTCTATTCAGTGTCTTACTAACTTCTAAATAAGTTAATATATAAGAGAGTCTAATCTCTCTGCCTTTAGTGACCTCTCACACTGCTGCTGGTTCTGATACAGTTTCTTTGTTCAGGGCCTTCAATACTTTGTCATGTCTGGTGTCATTCTAGGTCTTCCTGCTTGCGCATTTCAGGTGTGCCATGTCTGGTGTTATCCTAGCCATGAGATGACTGTCCATTCCTAGGGCCCTATATCGTAGCCCAGTGAATCTCTCCTAGCCGTTGGCTATCTTCGCATTTCTCCTCTATGGTGGTTTCCTCGTGTTGTCTCTTCTTGGAAAAAAAGCCTTTCCAGACTCTGAACTGCCTTTGTCCTTCCTTGGATTGTAGTTAATTATCCTCTTTTCTAAACACCACATGATTTACATAAGGGAAAGAGTTAGCAGATACAAGACCTTAGATAAGCTAGCTCATTTTTAGAGGGTCAGTATCCTCACCTGTAAAATGGGACTCATAATATCTACAGCATTGTAATAACAGCTTTCACTCATCCAGTTACAGCATGTGCTGAGTAACCTTCTAAGCATGCTGCACATGTTAACTTACTGAACCATTGCAACAAAACCCTCTTTAGTGCCGGAACTGAGGCAGAGAGAAGTGAAGCAACTTTCCCAACATCACAGAACTGGAAGTTGCAGAACGGGGATTCAACCCCGGCAACCTGCTTCCAGGTTTGAACTCTCACAGCATAGCTACACTGCCTATTAGTAAAAGTGAGATAATGAATAAAGGTGCTTAGTCCAAAATGCTGCTCTAGCAGGCAGAGTGGGTGCCTTGGGGTCAGGTGGATTTGAGTGTGATTCTGCCATTTAGGAGCCGACTGACCTTGAACTGGTTATTTATCTAATAGATACCTCATCTGAAAAATTGGCATATTACTAGTATTTCATAGAATTCATTCTGCATGTTGTAAAACAACCCATAAACATGTTCTTAGAATAGTGCCTGGCACATGGTAAGATCTTCATTGATGTGCATTTTATAATTATGTCTAATAATAATCTTTATTATCACAGTCTGCTCTGTGCTATAATTGCTTGTGTGTTTAATTTTAATCCATCCTGTGAGGTCATAGTCTTTTTGTTCGTGGCATATGTTTTAGGTCCTTGCACACAGTAGATGCTCAATGTTTGTTAAATGAGTAAATAGATGATCTTTTCATTGTGATTCATTTAAGAGGTTGTAGAAAGTTTGGTGAGCTGAAAAAAGATTTTGGTCCAATTCCATCTTAGGGGATGGAAAGGGTTCCCTAAGATGGAAGTGGTGACGTCAATGGACAATGCCAATTACCACTTTTTCTCCTGCTCTGTCTACTATTCCCACTGAAAGAGTTCATGGCTAGAGGGCTGGGACTGTCTCTCTTTTCATCCTGTTGAGGCAAGGTGGGTAATACGCATCCCACAGCTGGGTCTGAAGGACTCAGATTCTTCCCTGATCTGAAGAAATTACATTGACTTTTTCAGACACAAAAGAGGCTTTTGGTGTTGCCGTTGTTGTATGTAGCCAGGAATAGTGGGGGCTATAGAAACAGGAAGGGATTCTGGAGAGAATTGGGGCTTTGGAGAAACTAACCTGGAGCCCTGATTCACCATCAACAGTGTGATTCTGGGAAAATCATGTAAATGCAGGTGGGGTGGGTCCATTTTCCTTATTTGCCAAATGTGAGATCAAATGGGAGATCCTACAGGAGTGGACTGGGGAAGCATCTTAAGGACCTCCTTGGTTTAGCACGGCTGCCTTGGTGCTGAAGGTGGGTCTCCTGGGAATCTAAATCACTGTTGTCTCACTGACTGCCAAGGCAGAGACAAGCCCTGTGGGAAACCGAGCTCATATGAGGAGGCGAAGTGAAAGTATCAGGTGACGCTAATGCTTGAAGGAATCTTAAGGATCAGCTGGCCCAGCAATTCTCCAATTCTTGCTGCCTCCACAATTTCTGCCATATCTGCACACCATCTGCAGTTATTGATGCAGTATTTTCCTTTAATACCAGTCGCCTTTTTACTTAAACATGTATAGAAAAAAACACTTTGTACTATTACTGTAAATGTAAAACCAATATCACTTCCTATAAATAGAAGGCAAAAAAAGAAATAAAACGAAAACTCAGCGATGTCATTAAATTCCAGTGAGGTACTGCTGCTTGTCAAGGTTCTAAGCCTGAGGCCAGCCTTCTCCTCCTTGAAAAGGTAAATTAGTAGCCATTAAAGAGGTGTTAACTGAGAACTCAGAACCAAGCTGGGACTTGAAGGATTGAATGATAATTGAAAAGGAGATCAATTGCTCACTCAGGATTAAATGTAACTTACTACTATATTCATGCTCCCTCTAAAATGATCTCCACTGCTCTACATTTTAGAGAAAAGGTGACTTTGGTCCAACCTTGTCATTTCACCAATGATGAAATTGAGATCCAAGTGGATCACGTCTCTGTTCACACCACCCAGGAGCTTTTCAGCCCAGACTTGTGACCATGATGTGTTGGTCACCTAAGGGTCACGTCGCAACCACCACTGCCGAGAGAGATGTGGGGATTCCGTAAGTCAAAAACTATTTTCAGCCACCTCAGGGCATTTGGATCTATTATTTCACTCAGTCTTCGAAGCGGCCCCATGAGATAAATAGGCCTTGTTTGATTCTGGCCATGGTATAGATGTGGAAGTGAGATTACCTGATATTTCAGGCCCCTTGGCTGGCAGGTGGCACACCAGGCCCCAACACCACCCCCCTAGTTTACTTCCTTCCTGCTACATCACCCAGCCTCTCAGAGAAGCTGGCATGACCTCACTTCATCTCCATCTGCTTTGTGATTGAAATTTATATAACCACACTGATTGTATTCTCCGTGAACAAGATACTATAGGCCTTTACAAGGTTTGAGTTCTCAAGTTCACATCCTCATTATTCTATCCAAGGCATCTGGGAAAGGAAAATAAACTTTTCAAGTAAAACCTCATCTCTTCAACCTAACCTCAGGCATGAAGCAGGAAGATGGCATAAAAACAGCCAGGGAGTCAGCAGGTCTTGCTGCAAGCAGGCTGAGTGGCTGAGTGATTGTGCCACCGGACCAGGGCTGGCGAATGATGTCAGCAGAGCAGGAGGGTCCAACCTGCATAGTTTGAGGGGATCACATCCACATGTGGCCACATCAGGACTCCCCTTCTCCCCTCCACCCTGCCCAGTGCACAGTATTCCCATTACTATCTTTCAGTCTTTCAGTGACATTCACTTTTTATAAAACAAATTACATACATGCTGGACTTTTTAGTATGTAGGTAAGTAACTGCAATCCGTCTTCGATGCTTTTCCGAAAACTACCAGATAAAGTTGAAACTAATTAGCCTGGCATCCAAGTCTTTTCATGACGTGGCTAAGTGATTGTTCTGGTCGGCATGGGCCAACCTTCCAAGCTCATTTCTCTGCCTCCTCAGGCCTTACTCAGCCTTCCGGAGCATACTCTTGCTCTACTCCTGTATTAGCCAATTTTCATGCTGCCATAAAGAACTGCCTGAGATTGGGTGATTTATAAAGGAAAGAGGTTTAATTGACTCATGGTTCAGCATGGCGGGGGAGGCCTCAGGAAACTTAAAATCATGGCAGAAGGCCAAGGGGAAGCAAGGCAGCTTCTTCACAAGGCGGCAGGAAGGAGAAGTGCCAGTAGGCGAAGTGCCAGATGCTTATAAAACCATCGGATCTCATGAGAACTCACTGAATATCACAAGAACAGCATGGGAGGAACCCACCCGCATAATTCATATACCTCCACCTGGTCTCTCCCTTGGCACAAGGGGATTATGGGGATTACAGTTCGAGGTGAGATTTGGGTGGGGACACAGAGCCAAACCATATAAACTCTCTTGAGCCCCAAGAGCCAGGTGAGCAAGGGATGGTGCTGTCTGTCAACTTATTTCCTATTTTGTGAAGAAATTAGTTGTGTTGTGTCTTTTTGCATCTCTTTATTTTGATCTGCTACTTATATAGTTGCATCTTAAGTGTTTAGTGGTAGGTATTCAGTTACCTGTATTTTGTTTTTTTGGTCACAGTGTGTTGTGTTCTGTGCATTCTGCTGCTGCCTGCTCTGTATTGCATATGAAGTAGATGTTCCACACACATGTGGCCAGGAGCTACCTTCCTAGCCAAAGTACAATTACCAAGTGTTAAGAGTTTTAGGAACTGTGCAAAGCAGTTTGGGAGTTGTGTTGATTGCACTCCCAGGTAGTGAAACAGAAAGTTGCAGCACCCATCACACTATGCTATTGCACCCTTTTTCTTTTTTCCTGACCTAAAGGAAACAACTGCTTTCTGCAGAGGCCTCAGGATGGGAGAAGGGATACAGTTTAGCAAACCCAGCCCCATCTCCCCAGCCTTTGCAACCCCCCTTCTTACTTGCTGGAGTCCTTTGTGTTCCATCAGAGAAGAGGAAGATGAGAGCTTCAGTTCCCCCTCTCCTCTTTCATTCTCTCCCATGCTTCATTCTTCCTTCTTTGCTTTCTCCCATCTTCGGGGCTGTGGTTGGCTACCAAGTCTATTCCCTGTGGCCTTGTGGAAACTTGGGGAGTGAGGCAAATTCACTGCCTGGGCCATGAAATCAGGGAGCAAATTCCAAGTGAGTATTGGAGTGCCTCATGGGAAGAGGCACTGCTGCCTGGGCTGTAATTGTCATGGAGGCCGTTGTCATGGTGACTCCACTAGCAGGCAGAGAGAAAGGGTGCAAAAGACTAGGGAATGAGAGAGAGAGGGAGGAGCAGAAAGGGGGGAAAGGAGGTGAAAGGGGAAGATGGCAGAAAGCAAAGGGAGGGAGGAAGAGAGGAAGGGAGAGAGAGGTGGAGGGGAGGGAGTTTCCGGGAGGATGTGGAAGTCTTTGATTGGGGGAGACAGCAGGAGCTAGGTGGGTAATTGTGGTTGTTGCAGGAGGGGATGAAATGTGAAAGGCCAGTGAACCAAGAGGTGAAAAGGTGGGAAGGAGGAGAGGGGATGAGTAGAGATGGGGAGAGTGGAGAAGCCTGAGGAAAAGATGAAAGAAGGGGCTTCGGAATAAGCAGGGGCTGGCGTGGGGAGGGGAAAGGAGGGGAGCCAGCCAGGCTCTCAGAGTGATGCTTAATTATTGCCTGATGTTTCCCATCTCTATCTGCCCTTTGATCTCCTGTGTTACACATTAAATATGAACAATCAAACGGCTGCATCTCATGTTTAAAAACTTGATGAAGCGAGACTTCAAAGCGAGCAGTGGAGCAAAATGGGCGTCTTGCCTGGCTTTTTGTAGCGTGGCTTTGCTGGCCCAATTAGGTTAAAGGGAGCCCTGAAATTCCCTCTCGATTGGAGCAGGGCTCCTGTACTTGTTCCCACCACCGGCTGCCAGACTTAATGAGATTAATGACCCAGGCTGGTCAGCCACCAACTGACCCCTCTCCGGTCACTGCAGACCCACAGAGGGGCTGCCCAGAAGCTGGTACCTGGGACCAAGCCCTCATAGGCTCTGCTTCTGTATTCCCAGGGAGGCCTGGGGCTGGATGGGATCCATCCTCCATGTGGCTGGGAAGCAGTTGGCTGTATAGCCACTGTGACAGGTGCCCGGAGTAGCAGGAGGAGTCCTTGAGCCCTGATCTTAGCCTGCCTCTCCAGATTTCCATTCTAGGTGCCTGAGGTCCCAAAGGCAGCCATATCCACTCATCCAGGAAGTCAGAATTAGGGTCTTGTCTGCCAAGAGCAGAGATCTAGCTGCTCTCCCTGCACCTTAGTTTTCCCCTCTTTCAATGCAGGGACCAGACTAGATACTACATTGTTCTCTCCAACACTTTTGGGCTTACCGGGCTTACTCCAGGCACCTTACAGGGTGCCTCTGCCGGGTGGTTTCCGGAACATCCTTGTGTCCCTGGAAGGAATGCTTTTTCCCATCCTAAACCACACCTCTTCAGCCTGCTCGGAGCCTTTTGCTACTCCAGGGCCGTTTCCCTTCCCTTTCCCCCAAATTCCTCCAGAACTCTCACATTGCCTGAACCATGCCTACCTGATGGAAGGAGAGACAACTGATAGCATATTCATACTGGGTTGGGGGAAGTTAAATGAGAGTATTTGTATTTTGAAAAAGCACATCTGGAGAGAAGGCAATGATTCACTCAGAGGAAGGTCTCTGAGGGCCCAGTTGTTGAATTTTATGTGTAGGAGGAGGTGGAACTGCAGGTGGCCCTCAAATCTTGCCAAATAGGGGAATTCTTACCCTTTCTATGATCTTTTCTTCTATGTGGGTGTTGGCGGCAGGGGGGTTACTCTGGGCATTATGGGCTGAGACTATGAAGTTTGGCTTATGCTTTTAGGCATACATATCTTCTCTCCCTCATCATCGCCCATTTTGTAGAAATGGGACTTGTGCTCAGCAGTAATTTATCTAGGCACAGTGGGGCTGGCAGGAGCAGGGAAGGTGAAGATGTGCGTCAGAGGAGCTCACAGCCAGGGCAGACTCAGCGCAAAGCTGCCGATGAGAACAGTTCCACCTTCTGGAGCATCCTGAGAACAAGGCTGGCCTCATTTTCTGCTTGGGTTCATCGTCCACACCCTTGAGGTTCTGGCCCCGAAGAGAGTTTCCCAGGCATCTTTTCTGGCGCCCTCCCTTCTGGAGCCATGTCTGAGTGGCAGAGTGAGCCACCGCGTGCCAGCCCCACTGATGGCTGCCGGCAATGACAGATGTTATTTTACAGAATGTGACCCCAGAGATGTGACATGTATAGTTCCTAAGTGCCAACTGGGAAAGCTGGGGAAGGAGGGAGCGAGGAATGAGGCTCTACCCTTGGCTGTTTTTCTCCAGCTGATGGGGTGCAGGGAATATGGAAGCGGAAAGTTGCTTTTTCTTTTCTTGGCATCTGGGAGATTTCAGTGCTCAGGCAGTCCTGTGTTGGCCTCTGAGCTCATGAACAGATTGATGAGATCTGACCAGGTCTAGTGGACCTGCAGATACTTGCTTCTCAGTGCAGGGAACTGGGAAAAAGTGATGATGTTTCCTTGTCTTCCTGGAGGCCTCTGACAAGTCAAGCAAAGCCAGAAAGAGAAGGGGTGAGTGCATCTGTCCTGGTCCAGACTCAGAAAACACGGGGTCTGGAAGCTCCACACTGTAAAGCTTCCTGGCATATAGGTTCCTTCACAGCACAGCACTTAAGAACAGGCTGCCTGGGTCAAAGTCTGGGTTTTCCTGGCCGCGCATGGTATCTCACACCTGTAATCCTAACACTTTGGGAGGCCACAGTGAGTGGATCACCTGAGGTCAGAAGTTCGAGACGAGCCTGGCCAACATGGCGAAACTCCATCTCTACTAAAAATACAAAAATTAGCTGGGGGTGGTGGCTCATGCCTGTAATCCCAGCTATTTGGGAGGCTGAGGCAGGAGAATCACTTGAACCCAGGAGGTGGAGGTTGCATTGAGCCAAGGTTGTGCCATTGCACTCCAGCCTGGGTGACAGAGCAAGACTCCATCTCAAAAAAAAAAAAAAAAAGTCTTGGTCTTCCAGAGTGATCTGGGACTAGTTACATAATGCTCTGTGCCTCAGTTTCCACATTTGTGAAAAGCAAGGCTAATGGTTGACCCCTGCCATACCCTTGTTGTGAGGATTACAGCACTACAATAATGCCTGGCACTTATTATTCAATGAGAGTTATCTTTTATTTTTGCATCTATTATTTCATTTGGTTTTCACTTAATCTCTGACAGTGCTAGGGAACTTTAAGCTCTTTTTATAGAGAGAGGAGAAAGGTAAGACTTTGCTTAGCTCACACGTGGTGGAATTTTGTCCTTTTCCTTTCCCCATGATGCCAGGTACAGTAGGGAAGTGGAACCTTCAGTCTTGACACATGTGGTGCCATTGGTTTTAGACACCAATTATTTCTAGTTCTATCTCCTTCTGGACACATGTTAGGATTGCAATAAAAGTTATGGCCATGTGACTTGCTTTGACCAATAACATGTGAGCAGACATTGCATATGTCACAGCTGAGTGAAAGTTCTAGGATCTGGAGTACACCTTGCCTGGTCCCCTTCCACTGCTGCAGTGACTATGTGAGCCCCTGCCAAGACCTGAGAAACTCGAATGAGAAGAGTGCCCCAGCAGCCCTCATTGGACACAGGTGAAGGAGAACATACCTTGGTTGGTTAATCACTGAGATATGGGAGCCAATTTTTAATGTTGCACAGCCAAGCTTATCTTGCCTCATTTGTGAAAATTAAATGCATCTAGAACCCGGAGTCCTTCTCTTGTCAGAACCTGCTTCCCAGCTTTCAGAAAAGCCCAGTCTGATGGAAGGGTGTGAAGTAGTAAACCACCGTTCTCTGCCTTCTTCTTTCAATCTTGATCTACTTTATTCCCTAGTAGATGCCATTCAGCTCAGGAGGTAAAGGGTTCTGAACAGAAGAGGGATTTTGTTTCAGTTTGCTTTTGTTTTTCGTTGTATTCCCCTGATAAAGACATTGGGATCCCTACCCACTCAGTTGTTCCCATCAACCTCCTGATATCTCAGAGGAAGTAGAGAGATGCAGGGATTATACAAGCACCTCCGGTAGGAGTGGGGTTTGAAACAGGCTTTGCTTGCCCTGGTCTTGGGCTGCCCCTTCTCAAGAACTTGATCTCTAAGTATAAGAGACTCAGCCTGGAGCTGACATTGAGAGACCCCTTCCCAGGGTCTCAGGGCCGGAAGGAGACTTAACTAAACACCACCCCATATTCTAGAGGAGGGGAGTGGGACTTTGAAAGGTAATGGATGGCCCTGAAGCCAGGCTGTCTGCAGTCCTTGAAAGGCAGGACCAGCTGCATAATTTGCATGGCCTAGTACAAAAGAAAAATGCTGGGGCACTTGTCCAAAAGTATTAAACATTTCAAGATGGTGACTGCCAAACATTAAACCAAGTGAGGGCCCCTGCTAAGCAACTAGGCCCAGGGCTTTAGTTGCTCATCAATGTAATGGCTGATTACTTCTCAAGAAGGGAAAAGGAAATCCACTTTAGGCCTCAGTCCATACCCACCCTTTGGAAATGGTTGACCAAATTTCAAGAGGAGCTCAATGAAACACCATCTAGGCTATGAAATGACTCCAAACTCACATCTATGGTCTGGTCTTTCCAGGTGATGGCTCTGCCACATGGCCGAGACCAGCTTCTTAGCTCTCTCCTACACAGGGAAGGCAGACTTCCCCTGATCTGTAAAAGCCAGTTTAACGATAAACTCTAGGAAATCCTAGCCAGTTTGGTGATGAACCCTAGAAAAACAGATACCAATTCTCCTTGTGTTGTTTTAACTGTTCAGGGGGTCTGGGGAGAAAATCCAATCTGCAGAGAGGAAGACATGAGTTTGGGGGCTTATAAAGACTTGTCACTCTCCTGTTTATTTCCTTATTTTCTGACTTCCCCTTGCAAGTGTGAGTGCCTATGACCTGAATGCATGATGAGGGACACAGAGCCATGTGGAACAAGCAGGCGGCAGGTGGAGCTGGTGATGTCTCTGGGTGCTCCACAGTGCAGAGTCGTGTGCGTCGCACTTCCCTCCTGCACCCAAGTCAGGATATCTAGGTGTAAATAACTGCTGCAGCACATCAGGCAATTTCTTCTGGAGAATTTATGGGGATTAAAGTGCCCAGCTTGATCCAATCAATCATCAGTAGCCAAATATTTTCTAAACATCTAGCATTTATTCATTCAAATGAAATAAACATTTACTCTGGACCAGTAAGATTTACAAAGATGTAGAGACAGAAAACTCTAATTGTGTGATTTCAGGATCCAGCCTAACGCCTTAGGGTGCAGGGGTGGGAGTGGCGTCAAGACTTGATGCCTTTACCATTTTCTGGAATAACAGAGAACTCCGAAATGATGCCTGGGAGTCTCTTTGCCTACGGGTAAGGCATGAGCCCTAAAAGGGATGCAGGAAGGGACAGGACAGGTCTGAAGATGTCGCTCCTGCATGTCTGAAAACCCAGTTTGTCTCCACTCCTCCCTAGGGTGGTCTCCCACTGGAGTCAATGATGCTCCCAAGTTAACAAACACAGCTAGCCTCTTTCCCTGCAATTCTGTCTCTCCTCTTTTGCTGGAATGGTAATTTTAAGTCTCTAATAGCTCCTCAGGGCACTGAGGTGAGGCAAGAGGGGGATGTATTTATGTTCACATTTGCCAGCCTGTCTTGCCGGGTGATAGCAGGGCTGATGGCACAGCTGATGAAAGCCACCGCTCCATTCCACCCGGTGAAGAGCAAAGCAGAGTTAGTTGCATCTCCCCGGTGACCAGTCTGCCTGCTGCTCTCAGCTTGGGCCAGCCCACCATGTCCTCTCACCCACTCCTGGCTTCAAGTCAGTCCCAGCAGTCCATGCATATTCATGTTGGGGCAGCAGAACCCTCCTCAGAAGGGTTGTCATACTGGGCATTTATTATTCACTGTCTCTAGCTCTCTGCATGGCCACCAGACAGGAGGCCCCTCCATAGGCTGGCTGCAATGTCACTGCCAGCAATGGGGTTAGCAGAGTGGAAAAGAACAATAGCACATCATTAATGGAGGGGGGAGGGCTGTTCTGGTGGTGGGTACATTAGCAGGTAGTCAGCATCCTGAGATCCACCCAGAGGTGCGTTATGAGACTGATGCCATTGTGATTGCTGTCACTTGGTCTAACAACAGCACCTGCATTGCACACTTACTGGGCAGTGGGTCTCTGCTGGGCACTCACTCATGCACTTCCAGGTATGCTCTCCCATTGAATGCTTCCAGCTTTGGGAGATGGGTATTCATTGGTATTTTGAGTCTACAGATAAAAAGCTGGCATTTGAAGAAATGAAGTAGCTGATCCAAGCTCATGCCACTATGAAATAAGAGATACATCCAAGCCTTCTGACTCCTGGTCTGCCTTGTTACTGCTAACGCAAGCCGCCTCTGCAGGTGCGGTTATCCCTGGAGGCGCTTCCATTAAGTCCAGTCAGCCTCCCTCTTACCCATTTTGCACAGGCATACATTTGCCAAAGCTGTGCTTCTGGAAGGACTTACACAGATTCCAAGTTGAGCATCTGAGAAAGAGCTGAGAAAGACATGAGAAGTCCCCTAGTTCAAATTCTTGTTTTAATAAATTGGGAAACTAAAGTAATAGCCAGACATCAAAATCAGTTCTTCCAGCACCTTGCTCTGATGCTAGGTCTTTTACCCTCCCTGTAGGCCCTGGTTGTTTCACCAAGTCCAGCCCGTGGGCCTGGCTCTTTAGGCCTATAGTCATCTGCACCACCCAGCTAAGCCTGTTTTCTCTCACCTGGTGCCTAACCTGTTAACTCCATTCAGATTCCCAGGTGGGTCCCCCCATTGCCTGGAAGATGAGCTTTGCTCAGCCTTACCTTTGCATCTTCGTGTGGGCTGTTTCCTCATCTTCTTCTAAAATGTTACTTGTTCCTAGCCTCTATCTGAAAATTTAAAGTGTCATCTCCTTTGTGGATCTGTGTCCAGCTTACCCCTGTCTTTTCTTCTCAGAAATCCTACTGCATAAATTGTTGGACTTCATTCATCTCCACTTCTAAGTCCTTGGTTAGATCAAGGAGGGCAGGAGTGCTGTGCTTAGCTCATGGGTTTTTTTCATCATTTGATAAGAACAAGAAGGCACATAGAAGTTCCTGAAGACATTCTTAGGAATCAACAGATGCATAATAATGTTGTCCACTTACAACCCTCTATCTCTGATATCACTATCTCTGCCTGCTTCCAGCATAGTACACAACAACCGTTCATTCACAAATGCAAGAAATGTTTAAGGAAGAGACGCTACTTGTTGGGTACCATAAGCAGTGTGGAGGGGGCAGGATGGATAAGCATACATGCCCACTAGGAGCTTATAATCTAGTGGAGGAGAAAGAAGTAACAGGCTGGAGAGTATCAAGGAAAGAAGATAACCTGTCTGGCTGAAAGAGAAGCCATCTGGGTTGTGATATCACTGAGCAGGTCTTGAAACATGACGCTTAAGTACCTCCTATCCTCCCCTGCCCACCGCAGCTGCATTTTCTCGCCTGCCATTCGCTAGTGACCCTGAATTTCCAATCGTGCCCTACTTCAGCTTGAACCCTCCAGCCTGTTGTGATTGGTTATTTCCTTTTTTCTATTAAATATTCCCAGCTAGATGTCCCTCTGATAAAGTCCTGTACATTCCATTTGAAAGTATGAATGATGGGTAACCAATGTTGATGCTGCCCTTGGAGACAATGACACATGAAGGATTCCTATGGAGGAACTCTAGATGTTGGAGACAAGTTATTTGGAGAGTTGTTTGGGGACAGATTTGGGGCTTCCCACATGCCCCTTAAAAAATAACATGGAGTTGGAAGCAACCACTGCTTTCAGTTTATCTCCTCTACAAGCAATTAAGTTTCCACAGTGAACTAATGAATGATTTAGGATTAACACCCAGCTCTACACTGGAACCCCAAAAATGTGCTGAGAAAGAAGAGTTAAAACACATGCTGGGGGCTGGGTACAGTGGCTCACGCCTGTAATCCCAGCACTTTGGGAGGCTGAGGTGGGTGGATCACGAGATCAAGAGATCGAGACCATCCTGGCCAACATGGTGAAACCCCATCTCTACTAAAAATACAAAAATTAGCCGGGTGTGGTGGTGCGCATCTGTAGTCCCAGCTACTCAGGAGGCTGAGGCAGGAGAATTGCTTGAACCCGGGAGGCGGAAGTTGCAGTGAGCTGCAATTGCGCCACTGCACTCCAAGTGACAGAGCGAGACTCCATCTCAAAAGAAAAAGTACAGTGGAAAAATTTTCACCTATATAAATATTCCAAAAATCAGGAAAAAGTTAAAATAGAAGGATGGCAAAGGGGCTTGCAATCGCTTAAGCATTTTGTATATATGAGCCGCTCTGTAAGACCCATGGTGGTAGAACCGTGTCTGATTTCCTGCTATAGTCCTAGAAAAGTGGGCGGCACAGTGTCTGGCACTGGCTCCGTCAATATTTTTAGATTGATTTCTTCTTTTTTCCTTTCTTTTTCTTAATACTAGTAATAAAAGAGTAAGTCAACATTGCACTGTTCATTAGAGTGCCATTTGCATATCTGCCTGAGAACTCTGTCATATTGTAGCATAAATTGTGCAAAAGACATAGGCTCCCTGGAGATATGGTAAGAGGAAGTTGATGTTCCTAATTGGGCCACCAAACCCAGGAGTGAGTTAGTCACAAAAGCATGATAACACATGTACTACAGTGAGGTTGCCCTCAGGGAAGCATTTGTTCATTCATTCCTATGCAACACACATTGTTAAGCACGCAAGTATAGTATGTACTGTGTTAGACCCGGCAATTTGAAGAAAGTGTCTAACCTCATAGGATAAATAAGCAAATAAACCAATAAATGAGTTTTAAAAGGAGTACTGTTATCAAGAGAACAAACTGGGTTCCCTTAGGGAGACTAATTAGGGTTAATGGTACTCACGTAGGTAAAGCGACCCAGAAGGGACGTTCCGAAGAGGTGACCTGTAAGCTGAGACCTGAAAAAAGCCAGCCCATGGAGGGCCAGGAAAGCCATATCTAGGTAGAAGAAAGTGTAGGTTGGTGTAAAGGGCTTAAGAAAGGGTGGGTGTGTTAGATGGAAAGAAGGCAACATGGGCAGAACCCATGAATGAGAGGAAGGTGGGATAGAATGAGGGCAAAAGCGGGTCCCCAGGTTAGGTTTTTTCAGAAATACAATAGAAATATGATACTTCTAAAAGAGTCTTCTAAGGTAAGGGATGGATTCCACAGCACTCAGAGAGAATGTTGGAAGACCAGTTGGAGAGAGATTGCAGTAGTCTTAGCAAATGGTAAGAGTGATAAGATAGATTGGGTCCAGGAAATGACGGAGACAATCTAGAGTGACACTCAGGCTTCTGGCCTAAGCAGCTTAATAGGAAGTTGTCCCATTTACTGAGATGGCAGGGGACTGGAAGAGGAGCTAACTGAGGGGGACTTTAAGAGTTTAGTTTTGGACATGTTAAGCCAAATGAGCCCTATACCCAACTAGAGAAGTCAAGTAGAAAATCAAATATAAAAAGCTGAGGTGTGGTTTGCCTTGGAGATATAAACTTGGAAGTTGTTGGCTTCCCAAAGGTGCTCAAAGACAGGAGAATGGTTGAGAACACGGGGAGAGGGAGGTGAGAAGTGGCCACAGCAGTTCTCTTCAGGGCACTTGAGGTAGAACTTGGGGAGCATGGCAGCAAAGGAGCCTGAGATTGAGCAGCAAAATGTAAGAGAAAAATCTAGGGGTGTGTGATGTGACATTCACAGAAGCCAAGAGAAGGGAGTTTAAAGGAGGAAGAGTGATTGATGATGCTAAATATTACAAAAATGTTAAGTAAAGCCAAGTGAGAAAAGTGTCCCGTAGATTTGGCAACATGGAGGCCATTGGTGATGTGGATTCAAAAAGATAAAGTGAGGGTGATTGCAGAAAATCAACTGGAGTAGGCTGATGTGTAGAATGGAAAATGATCAATTAGAGGCAGCCTGTGAATCTATTCTTTTTTGAAAAAAATTTTATTAAGTTCCAGGATACATGTGCAGGATTTGCAGGTTTGTTACATAGGTAAACGTGTGCCGTGGTGGTATGCTGCACCTACTAACCCATCACCTGTGTATTAAGCCCTACATTCATTAACTGTTTATGCTGATGCTCTCCCTCCTCCTGCCCCCGCAACAGGCCCCAGTGTGTATTGTTCCCCTCCCTGTGTCCATGTGTTCTCATTGTTCAGCTCCCACTTACAAGTGAGAACACGCAGTGTTTGTTTTCTGTTCCTGTGTTAGTTTGCTGAGGATAATGACTTCCAACTCCATCCTTGTCCCTGCAAAGGACATGATCTCATTCCTTTTTATGGTTGCATAGTATTCCATGATCAACTATTAAAAAGTGAATCTACTCTTTACCAAAGTTTAGCATCTGAGTGGAAGAAAAGAATGGAGTTGGGGAGGAAGTGGGGTCAATAAAGGAAATTTACCATGTGTAAATGGCTCAATCCTTGCCTTGGGGAAGGCAAGGAGGAGAGTTAAGTTCAAGGTCAGCAAGGGTCACAGTGACAACTTCCCCAGAACAGCTCCTGAAGATTTGCTTTGCATTACACAAGAGTATGAGCTACAGACTTAACAGAACCAAGCAATCTGTGGGTGCAGTAGGGTAGTAATTTATGAGGAATTACTGGCTGGGCCCAAGTTAGAGCTGCAGCACTGAAGTCCTCATTGGGCTGGACAGAAGGGATTGGAGTGAGACGTATACTGAGGCAAGGAAGTAGATCAGATGAGGAAAGCAGTAGTAGAGGGCCCTAGCATTTTTATGTTTCCAGTGGACAGGAACAAGGACGAGGCAGTTGTAGTATTGATATCAGCTGGGGGTGGGGGTGGTGGCTGGTCTGAAACTATAATCCTTCACTAATTCACAAATGGGTTTCCCCGACAATGAAGGAGAAGTCAGGAGACCATGTTTGACCCTGTTTTTTTTGTGGTTATGCTGCTGCTGTTTTCTCATTTTCAGTACGGGGACATCCAGCCTTCAGGGGGACTCTGGAATACTTGCAACACAAGGCAAGCAAGCACTCTGAGTGGGATCCAGAGCTTACTTGATGTTCACCATGACCGAACTGTCCAATTTCCCAAAAGGCCAAGGGTGTATCAGAAAACCAGAGCTATGAAAACAAGCCCAGATGCTTGCACTGTGGCTGCAAGAAGCCACCAGGCAGGGAGAGGAGTTCTCTCACTGTCAGAAGTTTTGTCAGCCTCTGTCCTTCTGCCACTCTGTCTGGGGATAGGCACCTGTGGTCAGGGGAACTCAAGGGAGCACCAACCCAGGTTACAAAAATCCCCATCACACCAGGCCTCGAATTCTCTGAAGGAGATCAGATAGGATGCACTTCCCAAAGCGTCCCCATCTCCACCAGCCTTCCCCACAATGCTGCTTCCAAAGCCTCAGTGCTGCCCAGTCTGATATCTGAATCCGAGTGACAAATGGCAGCAGAAGCTCTTTTCTTTAGTATCTACTGTGTGCCAGGCACCATTCTAAGAGCTTTTCATTTTGCTAGTCATTTATTTCTCACAAAAACTATTTCAGGGAGGTGCTCTTAGTAATTCCATTTTAGAAATGGGGAAACTGAGGCACAGAAAGTGTTGTGAGTGGGCATATGGTGACATGAATGGGAAGAGGCAGAGGTGGGGCATGGGCCCAGGCAGGCTGCCTGAGCACCATGGCAAGTGCTGTAAATGAAGCTCTTTCCTCCTAGGGAAGCCTGCTTCATCATCAATGTCTCACCTGCTCCTTTTGACGGTCTCAGACTGATTTACTCTAGAAAGTTAACAGGACATGCCCTGTGTCTGAACACCTAATTGTTAACCAGGCATCCTCTAAAAGGTTGGACTTCGAGACTCACAATAGTTTTTCCAGGGCACGGGCACAGTGGTTCATGCCTGTAATCCCAACACTTTGGGAGGTCAAGACCGGCAGATCACCTGAGGTCAGGAGTTCGATAACAGCCCGGTCAATATGGCGGAACCCTGTCTCTACTAAAAATACAAAAATTAGTCGGGTGTGGTGGCACATGCCTATAATCCCAGCTACTTGGGTGGCTGAGGCAGGAGAATCGCTTCAACCCGGGAGGCAGAGGTTTCAATGAGTGGAGATTGCGCCACTGCACTCCAGCCTGGGCGACAGAGGAGACCCTGTCACAAACACACACGCGTGCACACATACACACACACACTCACACAGACACAGAATAGTTTCTCTAGCCTCCTGGAGGCAGAGGAGGGCTCCCCAAGGGTATTCTAGGCCATCCCCACTCCCTCAACCCCTCTGTTTGAAGGGTTGCCAGTCATGGTGACCAAGCCCTGCTGGCTTGGTTCTCAGGAGTCATTTCACTGGAAATGTAGTTTATTGACCTTAGTTCAAACCATTCCAGATAGGTCTACAGAATGTAGCCCAAATATAAGCTGGGGTCTTGATTGAGACCCTTTGCCTAGACAGGATATGACCTCATGCTTTCTGTGAGTTGTTTTTTTTTTTTTTTAAGCTGGATTCTCGCTCTTTCTCCAGGCTAGAGTGCAGTGGTGGTGTGATCTCGACTCACTGCAACCTCCGCCTCCCAGGTCCAACTGATTCTCGAGAGGCCTCAGCCTCTTGAGTAGCTGGGACTACAGGCATGAGCCACCAAGCCCAGCTAATTTTTGTATTTTTGGTAGAGACGGGGTTTCATTATGTTGGCCAGGATGGTCTCAATCTCTTGACCTCGTGATCCTCCCGCCTTGTCCTCCCAAAGTGCTGGGATTACAGGTGTGAGCCGCTGCGCCCGGCCGCTTTCTGTGACTTTTATGCACTGACTTCCATTTCCATCACCCATGCCTGCTGGGAGCCAGCGTGACTCACCCTTGCCAGTTCAGTCTGTAATCTGGTTCTCCTCTCCCTATGCACAAAGGATCCCTATCTGGGCTTGGGGCAGGTATGGGGAGGCCTCTCTTCCAAGTGGCCCAAACCCTAGAAGGGGATTGGGTGGCAGGTGGTACTGTATACAGTTAAGTTGGAGTTGTTCTGCAGAGCTGGGGCTGAGGATCAGTAAAAAGGAATGAGGCAAGGGAAAAAAACAGGTGAGCAGATAAATGTTCTTCCAGAAGAACTGCTTAGACTGATGGCTTGCATTCTCCAGGTCAGCCAGACCCAGTGTCCCTGTCACTGTTCCTAACAGAGCCTGTCATCACTACATGATACATATTTACTTTATTTGGAGTCAAGTTAATTGAGGTTAAAGTTACATGCAGTAAAATTCACACTCTTTTTGTGTATAGTTCTGTGAGTTTAGAAAAACACATACTGTCATTTAACTACCACTGCAATCAAGATCTAGAACATTTCTGCCACCCTTTGCTTATCAACCCCCTCCTCTAACCCTAGGCCCCAGCAAACACTGTGCGTTTTTTTTTTTGTCTCTGTAATTTTGCCTTTTCCAGAATGCCATATGAATGGACTTACATAGTATTCAGGCTGTTGAGTCTAGCTTCTTTCATTTAGCAAAATGTATTTCCATTTCATCCGAGTCATTGCTTGTATCAATAATTTGTTCGTCTTTATTGCTGAGTGCTATTCAGTTGTGTGGATGTGTCAGTTTATCCATTCACTGGCTGATGGACATAGAGTTGCTTCCTGTTAGAGACATACGTAAGTAAAGCTGATTATTCCTGTACAAATATTTGTGTAAGCATAGGTTTCCATTTGTCTTGGATAGATAGGTAATATATTGGCTGTGTCACATGGTAAGCGTATGTTTAACTTTATGAGAAACTGCCAAACTATTGTCCAGAGTGGCCGTACCCATTTGCAATCCCACCATAAATATATGAGAGCTTCAGCTGTCTGCATCTTCCACAACATTTGGTATTGTTAGCTTTTTGCACCTGTTTTGTTTTTAATTTTAGCTATTCTGATAGGTGTGTAGCAATATCTCATTGACATTTCAATTTGCATTTTCCTAATGTTAGGACACGGAACGCTTTTTCAAGTGCTTCCTTGTCATCTGTATAGCGTATTCGCTGATATGTCGGTTCAAATCTTTTGTTTATTTTAAACATTGGGCTATTTGTATTTGTGTTATTGAATTTGGAGAGTTCTTTATATATTCTGGATACAAATCTATCACATATGCAGTTTATAAATATTTTCTCAACAGATAGTTACTTTAATACAATTTGTCCTCCTCTTTGGATTTCAAATACCATTCCCACTTCTCACCATTAGGCTGACAGAGTTAGAGGAACATGAATACTTTAGTCTTGATTTTCTAGAAGACAGAAACTGAGACACAGATATACTTTTAAAAACCTGCTGCTTCTTGTATCACAGAGAATTGGAGCCAGGTATGGGACTTGATCACTGAGAAGGGAGTCTTAGAATGTGTTTGAAATTATCCCTCACCTTATAGGGCTGCCGTTTGTTTAAGTGAGGTCCAGCAAACCAGTGTCATCAGCTTACTTCCGGGGAAGGGTAACAGGTATTTGTCAAATATCTCTCGTGTGCCAGAAATTAATTTAGATCAGGGACCAACAAGCTAGGCCTGAGGGCCATATATAACCCTTTACCTGATTTTGTACAGCCTGTGAACATTAAGATGAACGTTTGCAACTGACATGATGACAGAAAAAACTCACTTTGAAACCCCAATTAAAGGACATGCAATCCTCCCTGCGAAGAAGTCAATTTTTTTATTATAGACATGTATTTTTTAAAATGATACACAGTTATTATTTTAATATATATTATTTGATATTCTGAATTTTGTGAACAACAAACTTGTTTTCTCTTTTGTTATGTTAATAATACTTACATAGTACCCTCAATTTTACCGCTTGGTCTGCAGAACCTCAAACTTACTCTTTGGACCTTTGCAGGAAGTTATGTCTTTAACCATTAAAACTACAACAACCTATTTTACAGAGAAAAGTGAAGCTCTTTGCAAAAGATAAGTAAGCTGTGTAAGGTCACCCAGTTAATGTCAGTGGAACAGGAATTTTGGGGGATGTTTCTGACTTCAAAACCTGGTCCCTTTCCAAAAGTAAATTCACAGCAGCAATTTAGCAGAAAATAGAAAAGAACAAAAAACAATTTTGGTGGGTGGGGTGTGGGGTTCTTGGCTCAGGGCACGGCTTCTGCAGGTTCCTGAACCTGTTTTTGTCCAATTCACAGGCCTGTTCATGGAGACCAGGAATTCATCAGAGGTACCTCACAATCCTATGGGATTCTCAAACCATGCCAGCGACATTCCGTTCTCCTTATCCTACTTCACTAGCTGAAATGTATATAGAAATTTTTAAAGCTTTCCAATAACAAGATTTTTTACTAAAGCAAAGCCTGTTAGCTACCGCCCTGTGAATGGTGTTAAGCACATGGGCCATGGACCCGGGACACTGGGTTCAACTCCTAGCTCCACTCTTAGGAGCCATGTGACTTCTGGTTAAGAAGCTAAACAGAGGTAGCTGGATTTACCTTTTTTGAAATAGGATATAATAGGACCTATTCATAGGTCTTCTATGAGGCTTTAATGGGTTAATATTTGCAACGTGGTTAGCACAGCACCTGACATAGCACAGGTACTTTATCAGCACATATTAAATAATAAAATAAATGCTTGATTAATCAGAATACTGAATTACCAGAAAACACATCTCTTCTCCTTCTAGCTCATCAAAATGTTTCTATATTAAATGGGTCTTGAAAGAGCAAAAGGAAGAGAAACTTGAAAGCAACAGCATTGCCTCAACTTCCTCAGTGTGATCATTCTCTGGTGGAGGACAGAGAAGCAAGAGGGGAATGTGTTTTGCTACTTTCAGCCAAAGTACACATTCCCCAACTCTCCAATCCAGGAGACTGACCTGGGTTTCACCAAATTACAATTATTGTTATTTGAGCAATACGTAAAGCTTTTGATTCTGAAATGATGATCCTTGTAGTCGAAAGCAGCAATTCTACATCAAATTACAATTATTTATAACATCATCAGGCTAGGAAAATGCAGCACTTTGGTGACATCTTGCCCTTCCATGTCAGGAGATCATGTTTATGTCTACATTTCCCCTCTCTGGCTTCAGAAAGCCACACCCAGGTGTATCCCCTGCTGGTACCCTAATTAAGATTCTTCACCTCCCACTCCATTTCCCCGACACACACAAATGGCACTCAGTGCTGGTGAGGGTGTGAGACAGATAAACACTCTCAGACACTGATGGTTAGGCTAAGCAATTGAGATGTTTCCATCAAGAGCCTTAAACATATTCTTAAATCTTAAACAGATTCCACGTCTGAAAAGACATCAAGACAAAAAGGGTGTGTGTGGCAGCGTTGGGGGTGGGAGTTGTAGAATTTAAAGGAGAAGAACTGAATCTGACACATGATGGGTGTTGCCTGACGAGTGTGTGTGCATCTGAAGCCAGAGGGCAGTAGGTGGTGTGTTCCAGGGTCCTTCTGTGAGCACACCTGCTGCACTGTAGCTGCTGGTGCCCAGAGATGGGCAGTGCTGCAGACCCACGTGCTATAGGACACCGCAGTGCCCAAACAAGGGCATTGCAGTCCATCCACGCACCACGAGCATTGTCTATTGGAGTCAGAATGGATCTGGGAGACAGACTTGGCTCTGCCCTGGCTCAGACACCCTGGGACAGATTCTGCAGCCCGTTGGGGGCACTGCCTGGGTGGAGTCAGTTCTTCGGCTTGGCTGCCTAAACCTTTCCCTACTCACTGTGGGTCTGAGGACCTAAGACATGAGCAAGTGTCTTAAAAGTAAAGTTTCTGTACAAGTGTTAGGAATTATTATCTAGATCCATATGATTTCAGAGTCTTTTAATCTTCTTAGGTTAGATTCTCAGATGCCCTATGGTATCTTTAGTTTTTTGTCATAATTCAAGAGAACTCATCTTTAATTGCTTTAATTTAAGCAAATAATCAAAATATCACAATTTTAAGGATAACTGAAACACTACAATTTTAAGGAGAACTATTGAAATCAAGTAGAGGACCCCAGGTTAATAATATTAATAGTCAGAGGCACAGGGAGAGGATTAGAAGGTTCATTTATTTAGCATACAGGAGATTTGGTCTGACAAAGATGGCCTCATTGAATCCTCAGGAGACAAGATCTTACTCCCATTTTCTACCCCCAGGGAACAGAGGCCAAGTGCCTTATCTAAGTTTAGGGAAGGTGGAAAGGGCAGAGACAGGATTTGAACCCAGGCATCTGACCACAGGCCCATGTGCTTTCTCAACATTGCAGCTGGCCACTTTGCAGGGCTGGCATTTCAGTGCACTGTTAGTCCTCAGCCGTGCAAATGTTCCAAATCACAGAGAAGGACATTTAATCTGTTCAGTGATCTGTGGAACCGCTTAGGAACTGGAAAAGGAATTACAGGGATGAGTCATCCTCTGTCAGCAGGTGAACTGTAATGGAGTTTTTATTACTATTTTATTTATGTGTTTGTCCAAAAAAATGGAAATAATGCACCAGAGCCCCCTGATGGCTGTTTCTTCACTGGGCTCTGCCTGTGGGTGTGTGTGAGATGTGTGTGTGTGTGTGCATTGGTGTCACAGATCTCACGCGGGTCTCATGCTCTGTGAGATTTGGAGTTGAGAATAGTTTGTGCAGAATTATATTGGGGAATCTAGTGGCTGCATTTGTGTGTGAAGGAGGGTGTGTGAGTATGAGAGAAAGTAAAGACATTGTGTGAATTATTGATAAAGTGCCTACTGAAATGTTCTGTAACTTCTGATACCCTGAGCTGTGTGATCCTTTATTTTACCTAGAAAAGGAAATGTACAGTGACCTAGAGCTCTTCTTAGTCTTCAGATTCCATTAGTCACAGGTGCCTAATTTTGATGTTGTCCTTTAGTGAGGTGGACTCTGTTCTTACCAGGAACCTCCCTTGCTGCCATTGATTCTGTACTCTGAAGCTCCTCTCCTTTTCTTCTCTCAAGGCATAGGAGGGTGTTAGATCCTCCCCAGCCCAGCTAGGTTGTTGACAAAGCTCATGAGTATCTCTCAGGGAGACGCTCCGAGGTGCAGGTCATGCGTGGTCTGAGAGAACTCGAAGGCTCTCAAACCCATGCAGCTCAAGTCCCTTCTGATATGGTGGACCCTAACTTCTGAAACCTAGACTTTGACCTTAGTCTTGACCTCATCTGAGCGAAAATGAGCATTCTGAACTTGGGTTGACCTCCACGTCGTCTTCTTTGGAGATAGCAGGACTGGTTATGGGCTTCTGTGGGTTGACTTCATGGAAATGAACCTGGTCAAAATGGGAGAAGCCATCCTCCACAGAGTTTTTCATGGGGGATCTTTTTATTTTAGAGATGGCATTTCATTTTGTCACCAAGGCTGGAGTGCAATGGGTGCAATCATAGCTCACTGCAGCCTCAAACTCCTGGGTTCAAGTGATCCGCCCACCTCAGCCTCCCCAGTAGCTGGGTCTACAGGCACTTCAAGAGGGATTTTGAGTCATTTGGGTTCCTTAGCCAGCTCTGTCTCTATTTGAGGGCTGGAGTTAGTAGAAGGGAGTCTGTCCATTTTTATCAAGGGCATATTATATATTACATGAAGATCAGAGGCTCAAGGTGGTGACATAATTGGGTGTGAGATATAGTCTGTAGCCTATGGGGTAAAAAAAAATACCTGGGAAGATAGCAATTAAGTAAAGCCTAATAACAATAAAACATAAAAATTCCTTTTTATGAGATTATCCTGGGCTAGTACTCAACACTCTGGTATATAAGGGCATCTTAGGACCTATGATTTTGTGGCTTATGCTGTATCAGTTACTGCTATACCTGGAACACGGTAGATACTAAACAAATGTTTATGTAAAGAAAGAGTGAATGAACCTAGATGCCCACACCTCAGACATACAGATCCCATTAAAATTCAGCTAACATATGTTGAGAACTTATTACAAGCTAAGTTTTTTTTTTCCTTCACTTTCATGAGCGCCTGTCTTTCTAGCAACAATTTGAGGCAAGTATTTAATGGAAGAAGCAATTGAAACTCAGTGATTGGCCACCGGCACCCACAGCACGTACAGGGTGGAAGTGGAATTTGAACCCAGGCTCCTACTAGCACATTGCTTTGCTTTCCCTTCTATTTCACCAATGGGATTTTGCCTCTTTCTTTTGTGTTGCTTTCTCCCCTCCATCCTTCCTTTCCTTAGGAGACAGCCCTCTCCTGAACCTGTGGGTTCCACTCTCGGTTTCTGGATCATCTAGAAGGTCACTGCCCCTTAGTTCCAGATTCTAAACAGACAATGCTGCGTCCAATGCCGCTTGACTATAAGGGCCGACAAATATGAGCAGAACCCAGTTTCATTGCTTCTCCCTCACCAAAATACATTAATAAACTTAATTAGCATTGACCTGAAAAAAATCAGAACAGTAACTTCCTGGCATTAGGATCAAATGCAATGAAGCACAAGCAATAAAAACTCCATTACTGCTCCCCTCTGAGAAGCTGTCACTGATTCTCGAGGACTAGAGGGAGTTGGGTCTGACACCTCCCCAGAACCCTCCCTGTCTGCTCCATGCCTCACTGCTGGACCCTGAAGGTGAGCTGGGGCTGGGCCCCAGGTAGGATTATGTATACTTAAATGCACAACTCCTAGTGACCTTGGCTTGACTTGGGCTGCCATCAGTATCCATAAGGACCAAAACAGAGCCTGCAGGAGCTAGCTGGCCATCGGAATGGGAAGCTAGTCCTCAGCCAGATGAGCCTGGTGGTTTGCTTTGGTGGCTCAGATGATGATAGACAGGGTCAAGTCTATTTTTTTATTTAGAAAAAGATTTATGGTCTCAGCAAGAATGCTAGGGCTTAGAGCAAGGCCTCCCAGCCCATGGGGGACCCAAATAGCCAGACAGCAAACAAAATAGGCTGCCAGTCACGGGGACTAGGTAAGCCCAGAAAGGAAAGACAGCAAGAGACTCAAGGGGTTTGAACAACCAGGTGCCCAGGACTCTCCCCAGATGGATCAGAAACCTGGCTTAGGTCGATAAGAATATTCTAGATCTCATCCCCTGGTAGTCTCAGGTGACTAATTTATTGCTGCTTCTGGTCAGAATTGGCTGAGACTCTGGGTGAGAGTATGAAAGCTGTAAATGACCCTGCAAGGCACTGGGGATGTAAGTTGCTGACATTTTCCCACCCCACCCCTACTTTCCAATGATCTCATTTTATTGTTGAATTCCTATCCTATTCAAGGCATTGAGGAACTAGGATATGGAGACAGAAATATGCACAAGCTCCAGCATTTGCCCTTGAGTGGTCCTTACTCTGGTGGGATGGTATCAGCAACCCACTGGATTTCTGCCTCTCCTTAATACTTCCCTCTGCCCTTCTTTTCCAAGATATTGTGAGATATTTGAGGAGCGTTCTGTGCTTAAATGCAGGCTTCCTTATCTCAGTCTCCACTTGGATCTCTCCAACCCATCATCTTGCTCATGAGAGCAGCACTAGGAAGGGGATGGGGGAACACTGCTGTCCCAAATCCTATTGGTTCCCTTGCTGCTATATATACCTCATGGGCTGCCCCAAGCCCCTCTCCTGGCTCCTGAGGCCCTGCAAGGTCCCAAGAACTCAGAAAAGCATGGCAGGAGCTGATGGGCCCATCTTTTGGTAATAACAGTGGCAGATGCTCTTTGTAGAGTTGCGTCCAACTCCAGGGGAAGGTTAGTCGAGGTGGAAGAAGTACACTGAGAGGTGGCTCTTGAAAAATATATACTTCGGCCCAAAAGTTATTTCAGGGAGACGCTTGCAAACAATGGGAAAGATCAAGAATGAGGAAAAGGGAAAACCCAACACAAACCAGGCTGCATGAGTGGAGGGAATGGAAACTTCCTGAGAACACAAGGAAGCCCTTTTAAAATGTTTTCAACGGAGACAGCTCCCTCACACATTAGCACTCAGTTCCACACAATCCTGAGGTCAAGCTGCCTGGGTTCCCTGCACGTTCTGCTCGCTATGGCTGTGTGACCCTCCCACAAGGTCCTTCTCTGTAAAATAAGGGTAATGATATTACTTATCTTTAAAGATTAAATGAGCTGCTATGTGCAAAGTTATATCATCATTGCTTGGTAAGTGTTGGATATTATCATAATATTAGTATTTGTAGATTCCAAGAGCCCATAGCTCAGAAGCAGAGACAGACATGCAAAGAACTCCAAGGCACGTAGAAATTTCCTCTTCTTCTTCCGGGCTATTCAGAGAGCAAAGCCATGCTGCTGGAGTACTCAACAGAACAAAAGCAGAAAGCAGGCTGGAGGTCGATTTCACAGGACCTTGAATTCCAAGGAGCATTCAAGGTTTCCTTAAATAGGTACCACATCTATATACTTTAAATATGGTCTTCAAATAGGAATGCATTTTGGGGACACAAAATTTCAAACAGTATGAGAGAGAGAGCTGCAGGCTCACTAGAAAAGTCCTGCTTTGCTCATCCACCCACATTTCCATCCCTGCATCCATCAAGTGGCCCATGTCTGACCTACATCATTTGCAAACAGCCACCTCATCATTCTCTTATTCATGCCTTCGTCTCCCACGTTGCCAGAGTTGTTTTCTCTAAGCACAGATGCGGTACCTGTTTAAGAAGACCTTAAATGCTCCCTGGAATTCAAGGTCCTGTGAAATCTACCTCCATCCTGCTTTCTGCTTTTGCTCTGCTGACACTAGACTTGCTGTTCCTTGGAAAGTTCCTGCTGCTGCCCCTCATCAGAATTAACTACTTTAGCAGCATGGCTATGCTATTTGGTTAGCCTGGAAGACAGAGAGGAAATTCCTATGTGCCTTGGAGTTCTTTGCATACCCGTCTTTGCTTCTGAGCAGTGGGCTCTTGGAATCTACAGATACTAATGTTATGATAATAATATCCTGCATTTTACCAAGCCATGGTTATATAACTTTTTTCACAGAATCTTTTTCATTTTTTTAAGGTAAGTAATATTATTGCTCTTATTTTACAGAGAAGGATCCTGTGGGAGGGTCACAGCTACAAGGAGTAGAGCCAGCCAGGAGCCCAGGCAGCTTGACTTCACGGCTGTGGTCTCAACCCCTATGTTAGGCCATTTTTGCATTGTCATAGAAATACTGGAGGCTGGGTAATTTAGGAAGGAGAAGAGGTTTAATTGACTCATGATTCTGCAGTCTATACATGAAGCATGGGACCAGCATCAGCTCGGTTTTTGGGGAGGCCTCAGGGAGATTTTACTGATGGCAGAAGGTGAGAAGGTAGCAGGGGTATCACATGGCAAGAACAGGAGTGAGAGACAGAGAGAGACAAAGCAGAAAGCGGGAGGTACCACACACTTTCTAGCAACCAGATCTCGCAAGTACTCACTATCATGAGGATAGCACCAAGTCAGAAGGGATCCACCCCCATGATCCAATCACCTCCCACTAGGCCCCCCTTCCAACACTGGGGATTACAATTCAACATGAGATATGAGGGGGACAAACAGTCAAGCTATATCAATCCCTAAGTTATTGCTGGGTCTCTGGAACTTTCAATGCACGTAGGCAGTCTCCAGTCGCATAGTAGGGCCTGGTCAATATTTGCAGACTGAAACAAAAGGTAAATGAGAGAATAAGGGGATGGAAGGAGCACACCACCCTGGGAAGGTGAGCCTATGGGACTGGGCTGAGAATGAAGTGGTAGGATGGGCCCAGGGCACAGGTGTGCTTGCTCTGTCTCCCTTTTGACCAGCTCGCTGACCTTGGAGGAGGCAGCCTCCAGCAGGGCTGCCCCAGAAGTCCTGGGGAGGTCCTCCTGCCTGCCAAAAAATGCCTCTTTCAGCTGCTTGATGGTGCCTGAAATTGTACCATTACAGCCTAATTCCTATAGCTTAGGCTGCTATTCCCCTGTTAAAATGCAAATCCTCCTGGGAGAGGCAAGTTATTAAAATTTATTAGTCTTTTATATCTCATGGTGAATTTATTGATGAGAGCCCTCTCCTTAGAAATGGCCGGGATAAGGGAGAAATATGGAGATGGCATAAATGTCCTGGGCTCCAGGGAATGCGGTCACCTGAAAGGCCAGAAGTGAAGGAGCAGGGGTTGAAGGAGGAATAATGAGAGCTTGGGAACCTAAAAAGCTGACATTTCATGTGTTCTGTTGCCTAGGGCCATAGGTGACTGGTAGCATGTGGTTTTGAGTGGACTGGCTGAGGAAAGGGTCACAGGCACATCCCCAGCATTGGAAGGACCAAATTCCTGGGGCAAGATAGAGCTCTAAGTCACTAGAACGGCCTTCTCGGTCTTTGCCTTATGCAAGAGAGCAGCATTGCAGGCAGCACCATGCCCACTGTGAGCAGAGTTTTTGCAATGTGCCCATGTGCACAGTACCCTCTTCCAACGCAATGGTCCTGGATATCCCCGTCACTCACTCCAACCCAATGGGAGACCCTCAGAGTGTCCTCTGTGTGCGCTGCTTATTTCTTGCACTTCTCTCACCCCTTGGGCCTGAAGACGACAGCTCGGTTTCATTCTCTACCCCATCGCAAACGTTTTTCTGAAACCCTCCCTTGCCATCCACTCACTGCCTGGACTGTGGTGAGCAATGGATACTGAGAGGGATCCTTTTTTTTTTAAGGATACATCAGGGTTTCAAGAACAATATTATTTTATGTGTTTTCAAGATACTTTTTACTGCCTTCAGATTTATGAGATGGCCTTTATTACTTCAATAAAATATTTAAAACAAAAATAAGAATGGAAGCCTGAGGTATTTGGCCTCCATTTCTCTGGAGCTTGCCCACGCAGAAATACTCCCTAACCTTCACACACATCCTCCCTCCAGAGACGCTGGCGGCCTTGGTTGCTGTGTGATTCTGATGTTCAAGAACTAGGCAGGGCTGCACTTGGGATCGTATCTTTACTCAACAAACGGTGTTTGTCTACGTGATGGGAAATAAATGGAGATTCTAGCACCTGGAGTATTTTTTGTTGTTTTTGCTTAATGATGCATTGCATTGTGTATGCACCTTACTTTTGAAATTGTAATAGCACACAGTAGCACCTTGAATGGAAAATAATGTGCTTGCTGTATGTAGTAGCTGCAAAGAGACAGTTTGCATTGAGGGTCAGAGAGTATGTTAGTAAGAGGACAACTTAACTGAGGAACAAGAGACCTGGGTTCCAAGCCAGCTTTGTCTCTAGTCAGCTGCAGAGTCTCAGAGGAATTACTCTCCCCTCCGGACCAGGAGCTTCTTGCATTTTTTTCAGTCATTCACTCAACAATTATTTCTCGAGTGTATCCTATATACTGGATACTATGTTCATCTGAAAAGGCAGGCAGGTGGATTAGATGGCTTCTTCCCAGTCTAACATTCTTTGGAATAGTTGATTTTAGGAGGCCTTGAGAACCTTTAATGTTCACTAATACAAAGAACGATGGACAAGGATTCTCCCCTCACTTTTAAAGATCTCCCCTCACTTTTTAAAGATCTAAATGTGAAGGTCATAAAAACCTAAAGCAGGAGGCAGGTGGTAAATCTCACCCTCCTCATTTCCCAGCAGGAGTGTGCCAGAGATTCTGGCTCCTTTATAATTCACTTGATAGAATCATATAAATTTTACTTCCTTCCCAGTGGATTTTCTTGCTCTTAAGGCAAATTTCTCTGTCATGGGAATTGGTCCCAGGAAGACTGAGAAAAACCCAGGTGGCACCAGCGCAAATCCACTCTTACAGACCTTTTTCTCTCCTCCTCACTGCTTCTTCCTTAGAAAGGTTTGGAGTCTGTTCCTTTGCAGGCACTTTGCTAGGTGACAGCTATATGGTCTCTGTCTTTGAGGAGCTCACAGCCTAAGGGGAGAAGGAGGTGCCAGAGAATGATAGTGAGGTCTGGATGGTGCGTTGAGAAGGAGCACCCCAAACCTTCACTGGATCCAAGAAGGTTCCTCACTGGAGGCAGAAGTTAAGTTTAATCCTGAAAAAATCAATGAATTATGCAGGCAAACAAGCTGTGGATTGGTACTCTAGACAGATGGAATAGCATGGACAAAGGCCCTGAGGTAGGAGGAGGTGGTGTGTTTGGAGAAGTAGTTTAGAATGAGGCAGGTGCATGGGACAGGGCATCACATGATTCAGCTGGAAGCCCTGGCTAGGGTAAGCTCCAGGAAGCTTGCAGTTGCCATTGACAAACATTAAGCAAAGCTGTGGCATGATCTCCCTTCTCCCTAAATTGTCTGCTCTCACCAAGCAGCTTCCCACATACCAAATCCATCCCTTATCTGCTCCCTGTCAAGTCTTCAGCATCCTCTGCCTCATTCCCTCATGGAAATCCCATCCTCTTGCTTCCTTGGTTATCTTTCAAGAGGAGAACTCATTAATTCAACCTGATAATAGTTTAATGAGAATGACAAAACATCTGTCTTTTTAACTCATGTAAACATGTTGGGCCGGGCACGGTGGCTCACGCCTGCAATCCCAACACTTGGAGAGGCTGAGGTGGGCAGATCACCTGAGGTCAGGAGTTCAGTACCAGCCTGGCCAACATGGTGAAACCCCATCTCTACTAAAAATACAAAAATTAGCTGGGCATGGTGGTGGATGCCTGTAGTCCCAGCTACTCAGGAGGCTGAGGCAGGAGAATCTCTTGAACCCGGGAGGCAGAGGTTGAAGTAAAGCGAGATCGTGCCACTGTACTCCAGTCTGAGCAACAGAGCAAGATTGTCTCAAAAAAAAAAAAAAAAAAGATGTTAAAGAGGTGGTATATAAAAAGTAACATCCAAAGTCTGACACCTCTTCTAAACATGTGGGGTTCTATCTCTATTGCCCCAGCCCACCTACTAGAATAGGCACAAATCTGGGTGGGTTTGCAGAAAGCCTGTGTCCTGAGTTGTGGATCCATTTACCAAGTTAGCCACTTCCAGAGCCCACAGGCTTTTCTGGGACCTGGTTCTGTTTGTCTCTCTGTGCTTATCTTCTCCACAGCCAGCAGGGCCCCTCTGCTGCTGATGCTATGAAGACCTCATTCTCTGCCCTGTTCCTCAGAGATCATCAGTGGTAGCATCAATATCCATGTGACCAAATAGAGCTACAGCTCTGGCCTACACTCCCCTTTTTAGAGGCTAAGCCTTCAGATGTAGAATCCCCATATTTCCAGGCATTCATAGACTGTAGTTTCTGCAAAACACTGACAATATCTGTTTTCATCATTCTCATTGCATGAAATGAAGCTAACTTACTGAAAAGTTACTTGCCATGTACAAGTACATCATCTCTGTTATTCATCACCAAAACCCTTTGAGGGAAGGGTCATTAACCCCACTTTTGTGAATGAAAAATGGCTACTCTGAAAGATTAAGTGACTCCCTGAAGTTCATGTTGAAAGAAGCAGAAGCAGAAGGCTTGCTCTCTTATCTGCAAATGTTACAACCATTATTGGGTTAATGAAGTGTCTGATTTGTAGTTCCAGAACTATATTCACAGCCAATCCCTGTAAGAGGCATATTCTAAACAAGCACGTAGATAAACAAATGAATATTTTATGGTCACTATACATGTATAATCCCTTACCTATGCATCATTCTAACTGGTCACATCCCACTGTAGCCAACCTCAGAAGTGTGTTAGGAAGAATGCACCATTAATAAGGTAGAAACTGTCACCCAGACACTGAGCTGTGCTCAGTGTTTTTGGATAAGAGTAGGTGTGAGGTGAGATTCTGCCATTTAAGATTGCACCAAACTGCATTTCCCTTGATAGCAGCTGTTCTAGAAGCTCTTTCAGACTCCTGGCTGCCCTTTGGCTCTGCCTTGGGCTACCCACTTAAGAAATCACTTTATCATGCCACTTCGTGATTGTATTTGCCCAAGGATTGAGCTCAAAGGTCCTTTTAAATGGAAGGGTGTTTTTAAATACCTTTCTGAGCAACCTGACACTGGGGAGTAGAGTCGGGGACCCCTAAAGGCATCTGAGTTGCAGGTTACTAGTTCTCTGTAGCTGGAGATGTGGGTCACGGCCAGTGCTTGGGATGGGCCCAGATAATTCTGTAGAGAACATCAAAAACTAGTATTACTCTAGACTCCAGATGCATTATATACACAGCGTGGGTAGAGGACTTCTCTGAGATAGGATGCTAGGGGCATTAACTCTTGGGTTTCTCTAGGATTTATCTCATTTTGAACCTCAACTATGCCACAGCACCCTGAGATTAATTTCTAGACTCAGGAGATACCCTCTTTTTCTTTTTTTTTTTTTTCTTTTTTTTTTTTGGAGACAAAGTCTCTCTCAGTTGCCAAGGCTGGAGTGCAGTGGCACAATTTCGGCTCACTGCAACCTCCACCTCCCGGGTTCAAGCAATTCTCCTGCCTCAGCCTCCCAAGTTGCTGGGATTACAGGTGCCTGCCACCATGCCCAGCTCATTTTTGTATTTTTAGTAGAGACATGTTTTCACCCTGTTGGCCAGGCTGGTCTCAAACTCCTGACCTCAGGTGATCTGCCCGCCTCGGCCTCCCAAAGTGCTGAGATTACACGCATGAGCCACTGTGCCTGGCCTGGAGATACCCTTTTGATGAATCATCCTCGAAAAGATGACAAGTGCTGATATTCTTCCACAATTTCTGTGAATGGAGAATTCCTGATGAAACAAAATGACAGAGTCTTAAAAATAGCTGGGAAGTCAGAAGAGAAATTTCAACGGATTGGGTTGTTTGCCCCAATTCTTCATGCTTCCCAGGAGCTAAGTCCTTGGTGTGGCTTTGTCAGGAACAAAGTGTACTTCCATACTGTTTGCCTGAAGGCCTCAGTCATGGGAGTTACTTTGGTCAAAGAGATGTTAGTAGATGTGATGCCACTGGGATCTTGAGATGTACTTGAGCAGTGGGGCCTGCATTCTGCCACCCCCATTTGAAAACCATGCCCTAGCTAGCTCACTATCTGCAGAAGAGTAAGAAACATAAAGTAGAGTCACCACCAAACGAGAGCTGCCCAGCGATCCTGAAAGCTCTTAAGTGAGACATCCACTCTTACTATATTCACTATTGATATTTTTGGTTGGTAGTTATATAGCATAATTGTGGAAATGACTAATACAAAGACCTATTTGTGTAGCTATGAAATCCTCACTCCACAGGCTTCTCCCCCATGCACAAAGCATTGATAGGTACTTACTACCTGGCAGAACAATGCTAGGCCCTGTGAGGACACAGGAGAAGTGAAAGATACAACCTCTGCCCTAGAGATGTCCCTGTCTAGATAGGAGTATTTATCTAGAAAGATATGTATCTATCTAGCCCACCACAATTCAAGATGGCATCTCATGATAGCTGAACCATGGCAATGACACACTGGAGGGATCAAGCCAGCTCCCAGTGGATCTTGTTGGGGATTCAGACCTCATGTCCTACCTTGTGTCTTTGCATGTGTGGGAATATATATACATGTACATGCTGACATTGAAAAGTTGCATTAGGAGTTTGAGACCACCCTGGCCAACATGATGAGACCCCGTCTCTACTACAAATACAAAAATTACCTAGGCATGGTGGCACGTGCCTGTAATCCCAGCTACCCGGGAGGCTGAGGCAGGAGAATTGCTTGAACTTGGGAGGCAGAGATTGCAGTGAGCCGAGATTGTGCCACTGCACTGCAGCCTGGGTGACAAGAGTGAAACACTGTTTCAGAAAAAAAAAAGTTACATTAAACAATCATATCAATAGGTATTTGTCTTAGACTGTCACCTCCCACTCATACACATATATGTGTCCCATACAAAGTGACTGATAAGGAGGGAATTGTATTATTGTTCTTTGCCAACCATGACTTTTTATTGCAGATCTTAAGTTTTAGAGATGAGCTATCTAAAATAAAAAGGGATGTCTAGCATGTCCTGAAGATGGTATTGCAGGGAAAGAAGGAACTGGAGTTGGTATGGATTCAGAGACCGCACTTTTTCTCAGCCACTCACTGGCCATCCTTCCTCTACCCAGAGGCATGGCCACAGTGGCTGAGCTTGAGAGAAAGCCAGACCTGGTGCTCATTCTATCTCTGTTGCTTACTAACTGAAAAACTCTGGGCATGCTGTCTAATTTTTCTTATTTTTAAATGATTAATTATTATTTATTCATTTATTTCTTAGAGACAGAAATAAATGAATCAGTCTTGATCTGTTGCCCAAGCCGGAGTGCAGTGGCATGATCATAGCTCGCTGTAGCCTCCAACTCCTGGGCTCAAGCACTCCTCCCACCTTAGCCTCTCAAGTAGCTAGGACTACAGGTGTAAGCCACCATGTCCAGTCTCTCCTGTTTCCCATTTTCTCTGTCTTTAAAATGAGGACAATAGTTTATACCCCTGAGAGGTATCATAAGGATTAGAAATAATATGTCTATTAAGGGATAAATTGTGTTCCCCTCCAAAAAATGTATATGTTGATGTTCTAAACCCCCAACAATGTGTATGCTGATGTTCTAAGCCCTTCTCAGGTTGTGATCATTATTTGGACATACATCTTTAGAGAGGTGATTGAATTAGAATAAGGTCATTAGTGTGGGCTCTGAGCCAAAAGAACTGGTGTCCTTAGTAGAAGAGGAAACACACAGAAGAAGACCATGGGAAGAAGAGAGAAGATGCTGCCTGCAAGCCACAAAGAAAGGCCTCAATAGAAACCAACCCTGCTCACACCTTAGTCTCCGAATTCCAGCCCCCAGAATTGTGAAAGAATAAATTTGTGTTAAGTCACCCAGTTGGTAGTACTTGGTGCAGTCCTAGCAAACAAATACAGTGTCTAAAATTCCTGGTGTGGGATCAAGCATGATCCCTGCAAATACATGGGCTCCACCTCACTTCCCTCCCACTTCCTCTCTACCCACTTCTCGCTGGAGGCCTTTTCCTCTTCCTCCCTCCCTCCCTCTTCTGCTGCCTTCTCTGCCAACCTCCTCTCTCTCCCCTCTCCTCTTTCTTCTATTTCTCTTCCTCCTCATTCCTTTGCTTTTTAAGAAAATTTTTTTTCATTTCCATAGGTTTCTGGGGAACTGGTGGTGTTTGCTCATATGAATAAGTTATTTAGTAGTAATTTCTGAGATTTTGCTGCACCCATCATCTGAGCAGTGTACACTGTACCCAATTTGTTGTCTTATCCCTCACCCCGCTCCCATCCTTTCCCCTGAGTCCCCAAAGCCCATTGTATCATTCTTATGCCTTTGCCTCCTCAAAACTTAGCTCTCACTTACGAGTGTGAACATATGAAGTTCGCTTCACACACAATACATAGACCTGTAGCCTCTCAGCATGAGGTGGGAGGGCTGGCCATAGGGAAGCAATCTAAGGGGTATTTATGCTCTTATAAAAGGAACAGAAAGACTCTGGCTTTGCCCCTGGGCGGGCCAGAGTAACAAGAGAATAAGAATCCAGGGAGACACTGAACTGCTCATGAGAGGGAAGACCTCTGTCAGGATTATGGAGTTTAGCTGAATTGAATCTTGTGAGACTACGGGCTTTGGAATTTCTAATAGCTCTTAAGTATCTTTTGCTTAACTAGAAAAACAACTACAGTGTAGGGAGATGCCATTTCCTACCTCATCCTGTGATTTCAGGGCTGAGATCCTGGCTTTGGAAGAGTCTTTTGTCCTATAGTCCCCATTATCTGAATCCATACCTGCAAAGGTAGCACAGAGCCAGCAGGAGGAGACCCAGGATGCCAATGGGAACAGTGCCTGGGTCCACCCTGCAGCTCTTCCAGGGGCAGTTAGAACAGCCTTTGGCAATTGACTTCACTCCCAGAAAAGACACTCTCCTCCATCAGAAAAATGAGTGTAATCAGATTGGCTGGCAACAGTGTTTTGAGATTTCCTGGATGAGAGGTTCTTTGTAAACCTAGGGCACTGTTGTTTTCATACCTGCTTGTTGGGCCAGGAGAGAAGGGAAATGGGAACTCAAGGCAAGAATGCCTCCCTGGCAGCTGGTCCCCAAGCCTCTCAATCACACTTGACGTTTGCAAAAACACTGGCAAACTGAGCAGTCATGGAAATAGGTGGGAGAGTGAGGATCAGGCAGGCTAAGGATGCGTGCAGGCTAAGGAAGATGGGGAATGGCAGGTCAGATGGGAAAACATCTGGCAGAGTGGACCTTTCCTGCTCTGAGCTCATTTCTTTGCCTTTGAGATGTGAAATTGGGCCCTTCTGTAATTTCTGGAGCTTGGAGTATAGAATTCTCAGAATTCCTTATTAGCAAGTGTAGAGGGAGTCCTGGACAGAGACCAGGAGAAGAGATACTAAGGAGAGAAAGTGAGAGTCAAATGGAGTGCAGATAAGGGAGGAGATGAGAACAGGAAAGAAGGAGGAATGGGAAACAGAGAAAGATGAGGAAAGGAATTCTATTTTCCCAGAATCAGTTGCCAGTCTGGGATGGGCAAAGAACAGCTTTCCTGATGGGGGCTTTTTTACCTTTCATATATGCTGGTGCTGTCACGTCCAACAGCAGGATGAGAATTGCTTTGAAAAGCATCCCTGAGCTTCCTAGGTAATACGCAGTTCAGGGTCTTATTAAGAGAATAAGCAAAGATAGCCGCTGAGCCGCCGATTGTCCCACTGCGTAGGGGTGGCAAGAAGTCTAGGCCCTGATCCTTTCTTTTTTGTCCCTCCCATCCCCCCAACAAAAGAGCAGCTTTTAGGTGGGAGAACTCCTATTGAGGTCTAAGGGGCTCCCTGGCATGACATGAAAGACCCTTTCTGTCTCTTATTCCTCAAGATGGAACGTTAAATAATGCTGCAGGCTTGTACAGACCGCTGTCTGGAGAAGGCTGCCTGTGTCAGCTGCTTAATATGCAGAATGAAGAAGTCATAAAGTCAAGTGCCTGTAACATTTAATGTGAATGATAAAGGAGGAAAAACACCCTGAGCAGAAGGCAGGCCCGTGTGCCTCATTATTTGTGCATGGCAGGGGCTGCACCTGGCATCACAGCAAGGAGCACCCGCCATGTGGGCCCAGGTGCCTGAGTGTTAGAGAGGCATGTGCTTGGGCATTCATATGCACACATATGCGTGCACACATACATCATTAAAGGTGATGGCTGACAGCAGAGGGACCGCACTACCTATGACTGGTGATTCACAGGGCTTCGTCAGCTCAAGAACTTCCCTCCCCTGGGACAGCCACCTTCTCAGGACCAAGGAGAATCATGGAAAAGAATCATAGAATTACCAGTTTGCTTTACTGCCACAGAGTACGTGGAAAACTATGGAAGGGTCAAAGTTATAGCATTGCTAATCAGCAATCCCAAGCCACCAAATCCCATCTTTCCTCTGACAGTGACCATTCCAATGATCCTGAGACATTGATCCTGAGCTGCATCAGCTTCTGGCTGTTGTTTTCTGGCCCTGGTATGGGTTTGAGCATACCTGGTCCACGTCACAGCCACCCTTATTGCCCTCACTTGGGGAAGAAAGCCAGCGTTCTAACTACTATTTGTCTTCTCATTAGAGAGATTCATCTCTGTTTCTGAATGGTCTCTCTTCCCTTGAGAAATCTGGAACATTTTGTCTTGGGCAGGGTGGTAGGATGTCTCAATGTGGATTTCAGGGCTCTCCAGACTGTGGTTTAGGAACAGCACAGGTGTGTTGGCCTCAGGTGAGTTACCTGCTCATCTGGATTATGCTCTGTGAAAGGTTCAATCCCGGTGACCCAGGCTGCATCTATCAACTCCAAGACCTTCTCTACTCTTTGAAGGTCACATACCATGTCCTGACATGCCAGTGTCTCTTCAGTAGGCAGAAGAGCTCAGATTCTCTTCGCCTCCTTTTTCTGAGATTTTCTAGAAGGAGAGGCCACTATTTTACATCTTATTAATGAAAATATACTTCATGACCTCTAAGGCAAACAATGGGAGAATAATCTCTATGGGGAGAGGACAATTAGATATTCAAATTTGCCTCTTACTGCACAATCTGACCATCTTGGACTGTTTTATTGATTATGACCTCACCCTTCTGACCTCTGCTGGGGGTTTGTGGGGGTAGAGGGGGCAGTACTTCTTCCTAGCTACCCAGCAGTTGTCTGACTCAACCCATTATACTTTATAGTACAGTTGCAACCAGGCTGAAAGATTCATACAAGACATTGCCAAAGGGTATGGGAAAGCAAAACAGAAATGAACACAAAAAGTAATATTGGGTCCAGGCAATTCAGTTTACAAGGGATGGCCCAATGCTGGGAAGTAATACTATCTCATTAAGCATGAAACTTAAAAAGAAACAGACAGCGCCCCAGGGCATTTTTACCTTTAAATCTACTGTTTTTTTTTGTTCTCTTACTACTCTTTTGGATGAGGACACCCAGAGGATAGAAACCTCTTAGTTTTTAGGAATATCCTCATGTTCTGCCAGCATGTGATGTGTTAGAGTGGAAGGAAGTTCAGGGATCATCAAGCAGCATGGTTTGCACACCTGGAAGCTCATCAGAATTACTTAAGAAGCTTGGTATAAATAGAGATTCCTGGGCATAGCCCGAGATATTTTGATACCAGGAGGGTGCTGGTAATAATTTTAACATGTCTTTTATGGGATGTACCCTTTAGACCTCCCAAAGATAAGGAAACTAACTCTGGATGGGAATTGTTCAAGGTTACATAAAAGTTTAGCAAGGAAGTTTTTTTTTTTTTTTTTGAGATGGAGTCTTGCTCTGTTGCCCAGGCTGGAGGGCAGTGGCATGATTTCAGATCACTGCAACCTCCGGCTCCTGGGTTCAAGCAATTCTTCTGCCTCAGCCTCCCGAGTAGCTGGGATTACAGACATGTACCCCCACGCCCGGCTAATTTTTGTATTTTTAGTAGAGACAGGGTTTCATCATGTTTGCCAGGCTGGTCTGAAACTCCTGACCTCAAATAATCCACCCACCTCGGCCTCCCAAAGTGCTGGGATTACAGGCGTGAGCCGCCACAACCGGCCGAAAGATTTTTGTTAATGTCTCTCTCCCTCCACCTATCTTGTGCCTCAATAACAGACCTTGGTAGAATCCAAGGGGGAAAAAGGCAGTTTCCATGGAAAAATTTCCCTGTTTGACTCCATAATAAAGAACTCATCTCCAGGGTCAGAGAAGAGGTCCTCAGACACAAGAGGTAAGCAGCTAGAGCACCCATCTAGAAGGCATGTGCCCATGTTTCCTTAACCCTTATCATTCGGACCTGCTGAAATCCAAACTACTTATAAGTATTTCAGTGTCTCCACCTAATTCCAAGGGTCTTGGAACTCAGACTGTGGAGAGAATACAGGTTTGGTATTAAAGAACATAAGTTCTGAATCCAGCTCTCCAAGTCCTCAAAATAGCTGAGTGACTTGGGCAAATCATTTCCCCTTTCTAAGCACGGCCCTTCATTGACCATTAATAGGGCTGTGATTTGATACAAAGAAACATGCATCAATGGTCTTTTCAGACACCATCTGGTCAGAAGCATGGAGCAAGGAATGGGCCATGTACAACAGAGAAGAAAGCTGAGATGGCTTTTACCAATGTCGGTAGGGGTTCTACGCACGGCCCCTTCCTTGCTGTAATTCCCTCCTTGGGAATCAATCTCCACGCTTAGGTGGTGCAGGTGCAAAGAATGGGCACAGGAGGGTAGGCACCACGGGTCATGCTATGAAATCCATGGGCTGACTTTCTGATTCAGAAACGTGCCGAGCATGGTACTATCTTAGAGCCATAGGATGTGAAGTCTGGTGGGGGCGATTGAGGTCATCTAGTGAGCCCACCTTCCCTTCCCTTTTCTGAAGCCCAGAAAAATGAGTCTTACTCAATGCCACATCATTAAAACTCATTCTCTCTTGTCCCAACATCAATCCCAGTTCTTTTCTTCTCTTCCTTGTGTACCCCATCTCTTTCCTCTGTGAACTCTTGCAACATTCTTGTAATGCACACAGCTTCAGGATGTTCTTTACAAGCAGCTTTTTCATTCCTGCACATCTTGTCCCTCTGACGAGGCTGTCAACAAGGCAGGGACTATGCCTTTTTTGTGTCTGCTGTATGAAAGGCTTCACACACAGTGGATGCTGAATAAAGACATACTAGCTTGAAAAACGCAGTAATGATTATTGCTTTCGGCAAAGAAAGAAAAATGCTGTAGCAAACATGTGGAGCATTAGGAGAGGTGTGCATGCGTATTTAACTCTTTAAGTGACCTCAGCATGCTTCTCCCCTACCATGCTTACCCCTGCCAGTCCCCTTGGAATGTCGTCCTCCACCCTGCATTCCACCTTGCAGCTCATTAACCACTTGTCCATCCCCTCTCTCACTCTATCTTGGCCCCATGTCTTGCTTTTCACCACTCTCGCAGGGCTTCCCTTCTCCAGAATATGATTTGTAGAGTTGTTTATGCTTTGTTTGCTGAGTCTCCTGCATACTCTGATTTTACTCTCACCTTTGCAGACCATTCCATTCATAGCCATCTCTCCCTTGTCCTTCTCATCCCCGACTACAGTCTCTCCAACACAATGAAACACTGAGGTTGAAAGAAGGATTCTAGGCACAAGTGAAGTTTGGACATAACTAAGAATGGGGTGGTGGAAGAAGTCATTGCCAAACAGATCCAGAAGGGGATGTCTGGGAAGTCCATGAAACAAAGTCTTCTCCAAACTCTAAGCACCATCTCTATCTCCCTGGTGTCTTTATGCACAGAGATTCCAGTTCTTTACTTTGCCTTGGCTTTCATCAAAATGTCCTATGTTGATTCTCCCTTTCCTCTCTTCTCACCTTCCTTCATACAAACCCCTCATCCTCAAACACAACACTCTCCAACACTTTTTCTCTTAATACAAATCACAGGTACAGTTGAAAATTCACAGGGCGGAAGAACAGAAATTATTTTCCCCGAAAGATTCTGACTATATTTCCCTTGACTCGTTTATATATTGGTATTAAGCCCGTTCTGGAGCTGTGGTCAACAGGAAATTTTATTCAGTTTATCACTGTGTAGTGTTTTCTTTATCACTGCAAAATGTTACCTTGTAGCGCAGTGTAAAAATTTAGGTCTCTTTTCCTTTAAAGCTAGCTCCCCCTCCCACCACCACTCAGGCACTTCAAAAGGAGATTGTGGAAGTTGGTTCTGGCCCAGTGCCCCTCTGAACAGAGATGCTCACTGCATGGTTTATGTGCATAAGCAGTCAGAGCCAAAGGCCAGTTGTCACCAGGAGATGTATCCAGGCAACCTTGGTGCTAAGCAACAGATTGAAACTCAGAGTGTCTTGGTCCATGCCAGTTACAGCAGGTTGTTGAGAACTTGGCCTTGACTGGAGGAAAGGCTTGATTTGGGTGGGGTAGAGGATAAAGGACAAGAGGAGAAAAGAAGAGGAGACAGAGATATGAGATGGGAAAATAGAAGTGGAGAGGGGAGGGAATGAGAACAAATAGAAGATGGTTGATCTCAAACAACATTTCTCATGTCATGAAGGCCAGTAGTTAAAGAATGATCTGAGGTTTTAAAAAAGCAACAATTAGGCTTTTAAAAGTGTTTTTGAACATGTTATTTTTTAGGTGAATGCATTTCCCAGGCATCAAAACATTCTGTCTCCAGGACCTACATGACCTCGATCATCCCTGGTCCCAAAATTGGTCTCGCCTCACTTTCTGGCCTGCTTCTGCAGGTCAGAAGCCCTGCGCTGGCCTGGGAGATTTATTCCTGAGGGCAGGCCCCTGGCATGGAAATGTGGGTGGATCGATATGGCACAGAATGGAAAGGGAGAGAGAAAAGGTGGAAGAGGGAGGCCAGATGAACGAGTTCAACCTAGTGATGGGGCAGAATTGGGGTCAGCCCTTACGGTCAGTACGAACCCCCTCCCTACTTTCTGCTCTCCTGCATGTGTTCTTAGGAAACAGGCCAGACACTGTCCACAAATTCCCTCTCTATGGATAAGACAGCTCAGTGCTCAGATGATCCAGCCAAGTCTATCACACAGACCAGGGAAAACAGCTTGACAGCCATATTATCATTAGCCTGGAAATGTTTCGGTGATAGGACAGAAAGACTTGAGGTATTAGAAAGCAAGGCAGTACCTGGCATATGAGCCTCCACCCCAGGGCCCATTGGACTCCTGACCCATCCCACTCACTTCTCTGCAACATGCTTTTCTCATGCACCTCTCAGGCACAGCCTGTTCTAAACAAGCCTCTGCCTCTACCACCACCTCCTCCCATTGGCTGCAAGCAGTTGCCACATGGCAGATATCACATATGTGCCACTCATCACAGTCTCTTCTCACACACTAGCAGGATGATTAGATGCCATTTCAACAAGGCCCTGGAATAGGGTCATTAAGAGCTGTCATTCCCTTTTTCTAAGCCAATTTATCTGTATCAGTTGTTGTCAACCATTAGAGCCTTGCAGACTCACAAAGAGGTGTCTGAGTCGGAAATCATTTGGCATATGGTGAGCACGTGTGTACTTACGAGCTGTGCCTCATCCCTGATTGAGATCTGTCATCCCTCAGCCAAGGCCCTGGACTCCGCAATTTGCAAATCCCAGACTTTCACAGTTTGTCTCCTCCCCAGGGTGATTCCTAAAACCAGCTTTGCCTGGAAAGTACCAGGTGCATTTGGTCTGGAGTCGATGAGATGTTTCTTTTTGTCTGGCTTTTAAAAGCCAGACAAGAAGATCACTAGGGACAACAAGCCCATGGTAGTGCCAGATGAAGATAGTCTGAAAAAACTAGGGGTGTGTGTGTGTGTGTGTGTGCGTGCGAGTGTGTGCATGTGTGTGATAGAAACTAGAAACTATTCAAACATAGGTTTCCAGGGATTTTATAACACATACACACACATGCTGGCCAAGAACCAGACTTTCGGAAAAAAAATTATCTGAAACTCACACAAGCCGCCAGATGAAATGTTTATTTTCTTTAGTAGAACCCTTTGTTTCCATTTCATGGGCATTTCTTTATGACCACACACTAACTGAACCCCCTTCATCTATTGGGGGAATTCTCCTATAGTGAGCTGAGAATTCTGATACTTTCTCTTCTTCCGTAGTCAGTCTAAATTTAAGCAGCACCTAAAGTGCAGTGATGGACACTTAAGCAAAGAGTTATTACAGGCTGGGACCTCACTAGATGACTGAGGAAACTCAGCTAATTAGGAGAATAAGACCATAGAGACTTTGTGTATCCACAGGCAGAGAGTTTTCCAGAAGATGGGCAGATCCCTTCTTCTTAAAGATACATATGCCTCCAGCATGGCCCAATTATTCTAGTTTTTAAGGAATCCAGGCTGGGCGCAGTGGCTCATTCCTGTAATCCCAGCACTTTGGGAGACGATGGTGAGAGGATCGCTTAAGCCCAGGTGTTCAAGACCAGCCTGGGCAGCATAGTAAGATCCTGTCTGTACAAAAAAATTTTTAAAAAATAGCCAGGCATAGTGTTGTGTACCTGTGGTCCTTGCTACTGGGGTGGCTAAGGTTGGAGAGTCGCTTGAACTCAGGAGGTCAAGGCTGCAGGGAGGCATGATCATGCCACCGCACTCCAGCCTGGGTGACAGAACTAGAACCTGACTCCAAAAACAAAAAAGAAATCAAAGAATTCTGGGCACTCCAACTTCTATTAACACTTTGAACCAGTAGGAAGAGATGGGTCTTCCAATTATAGATAGTGATCTGTGACATAAAGTTGACAGTCTTTACAAAGTCTAAACAAAAGAAACGAGACTAGTTAAGATCATTCCCCATTTCCTGACTGAACCTGCTGCTTCATGTTTGTTATCCCCAGTGTCTGCCTTCAGCAACTCCTGACTGAGACCGTTGGACCTCCCAGCTACTAGGTCCATATCCTACTCCTTGAAGGACCTCAAAGCTCCACCTATGCTGACCAAATTCCCACAATAGGAATAGCACAAACGCCAACTGGCTGAAAAGAGAAATGCTGAATGAAAAATCAAGCAAGAAGTTAATCTGTTTGGCACCTTGTTACCTCTCTTCTGAGTGTAATCTGGGAGGCCGTTAATTGCTTGATTTACTGTATAGTCACTGCCAACAACAATAAATACAGTTAATTAATATCAGGTAACTCACTGCCAGTGAGGCTAGTAATTACCAGGAAATTGAAGAGAAAGATTTTTCATGATACTGTCAGATAGAACTCATTATCCTCCTCCTTTAGTATCTATTATTTTTAAAATTTGCTTGCCTTAAGCTTTCTGTAGAAATACCTTAGGTTCTACCAATGATTTTCTTTTCTTCCCTCCATTAACAGCTGCATGCTTATCAAGAAGGAGTAACTAGAACAGAATCTGTCTTCACCTATTCTTACCACCCTGGGAAGCTGAAATGATTTTAGAGCATGTGACCAGCCTGATGGGGTTTCTGAGAATACCCAGTCTTTGCTATAAGAAGGGATCCACCAAGAGAAATAGGGGGAGAGTATCCTGCTCTAACCACATAAGACGTTTTTGCTTAATTTTCCTAAATCAAGGCTTTCTTAGACAGGACTTAGAAGTAGTGTGCTATAATAGAAACAGAATGATCTTTGGTGTTAGAGACTTAGGTTTATACATAATAGTTGAGAAAATGTTTAAAATATTTCTTAAACACCTTAGACACTCAGTTTCCTCATCTTCAGAATAGAATCCAACACGTTTTGCATAGAATTTACTTTGTGATTAAGTGGAAGAGTTGCTGAATAAATACTTTCTGTTCCTCCAGCCTGTTCTTATATCTTTCCTTAAAAATTATACAAATTTTTCTTTTTTTTCTTCCTGGCTTGGATGCTGAATAGTTTAGTGCCAAATTTGTTTATGCCGTTACTAAATATACAGTGTGTATCATGTGTGCTAACCACTTACAATATCTTATCTGCTATTTTGACATTTCCTTTTTCCTACAGTCCTGATTTGAATATTTTAACTTTTATTTCATCTTTTTTTGATGTATATATTTATAGAGTCACCTTAAATCCATATAATTAGCATTAAAAAATTCTTGTATTTTCTGTGTTCCTACTCCTGGCAAACTGTCATCTTTCTCTAAACCCAAACCTATAGTTTCACAGTAACTGAAGAGGGAAAAATTCTCATTAGTGCAGACATACTTTCAAAAAATAGTCTGCCATGGTCTCAGAGCCCTAATCAGAGTTGGCCTTTGATGGGCAATGGAGAAGTGACATTCCCCAAGTGCTTCACTTCACAGCTAGGGGAAAAGAAAGGTGCTAATGGGAGACAGCCCGAAGTACATTGTGCCAGAGTTTGAAGAGTTCTTGGCCCTGAGTTGACATTTCAGGTAACATAGTGGGTCTTTATTGAGTATCTATTATGTGATTTGACAGATTCATACAGGTATAGAGACAAGATGTCCTACGTGTTCTTCAGAAATGCTCATTGTCCCCACACTACAGCTGAAGTTCTAGCAAATGATTCATGTATCACAGATTGCCTTACCAAAAGTAGCATCAGTTTTGGTTGCATGTGAAAAAATGTGTTCTATTCTTTTGGAGTGGATGGGGTAAGAAAATATGGTTATAGTAGTTACCACACAGAGGGAAAAAAAGTGTTTCCACTCATTGGAAAGAGCCTCGACTCTGAAAGCCATGTATCTTATATTCTGTGGGTAGGCTTATCTTAATTTAGGGATTACACCATGTAATTATTGTAAATAAAGGAAATAACCAAGCTATGCAATTTAATTTGGTCATATCTGCAGAGGATATAGAATTCTGGCTAGGATAGAAGATGACAATTAGTGAAAAAAGCGGTGTTGTGTATGATTAAGAGAAAGAACAGTGCAGAAATAACAAATACACCACACACACTTATGTATGTTTAAATCTTGCCTACCTCTACCCATGATGTTTTGAAACATATATGCATCTTAATGGCTGAATCGAGCAAATCTTCATATGTATTACCTTACATACTTAGCATTTATTTTTGGTGAGAACACTTAAAATCTACTCTCCTAGCAAGTTTTAAGTATACAATACATTGTTATTAACAATGGCTATCATGTTGTGCAACAGATTTCTTGAATGTATTCCTCCCAAATGAAATTTCATATCCTTTAAGCAACATTACCCCAATCCCTTCTTTCCAGTCCGTGGTAACCACTATTCTCCTCTCTACTCTGAGTTCAACTTTTTAATATTCCACATATAAGTAAGATCATGTGGTGTTTGTCTTTCTGTGCCTGGCTTAGTTGGCTTTATATAATGCTCTCCAGGTTTATTGATGTTTTTGCAAAAGATAGGATCTCCTTCCTTTTTAAGGCCTAATAGTATTTCATTGTGTATATATACTATATTTCTTTATCTATTTATCCATTAGGGAACACTTAGGTTGACTCCATATCTTGACTATTGTGAAAAATGCTGCATCGAACATGGGAGGGTAGCTATCTCTTCAACATACTGAGCTCATTTCCTTTGGCTAAATACCCATAAGTAGTATGGCTGCATCGTATTGTAATTCTATTTTTAATTTTATGAGAAATTCTCATACCGTTTTCTGTAATGTCTGTATTAATTTACATTCCCATCAACACTGTACAATAGTTCCCTTTTCTTCATATCCTCAACACTTGTCATTTTTCATCCTTTTAATACTAGCCAACAAACCTCATTCTTGACTGCCTTGCCTTTGATTGTCTTCCTTGCTCTGCCTTTTCTTGGGCAGCCATTGATTATCTAGAGCAATTGATTATCTAGAGCTTGCATCCTTATCATTGGAGAGTTTTATTCTGACTTGAAATTTCCATCCTCCCACATGCACCCATTTCCTCTGGTGTCTTGCAGCCCATACCCAAATCTTTCACAGGACTTTTGTGTCTGTGGAACTCTGCATCACTCTTCTTTTTAACAAAGGGTGGCATAGAGTTCTTTCCCTTCTTTGTCTTGTCTTTCTTTTCTTTCGCCTGGTGTATCCTGAGCAAACCACCTCCGTGCAACAGTCATCTTGTCATCTTGCCAAGTCTCCACCTGCTAAGGTTTTTTATTTTTGAGGGGAAGGGATTATGTTCCTAAACATCTGTGTATTAACACTTCCACCTGATAATTTGCATTTTATAAAGTATAGGGTGGCTTTTGAGCTAACTCAAGGCATGGCATTAATTTTGTGAGCTGCCCTATCCTTGACTAGTCATTTGTTCTTGGATCCTTTGCTGCTCCTTGTGAAATATATATCTAGTCACTTTCATGTACCCCAAAGAGGGGAAGCTACTGGCTACCTAATCCTCAAGAATTTGGAGATCACCATTGTGTTGGTGAGGCATACTTTGCCTCCCAAATTAATGAAGCAAAATCCTTCAATTTTCATCTTGGTCCAGTGCTGGGAACTGCCTTGGCATTGTGGATACCAGCCCTAGCTCTTCTGTGCCTACTCCATTCCAAAGTCCAGGCAGTGTGGCTCACTGGCTTTCAGAGGTCTAATACCAGGAATCTCTTCAAGGATGAGATATCTCACAAAAGAGAATTCTATCGAAAAGAGACAGATAAAATGCTGAGCAGGTGTCTCTGGCTTGAAACCTCTGTAGTCTACACAGAATACCTCCATTGTATCTTAGCTGCCTTGAACAACAGCTCTGAGGACCTACAGTGATAGAGACTTCTCTACATTGATGTTGTGAAGCGCTACAACCACTTCAGTTGGTTGCTACAACAGTTTTAAGTTGTTGTTGCTATAATCATTTTTTAAAAACTGTTTAGTATTATACACTAAATTTGAAAATAAGCATGGCCATACTCGGACAGTTCTACTTTCAGGTATTGTATTATTTCCTATGTCTGCTGTCAAAAGTTACCTCTAACTTGATGGTTTTAAAACAACAGAAATTTATTTTCTCACAGTTCAAGAGGCCAGAAGTCAGAAATTAGTACTACAGGGCTAAAATCAAAGAGACAGAGGGTCGGGGCCTGGTTCCAACATGGCCAAATAGGAATAGCTCCAGTCTACAGTTCCTAGTGTGAGCGATGCAAAAGACGGGTGATTTCTGCATTTCCAACTGAGGTACTGGGTTCATCTCACTGGGGCTTGTCAGACAGTGGGAACAGGACAGTGGGTGCAGCCCACCAAGTGTGAGCCGAAGCAGGGTGAGGCATCGCCTCACCCAGGAAGTGCAAGGGGTCAGGGAATTCCCTTTCTTAGCCAAGGGAAGCAGTGATGGACAGCACCTGAAAAATCGGGTCACTCCCACCCTAATACTGAACTTTTCCAATGGTCTTAGCAAACAACACACCAGAAGATTATATCCTGCGCCTGGCTCAGAGGGTCCCATGCCCATGGAGCCTCGCTCACTGCTAGCACAGCAGTCTGAGATCGAACTGCAAGACAGCAGCGAGGCTGGGGGAGGGGCTCCCGCCATTGCTGGGGCTTGAGTAGGTAAACAAAGCAGCCTGGAAGCTCGAACTTGGTGGAGCCCACCGCAGCTCAAGAGGCCTGCCTGCCTCTGTAGACTCCACCTCTGGGGGCAGGGCATAGCCGAACAAAAGGCAACAGAAACTTCTGCAGACTTAAATGTCCCTGTCTGACTGCTTTGAAGAAGGTAATGGTTCTCCCAGCATGGAGTTTGAGATCTGAGAAAGGACAGACTGCCTCCTCAAGTGGGTCTCTGACCCTCAAGTAGCCTAACTGGGAAGCACCCTCCAGTAGGGGCAGACTGACACCTCATACGGCCAGGTACCCCTCTGAGACAAAGCTTCCAGAGGAACAATCAGGCAGCAACATTTGCTGTTCAGCAATATTCGCTGTTCTGCAGCCTCCGCTGCTGATACCCAGGCAAACAGCATCTGGAGTGGACCTCCAGGAAACTCCAACAGATCTGCAGCTGAGGGTCCTGACTGTTTAAAGGAAAACTAACAAACAGAAAGGACATCCATACCAAAACCCAATCTGTATGTCACCATCATCAAAGACCAAAGGTAGGAAAAACCACAAAGACGGGGAAAAAACAGCAGGAAAGCTGAAAATTCTAAAAATCAGAGCATCTCTCCCCCTCCAAAGGAATGCAGCTCCTCACCAGCAAAGAAACAAAGCTGGATGGAGAATGACTTTGACGAGTTGAGAGAAGAAGGCTTCAGATGATTAAACTTCTCCGAGCTAAAGGAGGAAGTTCGGAGAAACTAAAAACCTTGAAAAAACATTAAATGAATGGCTAACTAGAATAGCCACTGTAGAGAAGTCCTTAAATGACCTGATGGAGCTGAAAACCATGGCACGAGAACTACATGACAAATGCACAAGCTTCAGCAGCCAATTCGATCAACTGGAAGAAAGGGTATCAGTGATTGAAGATCAAATGAATGAAGTGAGAAGAGAAGTTTAGAGAAAAAAGTAAAAAGAAATGAACAAAGCCTCCAAGAAATATGGGACTATGTGAAAAGACCAAATCTATTTCTGATTGGTGTACCTGAAAGTGATGGGGAGAAGGGAACCAAGTTGGAAAACACTCTGCAGGATATTATCCAGGAGAACTTCCCCAACCTAGCAAGGCAGGCCAACATTCAAATTCAGGAAATACAGAGAACACCACAAAGATACTCCTCGAGAAGAGCAACTCCAAGGCACATAATTGTCAGATTCACCAAAGTTGAAATGAAGGAAAAAATGTTAAGGGCAGCCAGAGAGAAAGGTCGGGTTACCCAAAAAGGGAAGCCCATCAGACTAACAGCAGATCTGTCGGCAGAAACTCTACAAGTCAGTAGAGAGTGGGGGCCATATTCAACATTCTTAAAGAAAAGAATTTTCAACCCAGAATTTCATATCCAGCCAAACTAAGCTCCATAAGTGAAGGACAAATAAAATCCTTTACAGACAAGCAAATGCTGAGAGATTTTGTCACCACCAGGCCTGCCCTACAAGAGTTCCTGAAGGAAGCACTGAACATGGAAAGCAACAACTGGTACCAGCCACTGCAAAAACATGCCAAATTGTAAAGACCATCAAGGCTAGGAAGAAACTGCATCAACTAATGAGCAAAATAACCAGCTAACATCGTAATGACAGGATCAAGTTCACACATAACAATATTAACCCTGAAGGTAAATGGGCTAAATGCTCCAATTAAATGACACAGACTTGCAAATTGGATAAAGAGTCAAGACCCATCAGTGTGCTGTATTCAGGAGACCCATCTCATGTGCAGAGGCACACAGAGGCTCAAAATAAAGGGATGGAGGAAGATCTACCAAGAAAATGGAAACCAGAAAAAGGCAGGGGTTGCAATCCTAGTCTCTGACAAAACAGACTTTAAACCAACAAAGATCCAAAGAGACTTCAAAGAAGGCCATTACATAATGGTAAAGGGATCAACTCAACAAGAAGAGCTAACTATCCTAAATATATATGCACCCAATACAGGAGCACCCAGATTCATAAAGCAAGCCTTAGAGACCTACAAAGAGACTTAGACTCCCACACAATAATAATGGGAGACTTTAACACCCCACTATCAACATTAGACAGATCAACGAGACAGAAAGTTAACAAGGATACCCAGGAATTGAACTCAGCTCTGCACCAAGCAGACCTAATAGACATCTACAGAACTCTCCACCCCAAATCAACAGAATATACATTCTTCTCAGCACCACATCACACTTATTCCAAAATTGACCTCATAGTTGAAAGTAAAGCACTCCTCAGCAAATGTAAAAGAACAGAAATGATAACAAACTGTCTCTCAGACCACAGTGCAATCAAACTAGAACTCAGGATTAAGAAACTCACTCAAAACCACTCAACTACATGGAAACTGAACAACCTGCTCCTGAATGACTACTGGGTACATAATGAAATGAAGGCAGAAATCTTTGAAACCAACGAGAACAAAGACACAACATACCAGAATCTCTGGGACACATTTAAAGCAGTGTGTAGAGGGAAATTTGTAGCACTAAATGCCCACAAGAGAAAGCAGGAAAGATCTAAAATTGACACCCTAACATCACAATTAGAAGAACTAGAAAAGCAAGAGCAAACACATCCAAAAGCTAGCAGAAGGCAAAAAATAACTAAGATCAGAGCAGAACTGAAGGAGATAGAGACACAAAAAAACCCTTCAAAAAATCAATCCAGGAGCTGGTTTTTTTTAAAAGATCAATAAAATTGATAGACTGCTAGCAAGACTAATAAAGAAGGAAAGAGAGAAGAATCAAATAGACACAATAAAAAGTGATAAAGGGGATATCACCACCGATCCCACAGAAATACAAACTACCATCAGAGAATAAATACCTCTATACAAATAAACTAGAAAATCTAGAAGAAATTGATAAATTCCTGGATGCATACACCCTCTCAAGACTAAACCAGGAAGAAGTTGAATCCCTGAATAGACCAATAACAGGCTCTGAAATTGAGGTAATAATTAATAGACTACCAACCAAAAAAAGTGCAGGACCAGACTGACTCACAGTTGAATTCTACCAAAGGTACAAGTAGGAGCTGGTAGCATTCCTTCCGAAACTACTCCAATCAATAGAAAAAGAGGGAATCCTCCCTAACTCATTTTATGAGGCCAGCATCATCCTGATACCAAAGCATGGCAGAAACACAACAATAAAAGAGAATTTTAGGCCAACATCCCTGAGGAACATTGATGCAAAAATCCTCAATAAAATACTGGCAAACCAAATCCAGCAGCACATCAAAAAGCTTATCCACCATGATCAAGAGAGTTTCATCCTTGGGTTGCAAGGCTGGTTCAACATACACAAATCACTAAACGTAATCCAGCATATAAACAGAACCAAAGACAAAAACCACATGATTATCTCAATAGATGCAGAAAAGGCCTTTGACAAAATTCAAGAATGCTTCATGCTAAAAACTCAATAAATTAGATATTGATGGGACGTATCTCAAAATAAGAGTTATTTATAACAAACCCTCAGCCAATATCATACTGAATGGGCAAAAACTGGAAGCATTCCCTTTGAAAACTGGCACAAGACAGGGATGCCCTCTCTCACCACTCCTATTCAACATAGTGTTGGAAGTTCTGGCCAGGGCAATCAGGCAGGAGAAAGAAATAAAGGGTATTCAATTAGGAAAAGAGGAAGTCAAATTGTCCCTGTTTGCAGATGACATGACTGTATATCTAGAAAACCCCATCGTCTCAGCCCAAAATCTCCTTAAGCTGATAAGCAACTTCAGCAAAGTCTCAGGATGCAAAGTCAATGTACAAAAATCACAAGCATTCTTATACACCAAAGCAGACAAACAGAGAGCCAAATCATGAGTGAACTCCCATTCACAATTGCTTCAAAGAGAATAAAATACCTAGGAATCCAACTTACAAGGGATGTGAAGGACCTCTTCATGGAGAACTACAAGCCACTGCTCAACGAAATAAAAGAGGACACAAACAAATGGAAGAATATTCCATGCTCATGGGTAGGAAGAATCAATATCATGAAAATGGCCATACTGCCCAAGGTAATTTATAGATTCAATGCCATCCCCATCAAGCTAGCAATGACTTTCTTCACAGAATTGGAAAAAACTACTTTAAACTTCATATGGAACCAAAAAAGGGCCCGCATTGCCAAGACAGTCCTAAGTCAAAAGAACAAAGCTGGAGGCATCACGCTACCTGACTTCAAACTACAAGGCTGCAGTAACCAAAACAGCATGGTTCTGGTACCAAAACACAGATATACATCATTGGAACAGAACAGAGCCATCAGAAATAATGCCGCATATCTACAACCATCTGATCTTTGACAAACCTGACAAAAACAAGAAATGGGGAAAGGATTCCCTATTTAATAAATGGTGCTGGGAATACTGGCTAGCCATATGTAGAACGTGAAACCAGATCTGTTCCTTCCACCTTATACAAACATTAATTCAAGATGGATTAAAGACTTAAATGTTAGACCTAAAACCATAAAAACCCTAGAAGAAAACCTAGGCAATACCATTCAGGACATAGGCATGGGCAAGGACTTCATGTCTGAAACACCAAAAGCAATGGCAACAAAAGACAAAATTGACAAATGGGATCTAATTAAACTAAAGAGCTTCTGCACAGCAAAAGAAACTACCATCAGAGTGAACAGGCAACCTACAGAATGGGAGAAAATTTTTGCAATCTACTCATCTGACAAAGGGTTAGTATCCAGAATCTACAATGAACTCAAACAAATTTACAAGAATAAAACAACCCATCAACAAGTTGGCGAAGGATATGAACAGACTCTTCTCAAAAGAAGACATTTATGCAGCCAACAGACACACGAAAAAATATCATCACTGGCCACCAGAGAAATGCAAATCAAAACCACAATGAGATACCACCTCACACCAGTTAGAGTGGCAATCATTAAAAAGTCAGGAAACAACAGGTGCTGGAGAAGATGTGGAGAAATAGGAACACTTTTACACTGTTGGTGGGGGTGTAAATTAGTTCAACCATGGTGGAAGACAGTGTGTTGATTCCTCAAGGATCTAGAACTAGAAATACCACTTGACCCAACGATCCCATTACTGAGTATATAGCCAAAGGATTATAAATCATGCTGCTATAAAGACACATGCACACGTATGTTTATAGCGGCACTATTCACAATAGCAAAGACTTGGAACCAAGCAAATGCCCATCAATGATAGACTGGATTAAGAAAATGTGGCACATATACACCATGGAATACTATGCATCCATAAAAAAGGATGAGTTCATGTCCTTTGCAGGGACATGGATGAAGCTGGAAACCATCATTTTCAGCAAACTATCACAAGGACAGAAAATGAAACACCGCGTGTTCTCACTCATAGGTGGGAATTGAACAATGAGAACGCTTGTACACAGGGTGGGGAGCATCACACACTGGGGCCTGTCAGGGTTGGGGGCGGGGGGATAGCATTAGGAGAAATGCCTAATGTAAATGACGAGTTAATGGGTGCAGCAAACCAACATGGCACATGTATACCTATGTATCAAACCTGCACGTTGTGCACATGTACCCTAGAACTTAAAGTATAATAAAAAAAATACAGTGAATACATTAAAAAAAAAAAAAAAGACAGGGGGTCATGTTCCCTCCAGGGACTCTAGGGAAAAATCAGTTACTCCACTTTTCCAGTTCCTGCTGGCTGCTACGTTCCTTGACTGAAGGCCACATCACTCCAATCTCTGCTTTTGTAGTCACATCACCTCTTCCTCTTTTCCCTCTGTCTCTTTCTTATAAGGATACTTGTGATTGATTGGATTTCAAGCCTATCTAGCTAATCCAGAACAATCTCATTTTAAAATCCTCAATCACATCAGCAAAAACCCTTTTCTCAAGTAGGATAACATTTGCAGGTTTCACTATTTAGTCTTTTCCAGGTATGTATTCAAAAATATGCACACATATGCACGTCAGAAGACATGCTGAAGAAGGTACAGAGCACATATTCATAATAAACACAAACTTGGTATATATTGGTGTATACTCAAAATATCCATCAGGAGTATTAGATAAACAAAGTATATTCATATAGTAGAATATCATGAAGCAATGAAAAGAAACATATCTCAACTACGTGTAGTATCGTGGCTGAATATCACACACATAAGTTTGAGTGAAAGAAGCAAGATAAAAATACGTATTGTAGGATTCCATTTTATAAAGTTCAAAAACAGGGAAAATGAAGCTAGAATATTTAGGAATGATTATACACTGAAGTTTTAAGAGTATGTACTGATTTGAATAGTAACCTCCCAAAATTCACGTTTACCTGGAACCTATAAATGTTAGCTTTTTATTTTTGGAAATAGGGTCTTTGCAGATGCAGTTGTGTTACAATGTAGTTATCTTACATTAAGATGGGTACTAAATCAGACAACTCATGTCCTTATAAGAAGGCCCTGTGGCCGGGCATGGTGGCTTACGCCTGTAATCCCAGCAGTTTGGGAGGCTGAGGCAAGTGGATCACCTGAGGCCAGGAGTTCAAGACCAGCCTGGCCAACATGGTGAAACCCCGTTTCTACTAAAAATGCAAAAATTAGCCTGGTGTGGTGGTGCGTGCCTGTAATCCCAGCTACTTGGGAGGTTGAGGCAGGAGAATCGTTTGAACCTGGGTGGTGGAGATTGCAGTGAGCCGAGATTGCACCATTACACTCCAGCTTAGGCGACAAGAGTGAAACTCCATCTCAAAAAACAAAACAAAACAAAAAGAAGACTCTGTGGACACACACAGGGAGAATACCATGTGAAGACAGAGGCAGAGACTGTAGTCATGTGTCCACAGCTTGGGAATGGCAAGGTTGTTGGGAGCCACTAAAAGCTTGGAAGAGGCAAGAAAGGACTCTTCTGGAGCCTTTGGAGAGAATATGACCCTGCAAACATTTTGATTTCACTTCTAGCCTCCAGAACAATGGGAAAATAAATTTCTATTGTTGTAAACCACTTGGTTTGTGGTCATTTTTTTATGGCGGCCCTGGGAAACTAATACAGAATATAAAACAAATAAGTGATTATCAAAAAAGTTGGAATAATGGCTACCTTTAGTGGGAATGGTGTGAGATGTAACTAGGAAAACGTAGAGAGAATTCTGGGGGTTACAATTTTGTTTTTCTTGACGTGGCTAAGAGGTATCAATAATGTTGTTAAACTTCCTACTTATCCTCACGTTCTTTATTCCTTCTTTTTCCATTTTTTAGTATAAAGTTTTAAGTTATTTTCCAAGGGGCTCTGAGACTTCTTGTGGAGTGACCTGTCCATTGAGGTTTGCAGCTTGCACAGTAAGTCAGAAGCAGAGTAGGTTTGTGGTGTCAGTGAGCAGAAGAGGAGGGGTTTGGCTGTGTGTATCATGGAGATTCAGATATGCAAGAGCCTATCAGAAATGTATTTCTTCTCCAGGGAGAAAACTCATCCTTATAGAAAAACGGCCATGCCTGCAAGCTTGGTCCAGGAAGGAAAACTCTAATTAAATCCTTGAATTTGTCATTCAGCTCTGTCTTTCTTTTTTTTTTTTTTTTTTTTTTTAATTTTTGGAGACATGGTCTGTTTCTGTCACCAGGCTGGAGTGTAGTGGTAATATCTTAGCTCACTGTAACCTCCGTCTCTCAAGCCAGCCACCCACTTCAGCCTCCCAAGTAGCTAGGATCACAGGTGTGCACTACCACGCCTATTATTATTATTATTAGTATTATAATTATTTGTATTTTTAGTAGAAACAAGATTTCACTAGGTCACTGGGTTGCCCAGGCTGGTCTCGAAATCCTGAGCTCAAGCTCAGCCCACCCACCTCTGCCTCCCAAAGTGCTGGGATTACAGGCATGAGCCACTGTGCCTGGCCAGCTCTGTCCTCTTTCTAATATCCACCTTCTATATATTTCTGAAGCTCTGGACGTATTGAGAGAGGGGAAAGTAGAAAATGAATTATCTTACTAAAATGTCCTGTAAGGCTTTTTTTGCAGGAAGGATCTTTGAGGTGTGTGTGTATATATATACACACACACACACACGCACACACACATTATATATCTACACATACATCTATACATATATATACATGCACATATATATGTATAATTTTTTTTTTGAGATGGAGTCTCACACTGTCACTCAGACTGTTGTGCATTGGCACTATCTTGGCTCACTGCAACCCCCTCCTCCCAGGTTCAAGCAATTCTCGTGCCTCAGCCTCCCAAGTAGCTAGGATTATAGGCACCTGCCACCATGTCCAGCTAATTTTTTGTATTTTTAGTAGAGACAGAGTTTCACTATGTTGGCCAGGCTGGTCTTGAACTCCTGACCTCGTGATCTGCCCACCTCGGCCTCCCAAAGTGCAGGGATTACAGGCGTGAGCCACCGTGCCTGGCCAACATATTTTTAATAGTCAGGAATTTTTTAAAAAGCAGAAAGCATTCTAATTTTGAAAAACACTGAATGGCTTTAGAGACCTGAGGGCTCTGTATCTGGGGAGAGGCAACAGCGCTTCACAGACAGTAGACATGGTAATTGACCGAAGTTGCTTACAAAGTTGTAGGAGCTCCTGAGAGAGATGTAGGAGGCAGTGGACTGACTAAGCAGTAAGCAGAAGCTTTATATCATTGGCTGCAGGTAAGAGGCAGAAGCCAAGGGATATGCCAGAAATTGCCCCTGTGAGTGGAGGCTTTTGGGATTCCAGGTCTTTATTCTCACTAGAACTTGCCAAGAATCATTCCTCAGCTTGCTCATTAGAGTTGAAGGCAACAGGAAGTTGAGGGAAAAGATGAGGTGAGAAACCATTGTTCTTAGTTTCACTGGGAGTATCAAAGAGGGTTTAAAATGTCTTACCTTTGGGAGCATGTTCTCTATCTTCCTCTATAGAATGAGCGTTCCTCTATAAAGCGAGCACGGTAACACCTAGAGCATCGAAGAATGGAATGATCAGCAGAAAGGAAGTGGACATGCACCAAGTTCCTGCTCTGTACTAAACACTTTATATTATCTCATTTAATTTTCATGAGACTAGGAAGTAGTTTACATTGTTTTCATTTTACAGTTGAGAATATCAGCCAACTTCATTTTATCAAGAAGAAACATCACCAGATTCATAAAACTTGAAATTGGTGGAGCTGGGACTTGCAACCAGAGCTCTGTGGCTCCAGAGATCACAGTCTTCCCGCTACTAGCCCTGCTGAGATAATGTTTGTCAAACAGCCCAGTTAGAACAATGAGATGTCCTAGAAACTGAGACTGCATTCTTACTTATGTAATTAAATGAAGCCAACATTGAACTGTAAAATAAGCGTAAGGAAGCCCAGCAAAAATCTAATGAGTATTTTAATAATTTTCTAAAATGCCAGATGTCCGGTTCTTCACCAACAAATGATTTTGGGGACCCTTCCTTTACTGTTGCTCTGGATATATTCTCAATCTGCTCAGACAGTCCAGTATTGGATATAACAGCAAGTGTAAGATACAACATCGCAAAAGTGAGGCATAATTACTATTTTATAACAATTATACAATAAATAATTACTTATTACAGCATTATTTGTATTCGAAAAACTTAGTTGATAAGACCAAGTAACACAGAGATGGGATTGAGAGGTAACCACATGTACATGAGATAAGGAGATCCCAGACTGGTATTCCATTGTAGTACCTAGAATCCAGGGGATTCTGAGATACTTTTGGTTGCACTATTCTTCATTTCCTTGTAGAAGCTTCCCTTTCCCACTCCACTGCTGCCCAGCAACCAACACTCTATAAATATCCAGTTGACAGTTTGCTCCCAGAACATATTCTCAGATCACTTTGAAAATGCGAACATTACAAAACTGAAAACTAGAATTCATAACCAGCCTATTTCCATAATATAAAAGGTAGTACGACATAAGGAAAAGAGCATATATAGACTAAATATATTAAATTCCTTTTCTGTTTTTGGTATGATTTGGCTGTGTCCCTACCCAATCTCATCTTGAATTGTAGCTCCCATAATCCCCATGTTTTGTGGGAGGGACCTGTTGGGAGGTAATTGAATCATGGGGGTGGGTCTTTCCTGTGCTGTTCTCTTGATGGTGAATAAGTCTCACAAGATCTGATTGTTTTATAAAGGGGAGTTCCCCTCCACAAGCTCTCTTGCCTGCTGTCATGTAAGATGTGCCTTTGCTCCTTCTTCACCTTCCACCATCATTGTGTGGCCTCCCCAGCCATGTGGAACTGTGAGTGCATTAAGCCTCCTTTTCTTTATAAATTGCCCAGTCTCAGGTATTTTTTCATAGCAGTATGAAAGTGGACTTACAGTTTTTAAAATCAGCAGTTTAAAAAAATCTGTATAAATTCTTTCTTCCTAATTTTCATGTGAAAATGTCCCTCCCCCAACTTCTCTAGTAGAACATTCAGTTAATTTATTTTCATCATTTCAAAACTACAAAAATGATTATTTAAAGCGAAGAATTTAAAATTTCAACACAATTTGGCCACATCACATAAATTTGATATCAAAGATTTGCTTTGTTATTCACTCTAATTCACATTTTGTTTTTTCTTTGATCTGAGAGATATTTAGGAGTTCTTAGTTTTTAATGATGAGTGATTTGGGATTTTTAAATATGAACTTTAAAAATTATTTTATAGAATGGTATCATTACTGGAGAATATCACCTGTAGTAGTTGTTTGTTGAATTTTTTTTCCATTATATGATAAAATTTTATAGTGTTACATAAGCACTGCTAAAGATGTTTTACATTAATAGGAAGAATTTGGTATTGATACATAGGAATTCCATTTTTTGCCTTGACATTTTCTTAGTCTAACATTAAAGCTATGACTACTGCTTAAGATTTTTTCTTCAATATGTTATTTTTCCCTTAATTTTTCTTGTTTCATTTAGTCTTGTTTAGTTTTGTCTTAGTGATGTCTTTATAATATTCCATATAACGTACTTTACTGCTCAGGCCAATCCACACGTCTCTGACTGAATTGAGGAGATTAGTACGTTTTACCTTTATTTTATTTATTTATTTATTTATTGAGAGGTAGTCTCATTCTGTCACCCAGGCTGGAGTGCAGTGACACAATCTTGGCTCACTGCAACCTCCGCCTCCCAGGTTCAAGCGATTCTCCTGCCTCAGCCTCCTGAGTAGCTGGGACTACAGGTGCCTGCCACCACGTCCTGCTAATTTCTTTGTATTTTTAGTAGAGACGGAGTTTCACCATGTTAGCCAGGAGGGTCTTGATCTCCTGACCTTGTGATCCACCTGCCTCGGCCTCCCAAAGAGCTGGGATTACAGGCATGAGCTACCGCACCCGACCCGTTTTACCTTTATAGCTGTAGTTAAAACTTCAGTCTCACTTTTATAATCCTATCATACGAAGTTTCTCTGCTGTCTCTTCTCTTTCCTTATTGTCTTTTGTTAAATGAACTATATTTAGCTTGTTCATTTTCATGGCCACTATTTCTGAAGATAAATAAGTTGTTACTATGATGATTTCTTTGAAGTTTTTCAAAAACATTTTCCAAATCTATGTTTGGAAATGAATAGGGCTTATGTTGATGTACCCCTGACGCAAGAGTTTGGCAACATTTTAACGTACTTTACTTTTCCCCTTTCACCTTTGTGGTTTTTGCTAATATAATTTTGTTATTATAATGTGATGTAATCTATTAATAAAACTACAGCTATTTTAACAGTTTCAAATTAATAAATTCTACAATACATATCCACTGTTTCAAGAAACACTTTAATGCCTGTGTTCCTTTTGAGCCAGACTTGTAGTTTTAAGACAATTCTGTTTTACTAATTGTAGGACTGTCATTCCTTCTACATTATAGTTTTCCCATTCTTGAGCGCTAACTTTTGTTCAGCATAATAAAGTTGTCTTCAAGTAATTCTTCTGTTCGATGTATATTGGGGTGTTATATTTTGTTTTTCTTTTTTAATTTTTAATTTTTATGGATATATAATAGTTGTACATTGTTATGGGGTACATGTAATATTTGGATACAGTTTTACAATGTGTGATAATTCAATCTGAGTAGTTGAAATATTCATTACCTGAAAGATTTATCATTTGTTTGTGTTGGGAACATTCCGGATCTACTCTTCTAGTTAGTTTGAAATATGTAATAAATTATTGTCAACTCTATTGCTTTATGGTGCTACTGGACACTAAATTTTATTCCTTCTATCACACTATATGATTGTATCCGTTGACCAACCCATCTTTTCTGGGTTCTTGCATATCTGCCAAGAACATTTTAACGAATATAAAATTGTTGCATAATACATGTTTTCCCTTACCATAAAGTTGCTCTGTTATCTCGTGGGTTTCAGTGTTACAGAGGAGACTCCTGAGGCCAGTGCAATTTGGATCTTCTGGAAGTGTACAAATTAAAGTTATTTTGATTGTAAGAGAAAGAGAATGACTGTGACTAACTTAAGAAAACAAGACATTTGTTGAAAGGATCACTTTATAAATGGAGGAATAGCTAAAATTCAAACATTGGGAAGGTGAGAAAGTTCAAAATAATTACCATAAATGTTGTATGGTTTCTATCCAGTCTTTCTATCCAGGTTTCTCATTCCTGAAAAAGATAATCAGGCATTTCCAGCTTGAGCCAAGTATCTACCACAATATAAAAGAGCTTTGGGCAGAATGTTGAGCTCCGACAGGCAGGAAACCCACCTACGTGTACTGAAGACCACCTAAGCCAGTTTGACTGATGCCCCATTAAAAGCAACCTGATTTTTTTTCTGGATGAAATTTTACAGGATTTTTATTCCTGTTATTTTTTTAAATGCCAAAATAGGTTTACAAGCCCAGGTTTTTCCTTAGTTCAGAAAGAATTTCTTCTGGCACAATAGGTTTATTGTTTCTATTTATTTTGTTCTGATCTCTTCTTCCAAAATCGCAGTAATCCAGACATTCTATACTTGTCCTTTGCCTTCCATGTTGGCGACCATTTTTATGTCTTTTTCTTTTGTATTCTGAGAGAGACTTTCACTTGTTTTCTACACTAATCGATTTTCTGCAGTATCAGTTTCTGTTTTTAAGGCCCCAAAGCGTTTTTAAATAAACTATTCTTTTGGAATAATTTTACATTTACAGAAAAGTTGCAAAGACAGTACATAACGTTCCCTCCACCCTCACTCAGTTCCCCATAGGTCAACATTTTACATTACCTTGGCTCATTTTTCACTGTTTGAGACCAACATTGGGACATGTTTTAGTTTCTTATTACTGCTGTAACAAATACAACAGAGGTCAAAGTTCTAATGTCCAGGCATGACCCTTCAGAGGCTTTAGGGGAGAAGGGGCTTCCTTGTCTTTTCTGGTTTCCGTGGACTGCCTGTGCTCCTTGTCTCGAGGCCTCTTTTTCAGAGCACGTCACTCCAACCTCTGTTTCCAGAGGTTGTCTTATCTCCTTCTTCTATTGACCTTCTCACTTTCCTCTTAAAAGGACCTTTTATGATTTTACAGGGCCCATCCAGATAATCCAGGTTAGCTCTTTATCTCAAGCTCCTTAATTTAGCCATATCTACAAAGTTCTTTTTGCCAAGACAGGTCACAGATTCCAGGAATTTGGAGATAGGTATCTTGGAGCTAGGAGGACTTTATTCTGCCTGCCACTGTATATGACATTATTATCAACCAAACTCCAGTTATTCGAATTTATCTTTCCTACAGATTTCTTTATTTTTTTCTGTTCCAGGATCGCATCCAGGATTCCACAATGCGTTTCGCCACCATGTATCTCCTTAAGTTTCCTCTGTTGCGTGACAGTTTTGCAATCCCAAAGAAAAATTTTAATTTTGCTTTCTTATTTTTAACTTTTCTTGTAATTCTTCTCTATATTATCTATTTCTGTTTTCAATTCATCCCACTATACATTGTCCCATTTTGATTCTTCTGCCTGTATTTCTTTTACTTCTTTTATTATTTGTCCTGGCTTTTTTGGAAACCAGTTCTTCTGTATTCTTTTGAAAATGTCAAACAGTTTTTTCATCTCACAGTAGATGTTTATGGAGTACTGCTCTTCCTCTGAGTCATCAAGACACGTTGCTTTGACTTTGTTCTCAGTGTAACTTCCAAATGTGCCGCACATTATCTATATTCGGAGTTTGCCAACACCCAGGATATGTGGATCACACTCCTCCCCAGTGCACAGCCATGCTGCTGATGGAAGAATCACTTTCCCAATCAAGAGTTAGAAGACACAGGTCTTTGAGATATGAGAAAGATGACAGGGAAATAAGAAAATGTTTTTCTATCCAATTCCAGGTGTTTTTATGAAATGAAGTCTGGGCAAGTTTTTCTTGTTATAAACTCATCTGCTTTGTTATTAGAGAAGGATTCCCCATGTTTCTGTCAATACAGTTTTTTTAGGCTGTTTTTATTGTTGTTAGGAGTAGCCTTTTTTTTTTTTTTTTGGTCATAGGGTACACAAACCTGGAACTCATGGATGAAGGTACACATTTGAAAGTTATCACACATGAAGATGAGGTTTCAAGCTACAGGACTGGCTGATATTACTCAGGGATAAAATATAGTTAGACGGCTGACAGAAGCTCACATCGAGCTCCACGTTCCTCCCTATGTTCACAGCTACATTAGCTCTGTTTGGGAGAGTTCATACCTGAAAGCAGTGCATCTGAGAAAGTCCTCAGTTATCTGGCCAAGTATTAGCTCAGTACGGGCCTCATGAATGCTGAGGCAACATTCTACAGTGAAAATGAATAGGGAAGAATTTTATAGTCAGATAGAATTGAGTTCAAGTATGGGCCCAGCCACATGTAGATGTAAAACCTGGGAGATGACACTTACTTACCTGGGGCTCTGATTCTGCATCTGTAAGATGGCTTTACTGAAAGAACCTATTCTTATTTCACTGATGTATAATTGAAAATCAATAACCTGCACTTTTTAAAAGTGTTTTTTTGATACGTTTTAAAGTACATATGCACCCGTGAAACTATCACTGTAATTAAGATAATGAGTATATCAATTATCCCCTCCTTTGTCATCCCTTCCTCACACCCCTCCCCACCTCCACCTTTTCCCCAGGCACCTCTTAATCTGTTTTCTGTAGATTCATTTGCATTTTCTACAGTTTTATATAAGTGGAGTTATGTAATATGTGCTCTTTTTTTTCTGGCTTTTTCACTCAACAAAATTATTTTGAGATTTATCCATATTGCATATATCAATAGTTCTTTCCTTTTAACCACTGCAGTCCAATTTATATATTTTTTTCTTTTATGGATAATGCTTTTGCTGTTGTATCTAAAAAATATTTGACTAATCCAAGATTATAAAGATTTTCTCTTATATTTTCTTCTGGAAGTTTTATGATTTTTATATTTTACATTTAGGTCTTGTCTTCGTCCATTTGTGTTGCTATAACAAAATACCTTAGACTGGGCAGTTTATAAAGAATAAAATTTATTTCTTACAGTTGTGGGGATTGGCAAGTCCAAGATCAAGGCAACGGAATTGGTGACTGGTGATAGGTGCTCTCTGTTTCCAACATGGTGCCTTGTTGCTGTATGCTTACATGGTGGAAGGTGGAGGGGCAGGAGAGATGCTCCCTTCAACCTTGAGCCCTTTTACAGGGTGTTAATCTCATTCATGAGTGGTCCACATTAGTCATCTCTCAAAAGCTACACCTCTAATACTGTTGCATTGAAATAAAATTTCAACATGAATTTTGGAGGAACATCATTCAAACCACAGAGTGTCTCACCCCACAAATTATATACTGTGCTTTTGTTTTCATTCAATTAAAAATAATTTTTAATTTGCCTTTTGATTTCTTCTTTTATCCAAGGATCATTTGGAAGTGTGTAAGTTAGCAAATAAGTATTTTACTAAATTTTTTTCCAGATACTTTTCTATAAATGACTTTAAATTTAATTTTATTGTGGTCAGAAATCCTACTTTGTACGACTTAAATCTTTTCAGGTTTATTGAGACGTCTTTTATGGCCCAGAATGTGGTCTGTGTTCCATGTGCACTTGAGGAGAATTTGTGCATTGCTGTTGAATGTTGTTGGCTGGAACGTTCTGTGAATGGAAATTAGATCAAGTTGGTTAATGGTATTATTTATTATTCAAGCCATTTGTATCCTTAGTGATTTTCTTTCTACTTGTTTGGCCAATTATTAAGAGTAGTATATTGAAATCTCCAGCTATAATTTGCATTTATTTCTCAGTTTTTGCTTCATGTATCTTGAAGCTTTGTTATTAGATGTACAAACATTTAGAATTGTTGCATCCACTTGATGAATTGACCCCTTTAGCAGGTTGAAATAATCTTGCTTTGAAATCTATGTTGTCTGATAATAATATAGTCAATTCAGTTTCTTTCTCTTCTTTTTCCAATTAGTATTAGGTTGCTATATTTTTCCATCATTACCCTTGTAATAAATTTGTGTATTTATGTATCAAATTGCCTTCTTGTAGGCAACATATAGTTGTGTTTTGCTTTTCCTAAATCAAACTTCTGCCTCTTAATTGGGGTGTATAGAGGATTTAGATTTAATGTGGTTGTTGATATGATTGAGTTCTAATCTGTCAAAACACTAATTGCTTTCTGTTTGTTCTTTGTTTCCAGTTTCCTTTCATCCTGTCTTCCCTTGGACTGTTTTTTATAATTTCATTTGATCTCCTCCATTGGCTTGTTATTCCTCTTTTTAATGTTATTTGATTGCTCTAGGGTTTGTAATGTAAATCATTAACTATCGCAATCTTCAAGTAGTAGTATTACACCACTTCATATATAGTATAAGAACCGTTCAACAGCATCCTTCCATTTCCCCTTTTTAGTCTTTGTAGCATTGTTTTCATACATTTTACTTTTACATATGTTATAAAACTTATAATACATTGTTATTAGTTTTGAACAATTGATTATTGCTTAAGGAGATTTAAATTAGAAAAAAATATACTAGCCATTTCTAATGCTTTTAATTCCTTTGTATGGATATATTTTTCTATCTGAAATTGTTTCCTTCTGCTGGAAGGACTTTCTTTAACATTTCTTGTAATGCAGGTCTGTTGTTAATGAATTCTTTCAGCTTCCGTATGTTTGAAAAATACTTTATTTTGCCTTCACCATATGAAAGATATTTTTGTTGACTACAGATTTTTAGGTTGCTAGCTTTTTTGTGCCCCCGGCCGCCTACTCCCTTACCCCCAACTCCCCCTACCCCACCCACCTCTGAACTCTAAAGATTTTGCTTCATTGTCTTCTGGTTTGCATTGTTTCCACTGAGAAATCTGCTGTCATCTTTCTATTTGTTCTTTTGTATGTCTCAAGTTGTTTTACTCTGGCTCATTTAAGACTTTATCGGTGGTTCTAAGCAATTTGATTCTGATACACCTTGGAGTAACTTTCTTCATGTTTAATATATTTGGATTTTGTTGAGCTTCTTTTCATTAAATTCAGGAAAATTTTGGACATTATTTTTTCAAATATTTTTTTCTCTCCCTCTTTTCCTTTCTGGAACCTCTTGGCTACTTAAAGTTTCCTCATGCCTCACTGATGCTCTGTTCATTCTTTATTTCATCTCTTTTCCCCTTTGTGTGTTAAATTTGGCATAGTTTTGTTGCTTTGCATTAAAGTTCATTAGTCTCTTCTTCTACAATATCTAATCTGCCGTAAATCCCATCCACTGTTTTTTGTTTGCTTGGTTTTGTTTTTTTTTGTGTTTTATTTTTGGAGGCATTGTAGTTTTTAATCTATAGAATTTCTATTTAGGCCTATCTTGTATCTTTCATGTCTCTACTTAATATGTTCAATTTTCCTCTAGATTCCTGAACATATTAATACAGTTATAATACCTGTTTTAATGCAATTGCCTACTAATTATATCATTTATATGATTTGTGTCTTTTCTGGTTTTGTTTCAATTGCTTGCTTTCTATCCCCATTATAGGTTGTACTTTTTTGCTTTTTACATACTTGATATAATCTTGTGTGTATGTGTATGTATATGTATCTTTTTTTGTTTTGTTTTTTAGCCAAGGTCTCATTCTATCACCCAGGCTTAAGTGCAGTGGTGTGATTTCAGCTCACTGCAACTTTGCAACATCCGCCTCCCAGGTTCAAGCCATTCCCATGCCTCAGCCTCCTGAGTAGCTGGGACTAGCGGTGTGTGCCACCAAGCCTGGCTAATTTTTGTAATTTTAGTACAGACGAGGTTTCACCATGTTGGACAGGCTGGTCTCGAACTGCTGGCCCCAAGCGATCCACCTGCCTGGGTCTCCCAAAGTGCTGGGATTACAGGCATAAGCTACCATGCCTGGGCTGTCTGAATATATTTTTTATTCCTAAAATATTCCTAAGTTTTGTTCTGAGACACAGTTAAGTTACACAGAAACCATTTGATCTTTTCAAAACATGAATACATTTAGTCTAGGGCTAGTTTTTTCCCACTACCGAGGTAATCCCTTCTTAGTAGTCTACTCAGTACTTGGTGAATTTTGAATTTTTCCATTCTCAGACACTTTCTGGCCCTGTGCGATGGCTGAGAATTGTTCCTTCTAATTTTCTCAGGTGGTTCTTTTGCCAGCCTAGAGTATCTTCTTTAAATGCCTGTGCAAATGAGACTTTAGTTGAAGGCTCAACAGGAGTCTTCTACAGGTCTCAAGTTCTAAGTATGGCTCTCTCTTCTCCTGATCTCTGCCTTGTAAACTTTAGCCACCTGATCCTTGCCTGATTCCCAGTTCTGCTTCCTCAACGCAGTTAAACCATTAAGCTTTGCCTGGGCTCCACCTCTCCATGCCTTGCCTTGAAAACTCTCTAGGCAGTAAGTCAGAACAATCATATGGCTCTGTTTGTTTTCCTCCTGCCTCTAAGGGAGCACTGCCTTTTATTGCTTGGTGTCCAATATTTAGTCCTGTTGTCTTTTCATATATTCAGTCCAGCTTTTTAGTTATTTTAGGTGGGATAATAAATCTGATTTGTGTTATTCTATCTTAGCCAAAAGAGAATGTCTTCAAAATAATTTTTGTAAGAACTGAATGATATAGGACAAGAGAAGACCTTAGTTTAATATCTGACACAAAGTAAGAAATCTGCAAATATTAATTTTTAGCCAACTTAATCAGAATTTGTATGCAAGTATGGCTTTCAGATCAAGGCCAAAAATATTTTTCCTCTATTTTGTTCGGCAAGATCCCTGCAGGAATACTAGATTCACTCCCTGTTACCATAATTTTAAATAGGTCCTGACAATTTGGAGAATATCCAAAGGAAAACCTCAATAACAGTGAAATTTCTAGAAACAATGGCCTAAGTGAACAGTTAAAAAAAAAAATGGCAGATATCCAGCTGAAAGAAGATAAATCAGCCATCTTCTGGTAACCAAAGGGCCCCTGCGTGAAAGATGATGTAGATGATGTCTTTAGTGGGAAGGATCAGGATCAGTTGATGGAAAGTAGAGATAGTCTGATTTGGGGTCAATATTAATGCAGCCACTTTCCTGAATAGTCAAAATAAGGTACAAATACTGAACAATACTTTTTCTCTTTTTTTCTGATGAATGCCTTCAGTCATCGTTTAACAGATCAATTTCTTTTCCAAATCTCAATGACATACGCTGTTGTTTTCACTCAATGAAATTCACGTGAAATGTAAACCTCATTATGTTTCAGGTTTGGCTCAAGTGATATTCAGTGGCCAGGGGATAGTTTGTTCTTTTATTCCTCTCTCTCCTTCTCCGGGTTGTTGTTTTGTTGTTGGAGCCTGGCAGAAGGTGACAGGATATATTGGAAGGGGTGATCTTAACTACATGCCCCTCCCTAGTTTGTCTCATTCTTCTGCTGCTTGTGGCATACATGATGTGGTGGTCTCTGTGTAGATCACGTGCCTAGATATCTTCGGTTCTACCTTGCCCTCCTCAGTAACTGTGGATCCCTTAGGAGCAGTCAAGTTTCCTGGGAGCATCAGATCATGCCCCAAATCTCCCTCTTGTTAAAGTGCATCTGCTTCCTTTTCTACCTGAGTGCTTTTTCATATGGAGGCTCTGAAACTGCTGAGTTGCTCCTGGGGTAGCCATTGCCTTACCTTTTTCTTTAGAGACTCCACTGGTGGTCCCTACTCAGCCTCCTGTGTTAGACTACTTCAGTAAGCTATTTGCCTTCAAAAATGCCCAGGAAATAATCTGACACCATCCTTATATTCACATACATCTGAAACTTTAAAGTGCTCATGTCAAACTAAAAAGCTTCTGAACAGCAAAGGTAATTACCAGTAGATTGAAAAGGCAATCTACAGAATGAGAGGAAATACTTGCAAACTATCTCATAAGGGACTAATATCCAAAATATATAAGGAATTCCTACAGGTGAATAGAAAAAAAAAAAAAGTCCCAAATAATCAGATTTTAAAACTGGGCAAAGGACTTGAACAGGCATTTCTCCAAAGAAGACACAGATAGCCAACAAGTATATAAAAGGACGCTCAACAACACTAATTGTTAAGGAAATGTAAATCAAAACCATGAGATAGCAGTTCGGACAAGCTAGGATGGCTATTATTTAAAAAAAAAAAAAAAAAAACAGGGCTGGGCGGGGTGGCTCACGCCTGTAATCCCAGCACTTTGGGAGGCCAAGGTGGACAGATCACAAGGTCAGGAGTTCAAGACCATCCTGGCCAACATGGTGAAACCCCGTCTCCATTAAAAACGCAAAAATATGCTGGGCATGGTGGTGCACGTCTGTAATCCCAGCTACTCGGGAGGCTGAGGCAGGAGAATCGCTTGAACCTGGGAGGCAGAGGTTGCAGTGAGCCGAGATGGCATCACTGCACTCCAGTCTGGGCAACAAAGCAAGACCCCATCTCAAAAAACAAACCAACAACAACAACAATAAAACAGAAAAATAAAGTATTGGCGATGATGTGAATAAATTGGAATCCTTGTGCACTGTTGGTGGCAGTGGAAAATGGTGTAGCTACTATGGAAACAGTATGGAAGTTTCTCAAAAAATTCAAAATAGTGCTACCATATGATGCAGCAACCCTTCTTGTGGGTATCTAGCAAAAAGAGTTAAAATTAGGATCCTGAAGAGATATTTACATTCCTATGTTTATTGCAGCATTGTTCACAATGGCCAAGAGGTAGACACAATGTAAAAGTCCACTGGTAGATGCATGGAAAAAAGAAATGTGACATGCATGCAATGAAATATTATTCAGTCTTAAAAAATAAAATTTTGTCCTGTGCTACAACATGGATTAATCTTGAGGATATTATGCAAAGTGAAATAAGCCAGTCACAGAAAGACAAATACCAAATCATTCCACTTACATGAGTTATTATCTAATGTAGTGAAACTCAGGGAAACAGAAAGTAGACTGGTGACTGTGGGTAAGGGCTGAAGCGAAAGAAAATGGGGAGTTGCTTTTCAGTGAATATACAGTTTCAGTCATGCAAGATTAAAAAGTTATAGAGATACGCTATACATCAATGTGCATATTGTTGACAATACCGTACTATAGATGTAAAAGGTCGATTTTTATGTTACATGTTTTAACCACAAGAGTAAAAAAAAAAAAAAAAAGATGCTGAGGGAGGGGGAATGGGGTATTAGTATTTAATAGGAACACAGTTTCACTTGGGAAAAATGGAAAATTTCTGGATCTGGATGGTGATGCTAGTCGCACAGCAATGTGAATGTACTTAATGCCACAGACCTGTGCACTTAAATATAGTTAAAATGGCAAATATTGTATGTATATAAGAATTACAATAAGAAAAATTTTAAAAAGGCCGGGCTCAGTGGCTCATGTCTGTAATCCCAGCACTTTGGGAGGCCAAGGCAGGCAGATCATCGGAGGTCAGTTGTTCAAGACCAGCCTGGCCAACATGGTGAAATCCCGTTTCTACTAAAAATACAAAAATTGGCCAGGTGTGGTGTTGCACCCCTGTAATCCCAGCTACTCAGGAGGCTGAGGTACGAGAACTGCTTGAACCTGGAAGTCGGAGGTTGCAGTGAGCCCCTTGCACCATTGCACTCCAGCCTGGGTGACAGAGTGAGACTCTTTCAAAAAAAAAAAAAAAAAAAAAGAAAACTTTCATCACCCTTGGTATGCATTCAGTTTGGGAATAAGAGCTTGGTGTCCATTATTCCAGGCATCCCAATGGCTACACTGAATCTCTTGGGGACTCCTTACTTTGGTAGGTAGCTGAAAATGAGTTCAAGAGCACACAATGTAGATAATGTTACCTTCAACTTCCTTCTCTGGCCTCTGCTTCTATAGATTGGGAAGGGGTTGTGGGGAGGAATGTGGAATTTGTGACCATGGAGGGCAGGTGCGAGGCTGCTTCTGCCACTGCTTCATGACTAACTCAGAGGGTAGTCGCTGGCCCCATTGTTGGAGGTTCCTTTCATTACATTCAAAGCAGACTCCTCTTTTCTTACTTTAGTTTTGGGCTCTGGTCAGCAATTCTCAGGTGACATCCTATTACACAGGAATAGAATGTACATAGGAAGATGTTTGTAATAGTTAGGGAGTCTCTAGATAGATAGAGCTGCTCTGAAAAGTAATGAGCATCCGATTATTGATTTTAGGGTATGGTGAAGAGTATTCCTGCTTGTGAAGAATACAAAAAGTAGCACCTTCAGAATCTTTCCCTAGTCTATGAATTCTAGAGGCAAATTGATTTTTGTTTTACTCTTGTCTGAGGGTGAAGTTAGGAAAAAAACAATCATTTAATTCTGAGTACTCTCCTATATTTAGTGACCTCCTAAGTACTTATTGGTCACCCACTCTGTGCCAGGCACTATGTTAAAACAGTGGGATACAGTAATGGAACACAAAGGTGAAAGTCAGTTTCAATGAAAAGATAGAGATGTGCTTCCAACCCAACTGGACAGACATCTGTCTGTATTCTTATTTTTGCATAAATATTTATTAAGCAAAATGTTATGTTATATATGCAGCTATGTAGTATTTAAAGATTTACATACACAGTTCCTGGTCTCAAAGATTTATGAAACAATTGGAGGCAAGACTAACCAATGAAAACGTTATATTTCATAATAAAAACTAAATAAGACTACACCATTACATGCAAATCCTCAAAGCGGTTCGTGGTTGTCACCTGTATTCTGCAGAAAATTAATTTTACAAAGCTAAACATCAATGGAACTAGAGTGGTCAGAGAAAGCTCAGTGGAGAAGATAAGACTTGAGCTTATGGAAAATCTCAGAATCCCTTCTCTAGACAAGAGCCATAATTTTGAGAGTTCTTGAGTCTTTGGTAGAAACATCCTATTCTCTAGATAATGAGCTGTTGGAAAGGGGTGGCATTTTCCTTTGTGTTTGGGTAGGACGTGCCAAAGAGTTTAAAATAGGAATCTCCAAGATGGTCTGTGGGTGATGTGAACAGCAACTCAACCAGCTCTGTTATTATTAGACGCAGATCGTTTTAGGTAAGTGGAAATGGCTGTTCTATAAAAATGTAAACTCTGAGTCATTCTCTGAGCATGGTGAGCCCTGGGTGCTGAGCTTTCAAGTGGATGACCCTCCCCAATATTGAAAGTCTAGCAGTTCTCTTATTATGCTGAGGACTTTCCCCCTTCTCACATCTGTCTTGTGAGCAAAAGGGGAAAGTGGTCTTTCATTTCTGAACAGGGAAAGTGTCTGTGTAGGTCATTTCCAGGATTAGTGAAGGCAAATAAGAATCAAATCTATACGATTGGTGACATTAAATGGACCCCCCTCCACAAAGGCACAATTATATATATTCTCCCCCTAGCGTTATCTGAGTGGCTGAGAGAAGCACCTCTATTCCAAAATAAGAACCTACTGTACCAGTCAGATTCCACCATGTCTGATTTCTAACATCATTGAGTCATTCCTTTGGTTTTCTCTCTCCCTGGGTAATCTTTGATATACAAGCAAATAATTTATCTGAACTCGTAGTGAGAAGTCAGACCCACTTGTACTGGTTGCCTTGGGAAGGAAAGTATAGAAAGTACAGTGAAAGCAACATGGTACAGCCTGATAAAAACATTGATTCACTTAGAATACATCTATTTGTGGAACTTCATAGCAACTTTGCCAAAGAATGGGAAAATTCAATGACCAATGCAGCTCAAGGTCCCAAGACCTACTGGGACCTCCAAAGGGCACACATTGTACTTCTTTAGAACTACAGAGAAGAGTGTATGCTGATGTTCTTCCAGGAATCCTCTTCTTACCTGGGTCTTCTGAACACAGAATGGTTTCTTCTTCTTCTAGGATCTTGGGTTCTTTACTTGTGCCTTCACTTAGCATTTACTTATCTTTAACATGCAATCTAATGGAGCATGTTCATGTCCATGTCTCTACTTGACCATTGTCCATGTCTCTACTTGACCACTGTATCCGTGACTATAAACCCCTAAGGACATGTCTTTGCCATATCACATGTTCCCATTGACCAACAGTTACCAGGGAAGACAGTCATTCAGTCTAATACACTCATCCATTGTTTGCTAAGTGCTATGAATACAATTTGGCGCTGCCCTCACAGAGATTATGGAAGAGAAAGATAGGTAAAAAATAAAGTTAGTACCTTTCTGGAGGTTGGTAAAGCAAAACAACAGATTTATTTTAATTGAAGGGGATCAGGCAAGTCTTCATAGAAATGTCCTAAAAGTCTTTGACTATGAAACAGGTATAACTACTCTAGGGCTCCCTGTCATGAATAAGGGATGAGGGCTAGGGTCAAACATCACAACTGGGAGAAAGTGGGACTCTAGACCTGGATGTACCCCTCTGTAAATGGTGATCCTAAGGGTCAGCTGAGTGGGAAGGAAGTGATAAAGGCAGTTGTAAGACAGGCAGAAAGTGGCTTCCAGTTAGGTAAGAAAGTATAGCTTCAAGTGGCTAGGCATCAGTTTATACCTGGAAGACTAGAAGATTGACAGGCAGTCAACCACCAAGAAATGTTTACTCACAGAAAATAGACTGATAAGTGGGAGGCAAGGGTTATACTGAATTCCATTCCTAGAAGGATAACCTGGACTACCAAGCCAGATGACTAAGCAGGATAGAGTGACCCACAGAATAGGTTCTCATACATAATGAATCAATGAGTAAGGGTAAAGATCAAAGCATAAGACTTGCCCTATTGACTCAGATAACACAGTAGATGAAGAGGGAGAATAAAAAGAAAGTTGCGTCACTTAGACAATCTAGTTCCCAAGGGTTGATACTGGAGACGTATATCTGGCTGTTAAGCAAAAGAATTTAAGGAGCAAGGCAGAAGTTTAATCCTAAATCTCATCAGTGGGAACAGACAAGGTTCCCATTATACTGCAACATTAGCCAGAATTAGGCTAGGACTGAGCCCAGCCAGACTTGGGGAGTTGAGCCTTGGTGGGATATTCAGTGTAGGATCCAGAATGAAGAGCAGACATAAGGCATTAATTGACAGCGTATCATGCCCCAAGCAAATGATTGAAGAGTGAAAATCGAATCAGTTGGCTGTCCAAAAATTGACAGATTGCTGCTGAAGCTTCTTACCTCACTGAATTGACCAACTGTCCGGAGATTTTACCAACACAAGTCCCCAGGAGAAAAGTACAAATATGTGTTTTTGGAGGCGTTGCTAATTTGAGTGGATTGAGCACCTAACAAGAGGCCATTGGGGTTTCACGGCTAGGGGTCCAATTTGTTAACTTCATTTCCAATGTCTCAGCTTTAGAAGAAATGGCAGAGAAATAACCGATCCATTCACTGAGGTACATAAGAGGCTGGAGACTTTCAATCAGTTGCCCTGCGATGGGTGATGTTTATGGAAACTCATTTGGCTTTCCACTAGGTGTGTAGTGAGTTAACACAGTCAACTAGTATGCAGGGTGCCTTCTGCAGGCATCTCCTGATCCACTCTCCACTTTTTACCTTCTTTGTGCCCAGGGATAGAGACCTTCATTAGTGGCTTCCTTATTTCAGGGTGATTTCAAGCTAAAGAAGGTGAGAAGAGAGAAA